>NC_000007.14:43270545-43573575 GCF_000001405.40 Homo sapiens
TCTACTGGTCACACTGACAAGCTCTGGTTCAGTGTGGAAGGGCACTTCATAATGCTGTGAACATCAGGTGGTAAGGATAATTGAGACCATCTCAGGGGCTGGCAAAAACTCTACCAAAACAAACCAAGGTATTAGAAAAAATCAATATAGCATTTGCAGATGTTTAATTATTGAACTAAAAAATTGCACTGATTCAACTTAAATATTATTAGAATTAAAAAGAGTTAAATAATGTGGCAATATACAAAATAAGTATGGTAGATATCAATAGATTTCACTTACACCAGTGATATCAAATTGGAAAATATGAAAGTAAGAAAATCTTAGTTATAAAGTACCTAGAGATAACTTTGAAAAGAAGTATGTGGAAACTCTCTGAAGAAAACCATAAAATTTCACTAAAGGACCTGAAAGATGGGAAGAAATTGAGAGGTACATCATGTGGCTGGATGGAAACACTGAGCTTTAGATAACTTCACTTCTCTACAAATTAATATACAGGTTTAATGCAAATCTAAAAATGTCAAGGAGATAGATTTATATAATTTGATGTACATGTGTTGTATGTATATATATTTCATTCTAAAATTCCACAAATTATCTAGAAGACTGAGTGGAAAACTTAACCAAGAAACTTTGGGGAAAGAAGTGTGGATGTATGTACATCCACATTGAACATTAATGTATGTTTAAAAAGTAATTGACAACATCATATGGAATGAGCAAAAACTGGAAATATTCCCTTTGAGAACTGGAACAAGAAAAGGATACAACTCTCACCTATTCAACATAGTACTGGAAGTGCTAGCCAAAGCAGTTAGGCAAGAGAAAGAAATGAAAGGGGCATCCAAACAGGAAAAGAAGAAGTCGAACTCTTTCTTCCCGAATTATATGATTCTGTACTTAGAAAACCCTAAGGACTCTGTCAAAAGGCTATTAGAACTGATAAACGATTTTAGCAAGGTTGTAGGGTACAAAATCAATGGACAAAAATCAGTAGCATTTCTATACATGTTCAAACTGAGAGCCAAATTAAGAATGCAATCCAATTTACAATAGATTAAAAAATTGAGATATCTAGGAATACATCTAACCAAAGAAGTGAAAGATTTGTACAAGGAGAACTACAAAACACTGATAAAATAAATCATGGATGACGGAATCAAATAGAAAAACATCCCATGCTCGTGGATTGAAAGAATCAGTATTATTAAAATGGCCGTATTTCACAAAGCAATCCACAGATACAACACTATTCTTATCAAACTATCAGTGTCATTTTTTACAGAATTGGAAAAAACTATGTTAAAATTCATATGGAACCAAAAAGAGCTTGAATAGCCAAAGAAATCCTAAGCAAAAAGAACAACACTGGAGGCATCACATTACCTGACTTCAAACTGTGTTATAAGGCTACAGTAACCAAAACAGCACAGTACTTCTACAAAAACAGACCCAGACCAATGCAACAGAGTAGGGCACCCAGAAATAAGGCCACCCCCCTACAGTCATGTAATCTCCAACAAAATTGACAAAAATAAACAATAGGGAAAGGAGACCCTAATAAATGATACTGGAAAAACTGGCTAGTCACAAGCAGAAGAATGAAACTGAATCCCTATCTCTCACCATATGCAAAAATTAACTCAAGATGGATTAAAGATTTAAATTCTCAAACTATAAGAATCCTAGAAGAAAACCTAGGAAACACCATTCTGGACATCAGCCTTAGGAAAGAATTTATAAGTCCTCAAAAGCAATTGCAACAAAAACAAAAGTTGACAAGTGGAACCTATTAAACTAAAGAGCTTCTGCATGGCAAAAGAAACTATCAACAGAGTGAATAGACAACCTACAGAATGGGAGAAAATATTTGCAAATTATGCATCCAACAAAAGTCTAATATCTAAAATCTATAAAAACTTAATTGAACAAGCAAAAAACAACCCCATTAAAAAATGGGCAAAAGACATGAACAGACACTTCTCAAAAGAAGACATATAAGCAGCCAGCAAACATATGAAGAAATGCTCCGTGTCACTAATCATCAGAGAAATGCAAATCAAAACCAGAATGAGATACCATCTCACATCAGTCAGGATGGCTATTATTAGGGTCAAAAAACAGATGATGGCATGGCTGTGGAGAAAAGGGAACATTTATACACTGCTGGTGGGAATGTAAATTAGTTCAGCCACTGTGAAGAGCAGTTTGGAGATTTCCAAAAGAACTTAAAACAGAGCTATCGTTTGTCCCAGCAATCCCATTACTCTGTGTATTTCCAAAAGAAAACAAACCGTTACACCAAAAAGACACAGGCAAATGCATGATCATCGCTGCACTATTCACAATAGCAAAGACATGTATTCAACCTAGGTGTCCATCAGTTGTGGACTGAATAAAGAAAATGTGGTACATATACACCATGGAATACTAGGCAGCCATAAAAAAGAATGAATCATGTCCTTTGCAGCAACATGCATGCAGCGGGAGGCCATTAATACTAAGCAAATTAGTGCAGGAACAGAAAACCAAATACTACATGTTCTTACCTACAAGTGGGAGCTAAACATTGGGTACTCACAGACATAAAGATGGCAACAGTAGAAACTGGGTTCTACTAGAAGGGGGATGGAGGGAGTGGGGCAAGGGTTGAAAAACTAATTGCTGGGTACAATGCTCAGTACCTGGTTGACAGGAACACGTGTACCCCAAACCTCAGAATCACACAATATACCCAAGCAACAAACCTCCACGTGTACCCCTGAATCTAAAAGTTGAAAAAAATAAAGATAAATAAATAAATAGATTGAAATGGTATGAGTGCAGCAACATAATGACAGATTAGTGGAACTATATAAATTGAACAGAAATTGACCCTAATATAAATTTCGTAAATAATAGTGATAGAATAAAAAATATTTGAGTAAAGAATATATTAAACAATAAGTATTACTAATACAATTAGTTAACTACTTTGAAAAAAACTTTAAGATATATTTCCTCTTTTACCCATACCTCAATCCCTGATAGATTTGAGTGAAACATAAAGTATGAAATCATAAAAACTCAAAAGAAAATATGGATAAATAAGTTAGAGACAGAAATCTTTTAAGCCTAAAATAACAGAATGATAACAATGGAAAAGAAATCAGGATATTTGACAATATAAAATGTTGAAGTTTTGTAAGTTAAAAAAATAAGCAAAATAAAAAGATAAGCAAATATTGGGAAATTGTGTCATATTTACAACAACGGTGGATAATTTCCCATTTTCCCTTAATATATGACAGAAGTTGTAAAATATGATTCTTTTTTTTTTTTTTGAGATGGAGTCTCTCTGTCACCCAAGCTGGAGTGCGGTGGCACAATCTCGGCTCACTGCAATCTCCACCTCCCGGGTTCAAGCGATTCTCCTACCTCAGCCTCCTGAATAGCTGGGATTGCAGGTCGCACCACCACACGCAGTTAATTTTTGTATTTTTAGTGGAGACGGGGTTTTGCCATGTTGACCAGGCTGGTCTCGAACTCCTGACCTCAGTTGATCCACCCGCCTCGGCCTCCCAAAGTGCTGGAGAAAAGCGCGGGTGGCGGCAGGCACGGAAAGGACGCCATGAAGGCCTCGGGTGCACTAAAAGAGTACAAGGTGGTGGTCTCTCTTTGCCCACCCCCAAATGCCACACACTGCCCCTCTACTGCATGCGAATCTTTGCGCCTAAATCATGTCGTCGCCAAGTCCCGCTTCTGGTACTTTGTATCTCAGTTAAAGAAGATGAAGATGACTTCAGGCTGGATTGTCTACTGTGGACAGGTGTTTGAGAAGGTCCCCCTGCGGGTAAAGAACTTCAGCGTCTGGCTGCTCTATGACTCCCGGAGCTGCACCCACAACACATACAGGGAATACTGGGACCTGACCACCATGGGCCGGCACCGCACCCAGGCCCACTGCATCCAGATCATGAAGGTGGAGGAGATCGCAGCCAACAAGTGCCGCCGGGCCACGCTTCACCACCAAGAGGCCCAACATCTTCTTTTAGGTGCAGGTTCCTCGCCCCGGGTGTGCCCCAAATAAACTCAGGAACGCCCCGGGGGAGGGAGGGAGAGAGAGAGAGAGAGAGCGAGAGAGAGCGCGCAGTAAAATCCTATTACAAAAATAGACACGAACTATCTCTCCATTTATTGTTTTTATTTGATACACACTTATTGAGCACCTATGGTGTACCAGCCAATGTGATAGATGTGAGTCACACGTGAGGACATGTAAAAACTTTAAAAAGACTGTGAAATCAATGAGAAGATATTTACTCATGCTAGAAAACAAACCACAAACTAATGAAAAGTACTGTCATTTTGCCTATCATATTAAAAAAATTAAAAACTATACAACTCAATGCTGTTGAAGATGTCCTGAGACGGGCACTCAGTGCAGAGGGAAGTGTCCAGGGGTCTCTACGTGTGCTTTGCAAGCAGTTTGGTGCTCAGCATCCATGGTGTCACTGAGTTATCAGGGTCCTCAGAGAATAACAGAGCAAAGTACTCAGAAATTGGTGCAAGGAATAAGCTATACAGATGTTCATTTGCAGCATTATATATATATTTAAAATAGTGTAAAATTAAGAATATCTTTAAAAATCCAACAAAAAGTTTACTTGAAATCCTATTTAGTAATACCATAATATGGAATAATGTGTAGCCTTTATGAAAGAATTCTCCTAAGACTATTTAATAAAATAAAAATCTCTCATAACATAATGTTACATAAGTAAATCACAATGTTAATGGTATATGCAGCATAGTATTTGTTGGCTGAAAAATACACATGCATGCATTGAAAATAGAATGGAAGGAAATCTCTAATATAATAATAGTGCTTATCTTGGGGTGATGACGCTTGAGGTGGTTTTTGGTTTTCTCTGAATGCTTCTTAAAAAATTTGTTATAAACTACTTGTAATTAGTAAGCATTGTTTTTATCATAAAAACTGTGAATATGGAAGAAATGGTATTAAGTTTTAGAAAAGTAGGGGTGAGGGAGAGTAATGTAGATGCAAATGCACTAATCACCTCCCCAAATTACGGAGCTGCCTTGAAGCCTGGTCATTAATTCATCCACACTATCTTCCTCCACTATTTACTCACCAAGTAGTCTGTTCTTATGCGCACGCACACACACACACACACACACACTACCCTCCCACCCTCCCCCACTCACTCCCTGCAACAATTTCAGTCATTGTTAATTTGCTGGATAGGTGGCTGTGGGTTTATTCAATCAAATGCTTTACAGAGTTTTGCCAATATCCTGCTAATTGATCCACAGGCCACCTCTGGTGATTTATGGTGTTTTATAGTGTCAGCTCTTATTGAATTTTCTTACTAGATTTTTGTGGTTAAAATTGTTTCATACATTGAGATCTATTATAGTGTATGGCATTCAATACTTGTACTGGAAGACAGAGGCAGAGGTTTAAGGAATAAGGAGGTTTAAAGAATCAATTGTGCAGAAGGCCCCTTATCAGATGGCTCTGCTCTGGTTCCTGTTGATGGGGGCCCAGTGGGAAGATGTGACCTTTTCATTTTTTTTCTTGTCTGTGTAAGGGATATCAGAAATGGTAAGAAATGATCTTACATAACAACTATGCCAGGGACAGTTTATTTTGGATCAATCTAGCAGACTGACTCCTAGCATAGCCTGTTCTTTAGAGTTACTAAAAGGCCAGGGACATTGATTTCCATGTCAAGACTCATAAGCTCTTTGTGTGTGGGGGTCCCCTGAGAATTCCCCTTATGTCCCAGCAAGTAAATAGAGACCTCCAGTGATGCTGGTCCCAGTATGGCATTGATTTTAAAAGGATAAGTTTCTCACACAGTCGTTTGTAGAATTTAAAAAGAGACTACATTTTAAAAAATATATAGGTAATAAGATACTGGTCAAAATAAAATGCAGGTAGAAATTCACATTACAATTACTTTTAAAAATCATAAGTAGCCTGTTCTTTTCCTGTGTCATGTGGAATTCCATCATCTTTATGTCATTATAAATTATGCCTAATCCTGATAAAATGTGCCTTATTTATTTGATGATACTATTTATTTTTGCAAGTTTAAATGCTTTAGGCCAATGCAGTCTTCCCTGTCCACTGGCACACTCCAGGTTTGAAACTAGATCTGAAACTGAAGCTGACTGACGATTTATAGTACGTACAAAATTAGCTCAGCTTTCCTGTCTCCTGAGGAGCAAGTTCTTTATTTGGCACATGCTCCAGCTTCTCTGTTTTCTTAGTTTTACTTTTCCTAAAGTGAAGTCAACCACCTGAACCATACAGAATGCTCTGCAACCCTCCTTCACTCACGGAGCTTAGAAAGTGCGTTCAGCAGAAATACAGGCGTCTCTAATCCCACTTCGCCAGATTATATTTGTACTCAGAAATGTGTTGGATCTTCTCAGTGTTGGCCAGAAGCCTCATTTGGGTTTTCTCTTGGATTTTCAGGATGCTCAGGGCTCTTTGGTCTCCTCCTTTCTCTAGTCCTCCTCTTCTTTCTCTATCTAATGTAAGAACAGATTTTATAATATATGTGAAAGAGAAATCAGTTCATTCATTAGGTAAAATGTGAAGATGAACAAACCTCCCTTATCTCCTCTCCATCCTCCTACTCAGGCAATGGATGACCCTACTTCACACTTTGTTGAGACAATTGCAGGGATCAGAAAAGAGCTTCCACTGACTCCCACTGCCACCTGCCGCCATGACGCTGCCTCCCTGCCTTTATATGACAGGTGAACGGCCCGCATGTCCAAGCTTGTGAAACCCACCTTATCTTGTTGTTGTTGTTCCGTTTGGTTTTGTTTTAGGTGTTTAGCAGCCTGAAGCCATGGTTTTTCGTTTCTGTCTGTACTGATAAGCAGATAAGAGGGATGAGGAAGGGGCTTTACTGGCCCAACCAAAAATAGAAACTAAGAACCCATGACTGTATTCTCCGCCATGACTGGGACCCACCTGCACACCAGGCCTTGCCCTTTGCCACCTGCTAGGATGTCTTTCCAGCAGCTTCTCTCTCCCTCAGTTAGACCATTTCCGTAGGCATCCACCAGCAATTTCTCCCAGATCTTGTCATCTCCCACTTCCTTCTCCATTTACCACACATTGTCTTCTCCCCTCTTCCAGCAGAACTTCTTCCAAGAAGCATCTGGACTGCCTGAAGTTCCTTCCTACTCCCTCAGTAAAGTTGTTCTTGTTAGAACCACCAAGGATCTCCACTTTGGAAATTCCCCTGGCCCATTTTCAGCCCTCATCTTCTGTGCTGGACACGGTTGACTGTACCTCCCAGGAAATGCAGCTTGATGTGCTTCCAGGAAGTCATCATTCCCTGTTTTCTTTTTCCAAATTCGTGCTCCTTCTTGGGCTCTTTCCCTGACTCCCCCAGACCTTTAACTGTGGGCTGCCCCTGGGCTCAGACCTGGCCCTCTCCTGCTATCCATACCCTTCCTGGTGGTCGCATCTACTCTTGTGACTTGAAATAACATATATTGGCAGGTGACCCCCAAATGTATATGCCCATTTCAGACCCTGCCCCTGAATGTTCCCCTGAATATTCAGCTCCTGCTTGAGGTCTTCAACTGGGATGTCTTATAAGCATCTCAAACTTAAAATATTCCAGCCAACATCCTTATCTGATCATCAGCCATTTCAATCTTCCTCATGTCAGTGAACAGCGATTCCCTCCTTCCTGTTTCTCCGGCCAAAACCTGTGGTGTCATCCTTGACTCATCCTTTCTCTGCACCCCACATCCAAACCTCTAGCCTCAAAAATAGATCTGGAATCTGATCGTCTCTCGGCACATCCGCAGCTCCCACCCTGGTTCTAGCAAGCGGCAGCTCCCCCATCACTGCAGCGGCTTCCCACCTGCTCCTCCTGTTCCCACCCATGCGGCCCGTTCTCATCACAGACCCCAGCATGGGCCTTCTCAAAGCATGGAACATGTCACTTCCCTGTTCAGAGCCTCAGATGGCTCCCAGAGCCCCAACCATGGCCTCCGAGGCTCTATGTGATCTGATCCCCCTTTTGCCTTCTTTCCCCTTCCCCTCCTCTCTCTCCACTCCAGTCACATGGCCTCCCTGCCACTCCCCAGGTGCACCTGCTTAAGGGTGTCAGGCTTGGTCTCCCCTCTGCTTCCAGTGCTTTTTCCCTTGAGGTCTAAGTTGTCACTTCTCCTCCTCCTCCTAAGTCACCCCTAGGAGGTCTTTCCTGACCACCGCATTTACAATTGCAACCACCCACGCTCCCTAACTCCCTTCCCTGCCTCACACTCCACACCCTCATCCCTTTCTAATATAGATTATAATTTACCTAACTGTCTTGTTTGTAGTCTCCTCCCCATTAGGATTCAAGCTCTGTGAGGACAGAAATTTCTGTCTGTGTTTGCTGCTGTATCTGGAGTGCCTAGCATAGTCCCTGGCTTACAGGAAGTCAGTTGCATAAATGAATACATCCAGCAGTTTTCAGTGATTGAGAGCAAGGACAGTGTTATTTCTTTGAGCTGGGTTAGATTATATTTCCTACCCATTTATTTCAGATTCAACATTTGGTGTGGGCTTGAGGTTGGGTATTCAATTTGTGCTATGTGTAAGGGCATTCCCCTTCCAGCTGTGGGGACTCTGTGATAATGAACTGACTGAATAAGTTTTATTTTTATGAACTAATTTTGAACAAGTAGCAGACAAAGCAAAATGCTTCTCTGTGTCCTTTTTTTTAGGGTGTGGGAGGGATTACCTTACAGTTTCAATTGAGTGAGAAGAAGCATTTTAAATAAAATATTTGTTCATAAGCCAGAGGCCCTGCACTTTCATCAGATCCTGTTGCCCTCTAAAGTGTCCCATGGCATTTAGGCCAAATTGCAAATCCTCTCGGTGAGCTGCAAGGTTCTGCCTCATCTAGAGCCTAACCCGACCATCCACGCTCTTCTTTTTTACTATGCTGGGGCCTCACTAGTCTTCACTTAGTTCCTTGAACCTGTTGGGAATTCCCATCTTCATACCTTTGCACAGGCTATGCGTCTGCCTAGAATGTGCGCCCTCCTTGTCCCCATTTCATTTGTTCTGAAGCTGATGTGTTTTCTCTGCAGATAGCTCCTCTGCCACCTTCTCCAAAATATCTCCCACCTTGATTCTCTTATGGCACCTGATTTTTTTCCTTCATGGGGTATAGTAATTTGTAAGTATATTTTTATTGGTGTATTTGTTTCCTTGACTGTCTCCCTGAAACTCTATGTTGCTTGAGAACAGGGACCATTGCTTGTTTTGTCTAAACCACAGCAGTGCAGCGACTATTACAGTAGATGCTCAGTGGGCCTTTCCCCTTGGTCAAGAATCACCAAGAGCTCCCTTCACTGGGGAACTCTTCTGAGTTAGACCATCTTCTGAGACAGAGCATCTGCTGAAGACAGATGGTCTTCACAGCTCACTGGGGAGGCTGAAGAGGAGAAGGTCAGAATGGGATTGGGGTGGTCTCAGCATGGAAAGGGAGTGGTGAGTGAAGGGACCCTGGATCCTCTGATAAATCTCTGTCCCAGATGCTGGGTCAGGACTAGGAATTCTTATCACCTTTTCCCAAAGGAGTCAGATGCTCCAAGGAGAGAGTGCCTCCTCTAGGTAACACCAGTGGTGACAGAGCCCATCTGCACTTTTGGTTTAATCCAAGATCCTCATGGAAATAGCATCGTGCAGGAGTGCAGGGTCACAAGATGGAGTGGCGATTCCACCACTGAACACCTGTGACCTTACCCGTCCAGTGTCAGGGAGGGGCAGGACCTTGTGGATTTGGTCCAAATTTACTCTAGGAAATAGCAATCCACTCCAAAAAAGGGCGATTAAAATGCCGAGTCACACAGCTAGTTAACTGCAGAATGACAACTAGAACCTAAGTTACCTCAATCCCAGGCCACTGAGACGTAAGACAAGTTTTGCCAGCTTGTCTTTTATTTGATGAATTGTAGTTCCTGGTGAGCAGAAATACAAGGAGAAAAAGTTTTACAAATTTAAGCAAGAGCACAATAGCACACTTAGAAGACTTTTGAGAGGAGGATGAGTACTCGTGATAATCCCAGTACAATGAGAAAGCCAGCACCCCGTTTCTGTGATCTGAAATGGATCTCGGCTCATTCCCTTTACAACTTTGTTGGAAAGAGAACGAACACACAAAGGACCTCAAGACACTGCCAGAAAAGAACACTTTGAGACACTTGAAGAAAAGAACCCCAGCCAACTATATCCTCAGGTGGACAATAACACTCTTGCTCACTAGGAGCAAATGGGTTTGAGGAACAGGGAGAAGGCAGTTAAGAGAGGGGAAGTCTCCAGTTAGAGGAAGACTGGAAATGTAACCCAAATGCTGAGGTTTTCATGCATTCCCGACACAGTATTCTCTTTTCCCGTTTTGTTTGGGGCTGTTTCTCCCCCCATGAAAATTGGCATTTAAGATTTTTGATGGCTTAAGATTCTAGGATCCTGCACTCATTGACTGGGGGAGTGGAGGTGAGGCGATTTCTGACCCGCTGCTTCTCATCACAGCAGTTCTGCACCCCTCACCTCCGCCCACCCAAGCAAGTGGCAAAGAGCACTGCTGAGAGTCCCTTCAGCAGCCTTTGGCCCTGTCACTGCAGGAAGCCCCAGCCCGAATCATTTGCGTCATGGCCATCACTGTCTCAGGCTCAGCTCCAAAACGGCATCTCCTATCTCCTGTTTCCTGCAGACTGAGCCCCTCTCTGCGACTTGTTGCACCAGGCTCTCCACAGCTGGTGTCCAACAATAGCTGACATTGGGTGGACACCTGCTGTGTGCCAAGCTCTATACATGAATTAGCCCTGATTTTCAAACAACTTTATCGTGGAAATACAATTATTCCTCATTTACAGATAGAAAACCTGTTATTCAGAAGTTGTGCAATATCACAATAGCAAGGGGAGAGCTGGAGTTTAAACCCAGACCTGACTTCAAACACAAGCTCTTTCAAGTCTGTAGCCTCCTCTCCAGCCTCAGCTCTTCTTTCTCTCAGTCCACTCTCCCTCAAATGCACTGCAGCTAACAACCAGACTGCTTGCTAAGCCTCTTCTAGCTCTGCCTTCAGAATTAGATCCTCCTCTTTCTTTTTCTGTTCTCTTTCTTTGCTTTCTTTTTTTTTTTTTTTTTTTTTTTTTTAGAGAGACAAGGTCTAACTATGTTGCCCAGGCTAGTCTCTTGTATTCCTGGCCTCAAGTAATCCTCCTGCCTTAGCCTCCCAAGTAGCTGGGATTTAATATTATGGGTGTGAGCCACCATGCTTAGCTCAGAATTGGATTCTTATGGCATCCTGCATGTGCAAGAACTCAAAGTCCTGCCCTGCATCCTTTAAGTCCCAACATGTCTGACACTCTCTCCATGAGCCTTTTTCGAGTCCCTCATCCAGCTTAACTGTGTTTCCTTTCCAGCTGTCATAGAGCAATGTGACTTTATTGCACTCTGCCTCAGATATTAGTTGTGCAGCTATTTAGTTACAGGTCTAATTTCTACTGCTAGATTGAAGGACATGTATTTACAGCAGGAGCAATGTCTTGCTCAGCTTAGATCACTGAATGTGCCTCTTACGGCTGTGTGCATGGGTCACTTATGTCCCTCCAGCCAGGATGCTTAATGGGCAAACCCAGTTCAGTGGCTGGTGCATCACTTTAATGAACAGAGCAGGAGGAAAGGCAGGTGGCAGGACAAGGCAAGGGCTGCTGTGGCAAGGGCCCCGCATCACACTCTTTTTCGCTGACTTCACTCATCTGCTGAGAACTTCCTTCCCTGTGATGCCATCCGGATGACAGGAGCTGGCGACAAGGGTCAGATCTGCCTTCTGTAAAGTCGTTTCCAGCCCCTATGGGCATGTTTCTTGCCTAGTGTTCAGTGTTCACAGGCTGTCTCAAATCCCACTACATGCCAGGCCCAGAGCAGAGCAAGAATAAGAAGAGAGACCGAACATATGATTAAGTATTTGGAAGTTATAAAGTGAGACACAAACTGTTCAAGAAAATATAATAAATAGATATCATTAAATATATCTTTTAAAATTGTTAAATAAAATACCAAATTTAAATGCAAGTCACTAATAAAGCTGATTTTAAACACTTTCAATAATTATATTTTATTAAATATTATTATAAGACCATTTGCCTCTCTAGCATCCAACAGTCATCTAACTGACAATGTATAGAATCAATATTATGCTTCACAGCATGATATTCACAGCATATCTTGAACAGAAATTCCCAGTGTTGGCTGGGTGCGGTGGCTCACGACTGTAATACCAGCACTTTGGGAGGCCAAGGCAGGCAGATCACCTGAGGTCAAGAGTTCGAGACCAGCCTGGCCAACATGGGAAAACCCCATCCCTACTAAAAATACATAAGTTAGCTGAGCGCAGTGGCAAGCAGCTGTAATCCCAGCTACTCGGGAGGCTGAGGCAGGAGAATTGCTTGAACCTGGGAGGCAGAGGTTGCAGTGAGCCGAGATCATGTCACTTGTCACTGCACTCCAACCTGGGTGATAGAGTAAGACTATCTCCAAAAAAAAAAAGAAAGAAAGAAAGAAATTCTCGGTGTACAGTTTGGGGACCCCTGGAAGGCCCCCAGAGCCTTCAGTAAGGTCTGTAAGGTCAAAACTAATCAAAACTAATTTCATTGCAATATTAAGATTTTATTTGACCTTTTCACTCTCATTATCTCACGAGTGAACACCGGAGTTTTTCAGAAGCTCCATGAAGTGTGATAATCACAACCCATTGAAGTCAGAAGTATGTGTGAGAATCCAGCTGTCTTCTGTTAAACCAGCTCTTAAAGACATTTTCAGAAATGTTAAATGATGCCATAATTCTCACTTTTTTTAATTTTGGAAAATGTATTTATTTTGCATAAAATATGTTATCCATTTTATGGGTTTCTTATTGTTCTCAAATGAACCAATATAAATAGTTTGCATGTTTTGCCTTAATTTCTAACATAATAAATACTGATAGATATAAGCCACATAAATAAAAGTTCTTTAGCATCCTCAATAATATTCAAGATTGTTGGTCAGTCCTGAAACCAAAACGTTTACCAAGCACTGATTTAGACCTACAGATATATCGATGTAAGAGTAACATATATTGTTCAATATTGCAAAACGTCCCTCAAAGTGGGACCCCAAAGTAGGACCTTGACTTGGAAGAGGAAAAACATAAGACTGGACACAGCTGGGAAAGGATGCTTTTTTAATGCAGCAATCTATTTCCTCCATGTTTTCTGAGAGAAACAGTTGACAAGTTAATTAAATTGTCATTTCTCCTACCTGAGCGTGTCATTTCTGAAATCTTCCCCCAGCTGCGGCTGCCTTGAGTGTCAGGAGTGGAACAGCCACACCTCTTCCCAGCACCAGGATGCGTCTGCCCTTTGATTCAAGGACAAGGGAAGTAGAGATGTGGGGATTGAGTCAGGGGCCTGGGCTAATAATGGGGTCTCCAGCAGCAGGGCTCTCCTGTGTTTGAGATACGTGACTCTAAAGCAGGACCGTGGGGCGGGGACCCTTCTCACCTGGTTCTCTGCAGGCTGCCTAGTGACAGGTAATCTTATAGGAAATGGGAGGACTGTTTTTCCCAGATCTGAAATAATTTTCTTTTTTAAACATTTTTTAATTGACAAATGAAAATCATATTTCTTTATCATGTACATGTTGTTTTGAAATATGTGTGCATTGTAGAATGGCTAAGTCAAGCTAAGTAACATATGCATTATCTCACACACTTCTTATTTTTTTGTGGCGAGAGCACTTAAAATCTATTCTCTTGGGGCCAAGTGCAGTGGCTTATGCCTATAATCCTAGCAATTTAGGAGGCCAAGACCAGCAGATGGCTTGAGCCCAGGAGTTTGAGACCAGCCTGGGCAACAAAGTGAGACCCATTTCTACAAAAAAAAAAAAAAAAAAAAAAGACAGAAACAGAAGGAAGGAAGGAAGGGAAAGAAAGAATCTATTCCCTTGTCAATTTTCAAGATCAATACCTTGTTATTATCTACAGTTACCCTGTTGTACAATAGATCACTTGAACTTACTCATTCTTTCTATCTAATGTATCCTGTCAAATGTATCCTTTGACCAACATCTCCCCAATTTCCCTTCCCTGAAATAATTTTTATTCTATTCTTAATAAAATAATAACCTTATGAGGTACATTTACAAGTATTATTCCATTTTCTTTCCACAACAAACATGGGAAATCATATAATTTACATTTGATGTTATTAATGAGGAAATTGTGGAGGAAAAAGGTTAAGAAACACCCAAGGTTGCAGATCTGGCAAGTGGCAGAGCCAGGACTGCCCCAGGTCTTATAATGTGAAACTTTGAAGGGCTCTGATTTTATTCCTTTTGTGCTTTATTCACATTTATGTGCTTTCTGTATGGATTTTTTTTTTTTTGCTTTAAGGTTCTCATATTTGAATTTATTAAGTGTAGTTATATTAACTTATTATAACTTTTGGGTAAAAAATGGACCAGCTCTTTTTAAAAAGAGCAAGTCTTACTGCTAACTGGGTCTTGCTAGGACAATATTTATAGACACAGTAAAATGCAGCTCAAGACAAAAGGGGGAAATGGAACAGGTTGTTGTGAGAGCTTCCTGGGATTAGATATGTAGACAAACTGGATCAGGGTCTCACCTGTGGAGCTCTGAAAAACCGTGATACTCAGACCTCACCACTGGCCAGTTAAGTCAGAATCCCTGGAGGCTAGGACCCAGACATCTGCATTGGTTAATGCTCTTCAAGCTATTTCAACATGCATCCCAGGTTGGCAACCACTGGACTAGGAAATCAAAACTCAGCCTGCATAGGTCCATGAGGATCTCTGAAGTTCATGAGTCATATGCCACTTGGACTGTAACCATTCATCAGGAGTGCAGTCGGGAATGAGCCCACCCAAAGTCATAAAAAATAAAGAACCTACAGTGGTCCACACCTATAATCCCAGCACTTTGGGAGGCCAAGGCAGGTGGATTGCTTGAGCCTAGGAGTTTGAGACCAGCCTGGGCAACATGGCAAGACCCCATCTTTATTAAAAAATTTTTAAAAATAGCTGGGTGTGGTGGCTCATGCAGGTGGCTGAGGTGGGAGGATCTATTCAGCCCAGGAAGTCAAGGCTGCAGTGAGCCGTAATTGCACTACTTCACTCCAGCCTGAGTGACAGACCCCATCTCAACAAAAAATAAAATAAAATAAAATAAAATAAAGAAACTGAGTGGGCAAAATAAATAAATGACAGTGAGCTAGATAGCAAGCTAACTCTTTTTAATCCCAGGAAAATGCTTAGACATGAAGTAATAGATTATACTGAAAGTACTAGGAATCCAAGTTTTGGCAAAGGCCAGTGGTCTAAACACAAGAACTAGTTAGGGACGTCTTAGTCTATGTCAGTAAGTCATATGGCTTGCAAAAAATCAGAGACCACAGAGATAGATCAGAGAGACCTTCGAGCCATGTCCAAGATGGAAAGGACAAGCCAGAGGGTAAGTACATTATTGCCCTTGCTTTCAAGAGAGGAGCTCAGGACCCTGAGAGGGTGGATGACTTGGAGGGAGGGCAGGTAGAGAAATGAATTGAACAGAGAGATGATGAGAAATCAGCACAGTCCAAACAGACAAGTTTCCCTTGAAGAAAAGAGACCTCTGAGATCCAACTATTGGGACCACATGAAGCACAGAGCATGCAGCCCAGTGATAATGCCATCAAGACTGCCCAAGCCTATGATGGGGGTGCCCTATGACAGCCTTCCTTGATTTTGAGGCTAGCTTGGGTCCTCAAACCTTCAGAGATGTAGTGCAACCAGGATCGCTGACTTCTGCATTTTCCTTTCTCCTGATTGTCCAGTTGACCATTGCTCAGTTTTTACCCTGGGAAAGTAAATTTAATGCCAGTTTCATTATAGTAAATATTTAAAGGAATATTTAGTAAAAGTGCTGGCAAATGATAAGCTCTCAAAAATGGCAGCTATTATTTTTTCTTTACTACTTCTATTGGCAAATGCAGTTTTCGTTTGTCACTTTTTAAATGATTTTTGTGCCCGGTAAAAGTTCAAACTGCCACCCACCCCCCCAAAGGTGTTTGGGAGGAGGGATATCACCAACCAAGGCCTCACCCAGAATCACACCTTATAACTACTAAAAAGTCATAGTCTCGGCCTACATAGACTTTGAAAATTGTGGACAGAGTTCAGGAAGCTCCATATGCTACATGAATGCCTGCCTTTTGTTGAAGCACCCTGAACTTCATGGGTCATCATTTAAGTTGTCCATACTAATGAAATGTGAAAGTCAATAGATTTGAAGAATTTGCATACAATGATAGCAATGACATTCTCTCATTCATCCACTCAAAAGTTATTGAGTAATTTGCTGTGTCCCGGGCATTGTTTAATGATGGTTGGGGGTAGCGGGGAGTTGTTTAAGGATGGTTGGGGGTGGTGGGGAGGTACGTAGTAGTGAACGTAACAAAGTCCTCATGGAATGTACCTTGTTGTGAGAGGAAATGAACAATAAACTAACGGAGTGTATGTTTGTTTTCAGTGGTGTTAAATTCTGTAAAGAGAAATAATACAGGGAATAGGGAAAGAGAGTGAGCATGGCAAAGGATGTTACACAGGGGATTAGGGAGGAGTAGATGAGCAGGTACTGTGGAGATGCTGGAATGGAGGCCTGATGAAGGGAGAGCCAGAGGCCCAGAGATGTCTGGGGGTGCACATTCCTGGCAGTGGGAGTAGGGAGTGCAGAGGCCCCGAGGCAGGGTTGTGATGGGCGGGCAGGAGGAAGAGCCAGGAGTCCAGGGTTGCTGGACCCAAGGGAAAAGGAGGCAATGGTGGGAGAAGGAAGTCATGGAAGGTTTGGCAGAGGGGATGTGATCTGATTTAGAGTTCTTTTCATTTTCTTCTTTGTTTGGAGACAGGGTCTCACTATATTGCCCAGGCTGGTCTCCAACTCCTGGCCTAGAGTGATCCTCCTGCCTCAGCCTCCCAATGTGCTGGGATTACAGGCATAAGCCACCATGTGCATCCCTGATTTAGGTTTTTTAAAGGTTTCTCTGGCTGCTCTGTGGAGAGCAGAATGTAAGATAGAAGTCAGGAGACCTGATAGACCAGGTAAGAGATACTGGTGGCTGAGGCTGGGAAGATAGCAGTGGGAGACTGAGAAGTGGTCAGAGGACAGGGCAGATTTTGAAGCCAGCATTGTCTGGATTTAGACAGCTTGCATTTCAGCATTGGCTGGATTGTACCTGAGGAGTGTGAAGAATCATTAAGGATGCCTCTAGGTGTTCAGTCTGGTACCTGAAAGAATAGAGTTACCATCTACGGAGATGGGGAAGAGCACATTTAAGGCTGGGATAATCAAGAACTTGTTTTTGGAGGTGGGCTTGAGATGCATATTAGATATCCATGTAGACAGAGATAGTTGAGGAAAGCAACCCACCAGCACTCATTGTTAGATTTTCTGTGTGTTACAAATGGGAAACATATTCCCCTTGTCTTGTTTCATCAAGAGTGTTATATTAACATCTCTTCTTTCTCTAGGGCTTTTTCAATTAAACACACAGCCCAAACCACCAGGACTGAACTTTCTCAATGAGAAGAGGAGGGGAATTAGCTGGACATGCTGCAGTGAAGGCTGTAGGTAGTAGAGTCACAGGAGCTCTTGCAAATTAGACACATCTAAGTGACACTGTCAAAATCCGGGAGCAGGGAGGGAGGAAGGTGGCCATGTGTATTTGAAAAAAATCCCCAGGCAATACTGGTAGTATTCTTCTCTCTTGACATTTTTCTGCAAACATTGTAATAAAGCTTTCCATAATTTTAAGTTGAACACCCTCCTTAAAGAGAAAATGTGCACTGTGTTTGGTAAATACAGTCTTTGCTAGGAAAGGGAAATATACAGACTAGAAGATGAGATGTCACAAGGCAGAGCTTTGAGGCCCCGCTCTCCACTCACTCATCCTGTGGCCCCAGGCTAGTTCCTCCCTCAGTGCCCAGGCTTGTCTCTGAGTGGAGCCTTTATTTGACTCCCAGAGCCCAGGAGGATTGTGAGATGTGATAGCTGATAAAGCCTCTTATAAATTGGAAAATGCTGTGCAAAGGTTTTGTTGTCATTATTCACCCACCCTCTCTTGTCAGAGACATTTTTCTAAAAGTCCATTTTGCCCTGTTATTCTCCACTCTTCTGACAAATGTGCAGTGGTTCATCTCACCCACTGTTGGTAATTCAGCTCAAAGACAAATTCTTCTGCTGACATTCAGGGCTCCCCAGACCTGGCCCCAGCCTACCTCTCTTGCCTTATTCTTATATTTTAGTTACGGGGATATCCAGGTGCGCTATACGCAGTCAAATACAAGCTCCACACAGGCAGGGCCTTTTGTCTCTTTAACTCACCAATTTATCCCATGGCCTACAACAGTGCCTGGCTGGTACTAGGCATTTCCCAATTCCCATCCAGTGAAAGAATGGAGTGCCATCTCCAACACTTTCTCTTTTCTTTTTTTTTTTTTTTGAGACAGAGTATCGATCACTCTGTCACCAGGCTGGAGTGCAGTGGCGTGATCTCAGCTCACTGCAACCTCCGACTCCCTGGTTCAAGTGATTCTCCTGCCTCAGCCTCCCGAGTAGATGGGATTACAGGCATGTGCCACCACGCCCAGCTAATTTTTGTATTTTTAGTAAAGACGGGGTTTCACCATGTTGGCCAGGATGGTCTCAATCTCCTGACCTCGTGATCTGCCTGCTTTGGCCTCCCAAAGTGCTGGGATTACAGGTATGAGCCACCACGCCCAGCCTCCAGCACTTTCTAATGCTGTCCCTACATGCAGTGGCAGCTCTACCCTTACAGGGGTTGGGTTCCAGACTCTTTATGAGACCTCCCTGATGTTCTTACTTGTCTGAATGATAGCTTGGACTTTAGGAGGTCATGGGCTAGTGTGGAAGAGGAGGAACGAGGACCCTGGGGACAGTAATCCAGCCACCATTGGTAGATCAGGCATATGCCCATTGGCCTGGCCCATAGGTGGTCTTATTAACAGAAGAACAGAACTCTGTAAAATATTTAAAGAGGTTTATTCTGAGCCAATATAAGTGACCACTGCCTGGAAAACAATCTCAAGAGGTCCTGAGAAAGTGTGGCCCAGGTGGTTACAGTTTGGTTTTATACATTTTAGGGAGACAGGAGTTACAGGAAAGGACATAAATCAGTACATGGAAGGTGTACACTGGTTAGGCAGGAAAAGGCAGGACATCTTGAAGTGGGGGCTTGCAAGTCATAGATGGGTTTTAGGGATTCTTTAGTTGACAATTGGTTGAGAGAGTTGAGCTTTGTCTAAAGACTTGAAGTCAGTAGAAAGGAAAGCTTGAGTTAGGATAAAGCGGGTTGTGGAGGCCAAGGCCTTTGTTATGTAGATGAAGCCTTATCGGTAGAAGGCTTCAGAAAGACAGATTGTAAATGTCTCTTTTCAGAACTTAAGGTGTCAGACTCTTACTTAATCTCTCCTAGATCTAAGAAAGGTCTGGAAAGTGAAGGCCTGTCTGCATTCATGTAGATTCTCTACAGATGCAGATTTCCCCCTCAAAAGACAGCTTTGCAGGGCCATTTCAAAAGATGTCAAAGACATATATTTGGGGGTAAAATATTTTTATTTTCTCCAGGGTCTGCTATCTGTCATGTGATGTTATACCACAGTCAGTTTGGAAAGTAAGCCACATGACACCAAGATAAATTTTAAAAGCCTGTTTAATGAGATTTTATGGTTTGTAGGGTGTGACTTGCATTGCATGGCTTTAGGTTTTGTTTATAATTTGGTATTGGTATCTTATTGCCACAAAGAGCCTGTTCTGTCTATAAAATAGAGGTCTTGTGATTTTTAACCTCAATGCTGGTTAGCTGTGCCTAAACTCCAGAAGGGAGGGGGTATAACGAGGCATGTCTGGCCTCCCTTCTTGTCATGGATGGGAATTCCATTTTTCAGGTTCCTCTGGGGTCATCCTGGCCAAGAGGGGGTCCATCCCGTCAGTTGGGCAATGTCTGAATTTTATTTTTGGTTTACAGTCCCTAGGAGCTTGACAGGGACGTCATAACGTCCAGAGCCCCAGTGACAAGTAGTAGGGGATAGTCCATGCAGTCAGAGGGTCTCTGAAGCCAACAGGGAGTCCCCCACATGAGTGCCCATGGTGGGGCCCAGGGAGGCAGTGCTTGGGATCCAAGCCAGCTGTTGTCATGGTGGAGACCTAAGAGCCATGGTGGAACGAAGTTCCAGGAGCAGTTTTCAGTCCAGGGAGAATAGCAGGACGAGGCAGGGACCCCATCCCAGAGGAGCCAGGATGAAGTTTCCATCAAGAGAAGACTGCATATGGAGAATACTCACAGTGGTAACATGAACCATTGCCAAGAGAACCCCACCTCAGTTCCCTTTACTGTTTAGATCTGCAGGGGGGAAAAATAGTTTTCTCCTCCACGCTGTTATATGTACAATGTTTATTTAGAAACAGAATGCTTGTTCCGTGGTGCTGCAAAGAAATAGCACTCGAACATAAATTTAGTTCTCTCAGCAAGGCAATTTTTACTTTCTGCAGAAAGGGTACACCTGCTAGCAGTCTTGCTACGAGAGTACACTGAACAAAGGAAAAGCAGACATATTTATCCTTTACGCATTTGGATCATCCTTACTGCTGTGTCTTGCATCCATTGGCTGGAGCTAGACTTCACAATCTAAACTGAATTTGATTGGCTAACAGTTTAAAACTTTTTTTAAATAGGTAAAGGCAAGGGAGAACAAAGGAAAAGAGGAAGTTGCTTATGCCAAGTAGGGAAGGGACATAGGCTGCAAGCTGGAACGTTCCTGTGAGCATGTCCTGCACAAATATCTTGGTTAAAGTACAAGGACATAGAATGTACTTATTCCTTTATATTTAGCAGCTACATAGGATAGGGCTTAACAAAGAGTTATTAGCACAAAGCAAGGAAACTTGAAGGAAGTTAGTCTTTAAAAGAAACTACTATTTCTAACACTTACGATTTATTCTTCAACAACAAAGGAAACTTTGAAGAGGAAACTTTTTACTTTCTACAGTTCTTTATGAATTCTTAGCTGGGACTCCCTCTAACAAAAGACAGATTAACATTAACAAGAGAAAAACAAACAGAAGTTTAATAATGTATATCTCATCTGTTCATGGGGGAAAACTCAGAGAAATGGGTAAATCTCGAGTAGATTTCAAAGTATTATCTTAGAAGTCAGGCTTAAATAACATCGTTCTCCAATACAAAGAGAGAAGGGCCTAGGGAAAGGCCCAGTTAAGATTAGGAGGCCAGGAAAAGCACTTTAAACAAAGGTAAGGCTTTTTATGCAGTTTTAAGTCCCTGCCTTCTCCATTAATTCAGTCTCTAGTGATTCAGGGTCACCCTTCTCTTCCTGGGGCTGAGAGAGAGAAACTCTTACAAATGGAGATTTCCTTTATAGATGTAAATTTCTCTTACAAAAGGGTAACAGTTTCAGAGCTTCTCTGCATCTGCAGTTTCTCAAAATAAACAGCTCGAAATAATCCTTATGCCAAAGAGGCATATTTTGGGGTGGCATATTCTGGTCTCCTACAATCATATCTTAGGATAATGTGTCCTAAGCCCCATCACAACCAGCCAGGATGGTTATTCACCTGATGAAATGGAGGCTCAGAGAGGCCAACTAGCTTTCATAAGAACACATTGCTAGTTAAGTTTTACGGCCAGCACTTGTGCAAAGGTCTGTCCAGACCCAAAGCCCATGCTCTCTCCTCTGTATCACAAGGCCCCTGGAAACCAGCCTTGATAACAAGGCATCAGGGCAAAGGTGTAGTTATAAGAACAACTGAAGCCCAACTAATACCCAGGGTCACAAAGTCAGAGTAGAATAGAAGCCAGTTGTATTTTTTGCTGTGTCACCTGAAATTCCCCACCAAGGACTAAGCACAAGTGTGGCCCAGAGCCTGAGAGGGAGCTCAGGGGACAGCTGAGCAGTAAGTGGCAAGGTGTGAGGAGAGGAGGACTGGGAACAGAGCTAGGAAGGTGACCTTTGGTGACATACCTCTTCCATTCAGCACATGTCACCCAGCACCCGGGGCTCTTCTCTGAAGTTATGCATGTGAGGCAAACTTTCCTAGCAGGGTGTGAGGGCTTTGTCTTCAGCTCAGCCCCTATGATAGTACAAGGCAAAATCTGGATATGTCACTAGTAGAGGGTTGTGACTGCAAGTTGTCCAGGTTCTTGGCATTTTGAACAAAGAATTGGACAAAATGCCCAGAAAAGCAAAGAAAGAATGAAGCAACAAAAGAACGAAAGCTGGGATTTATTGAAAATGAAAGTACGTCACACCTGTAATCCCATCACTTTGGGAGGCCAAGGCGGGTGGATCATGAGGTCAGGAGATCAAGATCATCCTAGCTAACACGGTGAAACCCCATCTCTACTAAAAATAGAATTAGCCGGGCGTGGTGGAAGGCGCCTGTGGTCCCATCTACTCTGGAGGCTGGGGCAGAAGAATCGCTTGAACCCGGGAGGCGGAGGTTGCAGTAAGCCGAGATTGTGCCACTGCGCTCCAGCCTGGGCGACACAGCGAGACTATGTCTCAAAAAAAAAAAAAAAAAGAAAAGAAAAGAAAAAAAAGAAAATGAAAGTACACTCCACAGTGTGGGAGCAGACCCGAGCAGCGGTTCAAGGGCCCGAATACAGAATCTTCTTGGGTTCAAATACCCCCTAGAGGTTTCCCATTGGCCACTTCATGCTCACCTCCTGTAACTGAAGTGGTAGCCCACAATCAGTCTGATTGGTTACAAACAGCCAAATTCCCATCTGCAGTGCAGACAAGGTCAAAGGGAGTAGCCTCTGGTCCTTTTGTTACTTAAGCATGGAAAGTTAGGGTTTTCCTTTCAATTTAGTCCTAGGAAGTCGGCATGAAACAACCTTAGGTTCCCTGTCTCCAGACCCTATTCTGCTGCCTCAGATACGTGTATCAAATAATGCGCCATTTCTTGTAGCTTCAGTCCTCAACCTTCAGCATCACATGCCTAAAGGAGTGCTCCAGATCTGAAGAAAGCCTCTAGTGTGGTGGTAGGATTTTGTTTTTTAAATTAGAAACTTTAATTTTAGTGCATTATATAACCTTTAAACCCTTAGGGCAGGGGTCCTCAACCCCTGGGGCACAGACTGGTACCAGCCCATGGCCTGTTAAAAACTGGGCCACACAGCAGGAGGTGAGCAGCAGCAAGCAAGCGTTACCACCTGAGTGCCACCTCCCATCAGACAAGCAGCGACATTAGATTTTCGTAGGAGCATGAACCCTATTGTGAACTGCACATCTGAGGGATCTAGGTTGCATGCTCCTTATGAGAACATAAGTAATGCCTGATAATCTGAGGTGGAACAGTTTCATTTTGAAAACACCCCCCACCACACACACTGTCCTTGGAGAAATTGTCTTCCATGAAATCGATCCCTCGTGCCAAAAAGTTTGGGGACCGCTGCTGCAGGGGCAAACTCTCATGTGCATTGCAGTGGAAACCTCTCAGTGAAATGCACTGTTTTCCAAACACTTTGAGCTGCTCACTCCCAAAAGGAAAAAGGGTGCTGCATCTCCTAGGACCACAGAGGCTCTGGTGCCTTTGGCATGTCCACTAACTGGCTTTAAGAGCAACGTGTACATCCACACAGGTGACCTGACCACAACAGGGAAGATCTCCAAGACAATGGCAATAGTCCTGCAACTAGCTGTTCCCATGGGGGGAGGGGGGAGGATGAGAGAGGGAGGGTGTTTCTAAGATAGCATTTTCTTGGCAGAGAGAGGTGAAGTGACTCAGCCTCCCAGGAGCCTTCCAGAAGTCCTGGGGAATCAGCTGCCACTGTTGCTGTAAAACTAGCTCCTCCCGGTCTCACTGGATGCAGTCAGAAAAAAGCAGATTATTCACCTGGCTAATACTTGGCTCCTCGGTCCCCATCCCAGTCCCAGCTTCCAGTTTTGTGGCTGTAGCAACATTTCCTGAAGGGGTCAGGACTTATTTGATTGAACCTGCTGACATTGGGAGAGCCTAGTCTTTGGTCAGGATTGTGCAGCAGGTGGAAGAGAGTTTAAGCCCAGGTCAGTCTGACTTCAAAAGCTTTTGTCCCCATAAACCAGAAAGTATCTGAGACGGGTCTCAATCAATTTAGAAAGTTTATTTTGCCAAGGTTAAGGATGCACCTGTGACGCAGCCTCAGGAGGTCCTCACAACATGAGCCAAGGTGGTCAGGGAACAGCTTGGTTTTATACATTTTAGGGAGACGTGAGACTTCAATCTATATGTGTAAGATGTACATTGTATAATATGTAAGATGTACATTGATTCAGTCCGGAAAGCAGGACAACGCCAAGCAGGGAGGGGGCTTCCAGGTCACAGGCAGATAAGAAAAAAACAGTTACATTCTTTAGAGTTTCTGATTAGCTTTTCACTGAATACACAATTTACAGGAATAGTCACTTATGCCTTAGTCTGGCTTAGTGAAACAATAGGGCAAAAAAAGAAAAAAATCAGGTATGCATTGTCTCGTGTGAGCAGAGGGACGACTTTGAGTTCTGCCTGTTATTTGTCCACAAGGAATTTCCTTTTGTGAGAGAGGGAGGGAGGTGTATATCATTTTTATAGTTGTGAGGGAGGTATATAGCTTTTTTATAATTGTGAGGGGGGTATATGGCTTTTTTATCTTTGTAGCTATCTTATTTAGGAATAGAATAGGAGGCAGGTTGGCCCAAGACAATTCCCAGCATGAATTTTCCCTGTGGCTTAGTGCTTTTAAAGTCCTGAGATTTATTTTCCTTTCACTCTCCCAATCTTTATGTTCAGGGATGTTCCACTGTCATGCCATCCTTGATGCAGACACCAATACTGAATACGGAGAAGGTCCCACTCCCCAGGGGGGCCTGGATCAGCCTGCTGTTGGAGGGAGACTTTCCCTAGAATGAAGACAAGACCAGAGGGCAGGGAGGCAAGAGGCCCAAGGGGGAGGGGAGGAGTGGTGGAGGAGGGGCTGGTGGCGGCAGTGGAACATCTGCATGACCTACGTATTTTCCAGCTCCTTTAAAGACCTTAGAAGAGACCTTTGTTTATATCCCACTATCTCTCAGTCTCATAGCTCTAAGCAATAATTCCTACATCACTTTGGTAAGGGAGCTTTTTCATTGTAAGCCCATTTATACTCATACCAGATAAACAGAGAAAGATGCAATAAACTGTTTTCCAAAAGTAGTGGCATCTATGACATTGACGTATTGTTTTTAATCATTTTTTAAAAACTCAAATCTATAGACAAATTGCTGCTTTTGACTTAGATATTTTCATTGGCCCATGGTCATGCCTGCTTAATTAGCATTACTTATAATGGAGAAAAATTAAAGAAACCTAAAGTTACAAAAATAGAATTACCTTGCTAATTATATTATAAATATTCATGTGTTAAAATGTTATGGTTATTGAAATAATTTTGTGATATATTTGTAATCACATAAGAGGAATTCTTCTACTATAATAGTTAACCATTTAAAAAAGCAGAATACAAAAATGTGTGGTCCCAACTATCTTGTAAAACGCATGAAGGAAAAATGCAGGAAATATTTCTGCATAATTATTCTGGTAGTCTCTGTGTTACATAATTATGGGGCCTTGCTGTTTTTTCTTAATTTTCTGTATTTTTCAAATTTTTAGCATGGACTGGTTTTCCTCAAAAGTCCCGACTCTGGACTTCTCTCAGGCCTTTGGAATTTGCAGAGTGTGGCTCAGCTTTTCTTGTTGCCCAGGAAGGTCTATGGTGTGTCCTCCTAGTGGTGACAGTGAGGCCCCTGGTTCATGACAAGACACACACTCATGAATGCTCAACTCTGAACTTGGCGGCGCAGCTGTGGACGCAGCTGCGGAAGCCTCAAGTTGAAACATGAGCCCTCCTCTCTCCTCTCTCAACCCTGGTGCTCTGATGTCCAAGGAAAATTTATCCATGTCACTTTTGTTTGTCTTAATTCAGGTTTATGGCTCCTTTGCATCATTCTGGATTGAGAAATGAGGCCAAATGCGAACTAATGGAAAAAAGTAAGGCTGATGAGTTCATTTAGAAATGAACTGTTCCAACAACGTTCTTCTTGACATCTCTCAAGAGGGCCAGCCGTTCAGGGTGCACTTTGCGGCCTCCACAGCTCTGCTCCTTGCTGGAAACATCCCCCTTCTGTGTCCTCCACTTGCCCAAGTCTGACCTGTGCCTTCAAGGCACTTAACATGCAGTTGTTGTTGAAATATCTCAAGGTGACTATACCTCCCCTTTGCAGCTTTTTGTGACAACCACCAATTAGAGACAGTGATGGCCTCCTTCTGAGTGCTTGCCTGCTGGTCAGAACCAGGCTGAGCTGATGCTTGGTAAAATATAGCTGCCTGGGCCCCATCCAGCCTATTGAATTAGAATCTCCAGGAAGAAGGCTGTTTTATTTTTAATTTTGTTTTCATCTCATGCATTCAGCTTTTTCTGCCTCATTTGTTTTGACCTGAGAACAGAGATCATATGCTGAACAACAGCTAGCCCAGAGCTTTACAAACAATAGATATTCAATGGATGTTTGTTCAATTGAACTGAATTAGATACAGTCAGAGCAAGGGCACATTTCAGTCCTTAAGTTGGAACCCTTGCCAAAATGTCACAATTACACTTGTTTGTTTGTTTATTTATTTCTAACACTTCCTAATCAGCAGGTAGAAATTTATTAATTATGAAAATTGCTTTTTATCATCTTTCAGATTGTTTTTGCATGCTGCAAAACAATGTCTTCTGTGGACATTGAGACTGTGGATGTGTGTGGCCAGTAGTCTCTAGGGATAGTACTCAGAGTGGTAGCCAAGGAGAAGAGTGGTTCAGGCACACTCAGAAGGTGCCATTCTCCAAGGTGGTTGGCAGGGATGTCCAGGCACCAGTCACAGCAAGGATCCATCATGCCTCCGCTGCTCCTGTAATCGAGATGAAAATTACTGCCCAGATTTTGATGGACACTCTAAGACTGAAAAATACAGCTGCATTGGGTTTGGCTCTAAGGATTCTTCTCCAGTGTGTTTATAAGATGGCAATTTAAACATATATACAGTGGAGTCACTAGAAAACAACATAGTGATTTTTCTAAAAAAAAACTAAATTGGGTCAGGCATGGTGGCTCACGCCTATACTCCCAGCACTTTGAGAGGCCAAAGCAGGAGGATTACTGGAGGCCAGGAGTTGAAGACCAATCTGGGCAGCATAGAGAGACCTGTCTCTAGAAAAACATTTTTTTAAATTAGCCAGACATGATAGTACATGACGGTGGTCCCAACTACTCAAAAAGCTGAGGCAGAAGGATAGCTTGAGCCAGGAATTCGAGGTTGCAGTGAGCTTTAGTGGCACCACTGAACTCCAGCCAGGGTGACAGGGTGAGACCCTGTTTCTGGGGAAAAATAGGAAAAAAAACAATTTAGATTGGATAGGACTTAGAGTATGTGCCCTGGTACCTTTATATTCTAGTTGGAATAGAGTGCACCATTCGCCCTGTCTGGAATATTCACCCCACTCTCTCCCTGCAGTGGTGCTTTCTTCTAACAACCTCATTTTGGCAATTAGGTATGGAAAACTCCATAGAATATTTGGAGTTATTAAATTTTCACGCGAATAAGTCCTAAATCTCCAGGGCAGAGGCCATGATTTCTATTTCAGTTCATTTTCCAGGGTTTGGCATGTGCATTTGTTGACTGAATAAATAAATGAAGCCCTGCTGGGAAATGCACCCTTAGCAGTTTACAGTCCCCCTGACATGTGCTTCTAACTGCCTCCAAGTAGTATTAATAAAGCAGTAGTCATATGCCAGCCTCCGACTGGGGATCATAATTGAGGCACTGACATGATGAGTTTATCTCTGATAACCGATGGCAATGAGACCTGTCCTTTGCAAAGAGCAAAGCCCTAGTCTTGCAGTGTGTGAGGCATTAAGACTCAGTAGCATGTACCTGTGGCTCTAGCTTCCTCAGCACTGATGTTTCCTCTTGGAAAAACCCAAATTACTTTCATTGTCTCACTTTCCTTTTAATACTTAGTCTCTTGGAGCTTTGTAGAAAGCCTGAGAAGCAGTGTGAATGGCAAGTCAGGGGCCTCGCTGCAATGAGCTGGTCTCCGTTGCCACCACTTACCACGAGGTGCAGGCTCTGTCTGCCGCCCCCACATCTCGAGGCTCCTTTCACAGCTCTTATTCTCTGGAGCGAGACCGCACTTTAATCTCTGCTGTTTTCCGCATACAAGGTAAAAAATGGAAAATTAGAGATGTTATCTGAATAATTAATTCAAGCCTCAAATGAAAAGGAAATTCTAAAATATCCAGATCATTGAGACTTCTGAGTTTCTATTAGTCTGGACATAGATGGCTTGTCTTGTAACCAGTGGAAATGGCAGTGAGTGCCCTTGAATCTATTACCGTATCCTCGAGGCCAGAGATGTCTAAGCATCAGCTTACAAGTGAAAAATGTCTTAGTGAGATGATAATCATCGGTTTGCCATCTGATAATTGCTACAGAGAGTCAAGGAGGTAGTACCAATTCAACTGTTTATCTCATGGAATTTAATGTGAACCTATACTACACTGTTGAGCAAAGATTCCACGAGGCCGGAATCGGTGGGAGAGGCCGTGGGGCTGGTACCTTCCCGGTATCTTTGGTGTATATTTGGTGCATCTTTGGTGTATCAGAGACAAGCTTAGGAGATGGTCACGGGCATCTAAGCAATAGAGATGGACTGCACGAAAACCGTGCCTTTTCCCTCATCTGTAAAATTGAAAATACTGTCCAAAATCCCACAGCAGACTATAGCTTTTGTCCGTGAGTTCAAAGGTTCCAAGTTTAGTCCTGCATAATTGAGAAAAAGACTTAAAAAAAAAAGTTTCCAAACTGCCTCAATTGTTGTCCCTTCCTTTTAGCTCTGAAAAATCAGAAAGATTAGCTGTGTGGAAAATGTCAGAAGAGACTTTCTGTTAAATATGTTAAAGAATTTCAGCAGTAAGTGTCGCCTGAGACGTTTAAGAAATCATAGTAGCTAAGTGTCCCCTTCCTTTTAATGTTCTTCTAGAACCCAGTGAAACTTTGGACTGAGGTGATTCCTCCACACTCCCAGCCCACATCACAGAGTCTTAGTGATCATTTCTCCTTTGCTGTCAGAGCTGAGTATCAAATCCCATTTTTTTGTTTTCAAAATAGAATTGTTCCTTTCTTTTACCATTCCCCTGAATAATTGCTAATAAAGCAATATGCCACTCATCTAGGTCACCTGATTTGCTGGTTTTGATCACAGGGATATCTTGATGCTGTTGGACTTTTCCCCATGGAGCTCTTACTCTGTTAGACAGGTGTCCATTCTGCTGTGGCTCACTTAAAAAGCAAGGCTTTGTCTTTGCCTCGTTGTGATTTCTTTCTTCTATCAATGTTGAGAGCTTGACGGAGGTGCTGGTGGGTTAATTCTCCTCCTTATCCTTTCAATTCCCCCATTCTATCCTAAATCACTACAGATAGGCCTATTCTATACATATATTGCCAGTTCTTCCTTATTTCCTTCCTCTTCCAATAGGAATCTCTTGAGGTAAACCACCTCTGCCAGTCCTCCTATCACAGCCTGCTGCTGAGATGGTGCAGCCTGGTGTGGCTAAGGCGTGTGGCAGCCAGAATTGGAACTGAGTGACAGTTAGAGCTAGAAAGAGCACAAGAGTGGGCAGAGTGATGACAGGGAAGGAACCTGGGAAGGAACGTGCTACCTGTGGCCCCATCTGGAATATGAACTGGCTTTGTCTCCTTTCAAGGGTGGAAGAGGGATAGAAGAGGGTGGAAGAAGGGTGGAAGGAGCGAGAGATTCCTTTATATTGCCAATATAGGTATGAAATGTAGGAGAGAGAGATGACTTTATATTGCTAACGGCCATGCCTGCTTCACTCTTCATCATGGCTCTAAGTTGCTCTCATAAATGCTCTGAGACATCAACACTGAATTTATATCAGATATGGCCGTGTTCATCCGGGGCACTTTGATCACAAAAGGAAAGTGCTGCTGCTGCTGGTTCAACCCCACTGTGTACTGATGATGGGCATTATGGTTCATAATCCCAATGACTGGCACACTTATCAGAGCTGCAGTCCAACATGGGGCCTTCTTCTGGCTTGATGGGTGATCTGGAAAAGCAGGTACGATGACCTCCCACACTGATGTGAGAGCTGCACACTGTCCCTGCACCCGCCCAGGAGCCGCCCCTGCTACTTTGTCAGTAACTTCTGCCACGGTGCCACTTGTTTAGACTTGAGGGACCACTTGATTGGTAAAGCTTCTCCCTGCATGTAGACCTTGGCATTCAGGAGAGCTATACTTGGGCTCCCCAAGACACAGCAGCTCTGTCCACCTTGCTCTCCCCCTCATTGCTGCAGTGTGAAGTTTCTAAGGTGAACAAAACCTCCGTGGCCCCCCACTCTCCAATGGAGAAGGTCTTATTTCTTGGTGTGCCATGGGAGACCCCTTTCACACACTTCCAGCTGCCCCCAACACTGTCTGGCAGACAGCTAAGAGGAGCTCTGCTGAATCTGGAAGCTCAGCATGCTTCTAGTAAAGATACGCTTTTCCACGAGAAGTTCCTTCTGCTTAGATTGGATTTCCCTCAGCTCTTGCCCCTTCCTTCCAGGTCCAGCTTCCATGTCCTCCCATCTGGGAAGGTGGTCCCAGCATCTCTCTCCCTTCTAGGGGGGACCATGCCCACCACCCCATTATTGCCCTCACCATTGTGTCATAGTTGACTGCTTAAATGTCTGCCTCCTGCACCAAACTCTCCGAGGCTATGAGCACTGTTTAAGTCCTCTCTGTATCCATACTCAGCATTTAGCACAAGGCCTGGTACACACTAAAGACTCCATCCACATTTCCTGATTGACTGGGCTAAAGGAAGGAAGAAGAAGCCAGATGCAGTGGCTCACGCCTGTAATTCCAGCTCTTTGGGAGGTCAAGGTGGATCACTTGAGGTCAGGAGTTCAAGACCAGCCTGGCCAACATGGTGAAACCCCTTCTCTACTAAAAATACAAAACAATTAGCCAGGTACGGTGGCACGCACCTGTAATCCCAGCTACTCGGGAGGCTGAAGCAGGAGAATCTCTTGAACCCGGGAGGCAGAGGTTACAGTGAGCTGGGATCGCACCATTTCCTTCCAGCCTAGGCAACAAGAGTGGAAACTCTGTCAAAAAAAAAAAAAAAAGAAGCAGGAGAATAAAACCAAAGACAGGATTTACTTAAAAATAAACCCAAAGATGCTGGGTCAAACCACCCAGGGGATATAAGAATTTAAAAGAGAGCATCTTTACAGCACCTTGATCCTCCATGACAAATGATAACATGCTTTTGAGTATTAATTTCAATGAGGATACAAACTCAGCACTGCATCTGAAACCCTCCTAAGTGTATTTCTTAGAACTGTAATCCCTGTCTGGCCCCATCACCTAATAGCAGGCAAATGAGGACACGACCATGAATGGAGGAGGGAAACACACTGGCTTACAACAGCCTGAGGCTCCTCAGGCTTCTCAACAAGCCTGAGGCTCCCTCCCAAGCCAGGCAGCTCAGGCCATGGATGAGGCAGCTAACTGGCCGCAGGGAGTCTCAAGGTCCACTTGGGGCCCTGCTGCTCCCCTGCTGCGTGGTCAGGGCAGGCAGCTGCCCTTCTCAGGCTTCAGCTTCCCGGTGAATAAGAGGAGGGGCTGGCCCAGAACCCTCCCATGACTGTCACTGTGGGTTCCTGTGTGATTCACAGTATTGTGGGTTGGCTTTTGGAGACTGGACTGTAGCCAAGCAGGTGGTGGTGCCCTGGTTACGGGAAGAGGCACAGTGACCCCACTCAGCACAGCACAAGCCCTGCTGGGCTCAGGATGGAGTGAGGCTGAGGTCATCATGGGGGCTCCTCACAAATGCCCGGTACGGGGCCGCCCCGGGAGGATGATGTGGCTGGCTCACAGCAGCTCCACCTCCCTTTCTCTCCTGTATGGTCCGCAGGGCTCCTGGAGCTGGGCGCCTTGGGCCCCTGGAGCCGCACTGTGGTTCTGGGAGGTGAACACATATCCTTTTCCTCTGCAGGTATCAGTAGGTAAAGAGGAAACTTTTCCACTTTCAATCAGGCTAGTGCCTTCCTGAGGAAGAAACAGTATTTCCTAACATTGAGAAGGGAAAAATGGGTCTCTTTCTCACATCTGTAAGTTCCCATTCATTCTGTCTCTGTGTCTTACACACACACCACACACACCCACACACGTGCACACACACATGCGCGCACACACACACACAGGAATACCAGTTCTCACCTTTCCTTTCTGTGTAAACCAGAGGAGGTGCTAAATATTATGAACAGGAATTTGCCCCAGCTAACCTGACGAGGCCCTCCTGGCTGCCACCTTCCTCCCTCTCCCACACCCACAGCCCCCTGCCCATTCCTCTGCCCATACAAACCACCCAGATTTCAGCAACTTCGCTGCTGAACGCCTCCAAACATAAACCTCCCAAATAACCCAGAGCTGCACCAAGCAGTCCTAGACTTGAGCAAAGCAGTGAATGGTCCAATCATGCCCCTCCTGGAGCCTGGCCTCCAGCTGGTTTCTCTTACGTGTGAGTGAGAATGGTGTGCGAGCGACAAGGAGCAAAGACCACCCCACCCCCCGCCCCCCAACACCTGCCATCAAAGGGCTGCAGAGTCAAAAGTGGGAGGGGATGTTCAACCTTACACTTATTGGTGGATTTTTTTTTATGAGCGATAAGGCATTATGTGTTCCTAAAATAATGTGTCTGACTGGCATTTTAACAAGTTCCTTGTATTTTAAATCATGACTTCCTGTGTGGATATTATCTGGCTTGGCTTGATTTGCTTATTAAAATTTTCTCCCCCTAATGTTCCCTTTCAGCCAGCAATGAGTGGGATTTTATTTCTTTTTCAAAGAAAAGAAGCCCACACAATTTAGTTTATGTAATTCTGTGATATTCTTCCACACAATGGCCAGCACAAAAGAAAGCTTTTTTAGCACATGGCTTTGAGGCTGAAAGCACAAATTGAGGCACAGGTTTCAGGAACAGGTGTCTGGGAGCTGAAGAGTTAGACAGAGATGGTGGTTTAGCAGCCACCTCCCACTCTCCTCCCTTACACCTGAGAGCCCCTACACCCGCCCCTGTCCCACAACATCCCTCATACACAGCAGTTCCCAAGCAGAGGTACAAATGGGTAAGCAGGACTCAAATCTCAGGATGTGAGAGGGAGAGGAGGACCCAGGGGCAGTATTTAATCTCATCCCAACACTTTCTTCTTATTTGACAGGTGATGAAGGCAATTCCCAGAGAGGTGGAGCCCTTCTTTTTAGCCTAACGAATTGTTTCCCTTAACAGTCGTGACTCAGAGGAAATGCGTGGGCTGCAGTGATTTTTGTGATCTCTTGTGCCTGCCATTGGGTTGGGTAGGAGGTTTCTGCTTTTAGACTGTTAGGACCAGCAGGGCCCAGCAGCAAGTAGAGCTCTGGATAAAGCTGCCCTGGCCTGTCTCCAAACCCTCCAACCCAGGCCATCCCCACTTCTCCTGTACTGCCTCAGGGATTCCCGGTGCTTCTGCTGGTCCTGCATCCGGACACCTGACCCATCCCAGTGCAGTCCAGGAACCAGGAACTCAATTCGAGCAATTCTGGGCACCAAGCCTAGTGCTTACAAGAATTCCTGAGCTCAAGGAGCAGAGCCCCATGTCCAGGTGCACCCCAGCCCACACGTTACCCACAAGTGCATTCATTCATTCAACACAGTTATTTATTTATTTATTTATTTATTTATTTATTTATTTATTTATTTATCGATATGGAGTCTCACTCTGTCACCCAGGCTGGAGTGCAGTGGCGCAATCTTAGCTCACTGCAGCCTCCACCTCCCTGGTTCAAGCGATTCTCCTGATTCAGCCTCCTGGGATAGCTGGGATTACAGACACGTGTCACCACACATGGCTAATTTTTTTGTATTTTTAGTAGAGACGGGGTTTCACCATGTTAGCCAGGCTGGTCTCAAACTCCTGGCCTCAGGTGATATGCCCGCCTTGGCCTCCCAAAGTGTTGGGATTACAGGCGTGAGCCATAGCACCCAGCCTCAACAAAGTATTTACTGAGCATCATCTATGTTCTTGCCAGGCACTACTTTTGCTGGAAATGCAGACCTAAAGGAGCTAGGCTGGGCTGCTGTCTTGGTGCCTGCCTTCTAAGTAGAGGGGACTGACAAAAAATAAGTTGACAGGTAAGGCAGTTTTAGACAGAACATCTCATTCAGGCTCTGATCGAAATCTCCATTGAGGCCAGAGAGGAAGCTGCGGGACTGAGAACAGTCACTGAGTTCAGAGTGGAAGCTTTGGGGTAAAGCTTCCCCTAGAAGTGACTGAGCCAGGTAGACTTTGGAATGTGGTCGGAAGGCAACACAGCACAGTCGCTCAGTCCCTAATGAACTCTCTTCCTGCGATGACCTTGGCTTTTGTCAAAGCCTTGTACCAGGAATCTGCCACTATAATCGTGATTAAAAGTCTCTTAAGATCTTACTCACCACATTTCATTGTGTTTCCTACAGAAAGTCTAAGATGAAACATTTCGTTAAGAACTTGGAGGAAGAAAAAAGTCCCTGTATTCTGATCATAAGAACTAAGCTTTCCTTTTATCTTCTTGGCTGCCGAGAAGCTCAGAGAAGTATCTGAATCTCAATTACTGCAATTCTGTCCATCTGTTTTATAATTTGGAGAGAATGCTTAAGAATGATAAAAGTGCCCTCTTATAATCGCCCATAAACAGGCTCAAATCCCCATTTCCTGCCACACGATGGATGACCTCAGAATTTTTATTAACATTCTGAGCTGGGTTTTCTAGCAACCTGAGAATAGTGAAACTGGATAGTGTTTTGTTGTTGTTGTTGTTGTTGTTGTTGTTTGTTGTTTGGGGGGGACAGAGTCTCATTCTGTCACAGAGTACAGTGCATGATCTCGGCTCACTGCAACCTCCACCTCCCGGGTTCAAGCGATTCTCCCTGCCACAGCTTCAGCAGCTGCGATTACAGGCGCCCGTCACCACGCCCAGCTAATTTTTTTTTTTTGAGACGGAGTTTCGCTCTTGTTGCCCAGGCTGGAGTTCAATGGCACGATCTCGGCTCACTGCAACCTCTGCCTCCTGGGTTCAAGTGATTCTCCTGCCTCAGCCTCCCAAGTAGCTGGGATTACAGGCATGTGCCACCACGCCTGGCTAATTTTGTATTTTTAGTAGAGACGGGGTTTCTCCATGTTGGTCAAGCTGGTCTCGAACTCCCAACCTCAGATGATCCGCCCACCTCAGCCTCCCAAAGTGCCAGCATTACAGGTGTGAGCCACCCTGCCCAGCCTAATTTTGTGTATTTGTAGTAGAGACGAGGTTTCGCCATGTTGCCCAAGCTGGTCTTGAACTACTGACTTCAGGTAATCCACCCACCTCAGCCTCCCAAAGTGCTGGGATTACAGGCATAAGCCACCATGTCTGGCCTTGATAATGTTTTAATGAGATGTACAACAGTCCGCTGCATAGAGCAAATGCTCAGAACTATTTTTGTCTTCCTTCATATTGCTACTTCCTGATTTCTGTCTGTTTTGTATTTTCCTATTTTATTATACATTTCTTGGTTTGTAAATTTTCTCAAATCCTTTGTAGAAAAAGATAAGCTTTGATTTTTTTTTTTTTTAAATCCCATTACCCACCTGGTGGCGTAACAAAGCCGAGTGTAGGATAGCAAAAGCTGCAGGCATCTTCTTGATCAAAGTAAAATCTGCTCATGGACTAAAAAAGTATTACGTTCTTTCTTCCAACTAAGTAATGCCAGTTTCTATAACCTCATCTTATATACTTTAATGAAGCTTCCTTCAAGGGCTGTGTATTTCGCTTACAATTTTTGATTCCTTGGTGTAGAGGCCATTTTTAAGAGTCATTTTCTCTATTATAGACATGCCTTTGTCTGCTTTCTTTTCATTTCTGAGATGGCACTCACTCACGGCTTTATATTCCAAGACAGAAATGCTATTAATGACTTAGTTAGATAAAAACTGACAGAGCAGAATCTTTTGTCTCCAGGTTCTTAAAAAAAAAATCCATGCATAATAACATGTTCCATCCCTAGAAGTGATGATTTTCTGCTTTTAAGATTCTGTTTTTTTACAGGTTTTGTTTTTGTTAATGTGCTATACTCCATGAGACTATCTTAAAACATATTAAACCCACAAGGCCTATTCCAAGATTAAGAAAAAAAGAAAAACAACAAAGAGCACATCACTTAATTCAAAACATTTCAACAATTACGATGTCATTTAAGTTGGAAAGCAAAACAAATAAACAAAACATTGGTGGCTCTTCTGCTACAAATAGGAAAAAAAACCAAAAACAAAAAAACCAGCAGATGGTTTTTACTCCCATAGCAGGGCACTTTGTACAGTGTATTTAAATTGCTCTCAGAGGCTCACTTATCAGACCCATTTTTTCAAGCGTCAACTAAAATCTATGCTTGACATAGCCCGTAACTAGGGCCACGTGATTACAACCAATAACTGGAAAATTACAGTGTTATTGAAACTATTGCTGATATTCTTGTGGTCCTCCTATCAGTTCATATTGTCTATCACCAAAGGGAAAAGAAGACAAAAGATACTTGAGTTATTAGTGGGTTGGAGAAAAGGCTGGGAGAAATTTAGTGATATCCGTTGATTTCCCATACATACAGAGATTGGGAGGGCCACCCTTTGCAGAGAGGAAAGAGAAAGGAGGTCTCCTGTTGGGGAGATCTGCTTTAGAGGTTAGGAAGAATGGTGGAGTTGTAAGACATTGGAATCACTGTCTAGGAAGACAGTGGCCTTTTATCCAGGGCTATTTAAAAACAGGACAGAGCTTCATCTATCTCCCACAGTTCAGATGTGAAGAGAGAATGATTAAATTGCTTCTTCCAGACTGATGAGTCTATAGTATATGCTAGAAACACTTGTGAATGTCTGGGAGAAACATAGCCACAAACGAATTGCATGTTGAGCAATCAGCTCTATCCACCTGCTGTGTTCAAGAAGCAACTGTTGACATTTGCTCAAATGTGCTCACCACAAACCAAAACAAAATAAAATAAAAATGGGGTAAATAGGTGAGGGATGGATGTGCTAGCTAACTTGATTGTGGTAATCATTTCACTATATATATATATATATATACACATATATATATATATATATACACACACACATATAGTGAAATGTATTATTATATATTATATATACTGTATATCTTATATATTATAGAACATATAATATATAATATATAATATACAGTATATATAATATATTATATATTATATTGTATTATATATAATACAACATATAATATATAAATATAATATATTATATATTATATATGTTATATATAATATAACATATAATATATTTATATATAATATATTATATTATATATTATATATTTATATATAATATATTTTTATATATTATAATATATTTATATATATTTTTATATATTATGATATATTTTTATATAATAATATATAATATATATATATTATATGATATATTTATATATTATATGATATATTTATATATATTATATGATATATTTATATATTATATGATATATTTATATATATTATATGATATATTTATATATAATATAACATATAATATATTTATATATATATAAAATCTTCACATTGTACACCTTAAAAGTCATACAATTTTATTTGTCAATTATACCTCAATAAAGCTGGGAAATTAAAAATAAAAAGGAGCAACTGTTGTGAGTCTTTAATAAAACATCTGTTTAGGACATGATGGAATACAATTTTAAGTTCATCTCCTTCCTACATAACTTTGTGTTCATATCTTTATTTTCTTCTATGTACCATCTACTACTAAATTATCATGCCTTTCTGTAATTTTTTTTTTTTTTTGAGACGGGGTCTCGCTCTTGTTGCCCAGGAGTGCAGTGGCACAATCTTGGCTCACTGCAACCTCCGCCTCCTGGGTTCCAGCAATTCTCCTGCCTCAACCTCCCAAGTAGCTGGGATTACAGGCACCTGCCAACACGCCCGGCTAATTTTTGTACTTTTAGTAGAGACGGGGCTTCGCCACGTTGGCCAGGCTGGTCTTGAACTCCTGACCTCAAGTGATCCACCTGCCTCAGCCTCCCAAAGTGCTGGGATTACAGGCCTGAACCACCACTCCCAGCCATTTTATCTATTTTTATAAGCCATCTTAAACCCTTTCTGGAACAAGAAGGGATATCACTGAATAAAATAATTTCTATAAATTAAAGCTTTGGGGGCTTTTCATGGCAGGAATTATGCCAGGTACAGGGGATATACAGAGGAGAAAACTTCACAGTGTAGGAGTGAACATGGACAGATCAACTAGCAACAGTACCTAAGAATCCCTGCAGGGGAATGGGATTCCTGTGCATCATGGAGCAGAAAGTTCCACTCTTGGGAATGGGAAGGAGGCAAGGAGCGGTTACAGCAGAGTTGGTGCTGGAGCATAATTCTGATGCAGAAGTGCAGATCCTGCCTGCAAGTAGGAATGGGGAGGATGTGTGCAAAGACAGGGTGGTGGGAGAGGGTGGGGTGCAAGGGACGGCTTTGAGGCTGCCCTGCTTACCCCGGACAAATGTCATCGTTCCAATCCAGTAATCACTGACAAACGTCTTCTTTGACTAATGTTTCCTTCTCTATCTTTGCTCTCACCATGTGGACAGTGATCACTGGCGTAATTTGACAGTTTCAGGAGAGTTCTCTAGTTTCCAGGGGATTTTGGTAAAAATACAATAGCAGAATTGTCTTCAGCAAAAGAGAAAGACCCTACAATCCTTTTGAGGCCCTGATTGAAACCACGTACATAAAAATCTTTATCTTAGGCTCTTCATCATGAATGCAAATATATCCTACTCAATCGTAAACCTTACAAATAAAGGAGCCTCTCCCCTGAGCACCAGTATATAGAGCACCTTTACAAACACACTAGGCTGTGTAACCCTTGGCACTTTGATTTTGTAAGAAAACCTGAAGGTTTCTTGAATTTAATGCAAGTTCATAAGAGTGAGGACTCTGGGGTGACATGAAGGAAGCCTGTTCAGTGACGGAGCCTGGCTGAGTGCCCAGGCCCTATGTCTCAGTGAGGTTTCCTTCCTAAAGCATTACCAGTAATATCTTAGCAAGAGATTTTTATTTATTGAGCAGGTACTGTACTAAGAACTTGACTTGCATTGTCTCATTAAATTCTGACAACAGCCCATTTACAGAGGAGGAAACCGAGGTCCAGAAAGATTAAATTGTCCAGTGATAGACCCACAGCTGGGAAGCTGGTAGATGCTGCCTCAGCTTTGATTATGGTCTAATTCATAATTATTTTGAATCTCTGTAATACTGTAAGATGGTATTAGCCCACTTAAAGTATGTGGGAACTAAACAAACCTTGTGCTCTTGCAGCAGCCTTTCTGTTTGGGGATTTTACAAAGGTCTCTGGACAGAGCCTCCTGGAGGGCTGTCAGTTTACTGAGATCCTCCCTGAACTGCCCAGAATAGCCATGGTGCCTTGAGATAGGTGGGTGGTTCCTGCTTCCCTGGCCTTCAGCGCTTTGCCAGTCTTCCTGAGAGGAGGGATGGTTTCCAGGCAACACCATGGTCCATCTATTTTCATACTGCTATAGTGACAAGCATTTTGAAAAAATAAGAAATATGGCCCCAATAAGGTGATGAGATGCTTTTTGGAGTCTGTCTTGTCTGCCTGTCATAATTCTGCAGCAACCATCAGTAGGGCCAAAGGAATTCCAAACAGGAGACACAGATGAGTGAAAGGGCCTGCCTGCCCCATGGCCATAGAGGACCAAGACTCAGAATGCCAACGCTGTGCTTTCTCAGGCTAATAGACTTTTTACAACATCCTGGTCTTGGAGGATGGAAAAAGTGCAGGCCTAAATTACTGCTAACTAGATTGATCTAACTGAAAGAGTAGACTATTGCTGTGGTCTGCTCATCATAGCTGGTAAACAAAAAGTCAATAATTTGCATTTGATTAGGTGCATAAGAAGTTACAGTTCCTGGGATCTAAACTTCATGAGTCAACACTTTTTTAGGCCTTAATCTTCTCTTCTTGAAAACTACATATAGAACAACATGAACTTCAATAACCAGGACCCCCCAAAAATGTTCATTTAAACGCAATTTTAATATACTTTGATGAAGTCAGAATCACCCTTGCTTGTTTCTGCATGAGTTCTATTTGCTGCCTGTCCTTCTGTATTTTCAAAGTTATCTGTGCCCAAAACGAGTTAGTGCTCTGCATCAGGTTGGCTCATTTTAAGTGCTCAAAGTTGTAAACAATACAAAAATGCATTTTTTCTCATCAGGTACAATGTTTTCTACAATAACATTGGCTCCAAGGGAGATACAGTCCTCTGAGATTGGATTTTATTGAAAATCATCGTATTCAAAGAGTACTAGGATGTTTGAAATCCTTCATAGAAACTTCATACAGCCCGAAGGCATTCTGTAGAGTGAAAGATGTAAATGGAGGAGTGACTGCCTCACCCAGCAGGGACCACTCCTAATTCTGGGCTGTGTGTAGGGACCTGAATGCTGCAGGGATCACTCAGAGGTTAATAATGATAATCATCGTTTGCCTTAAAGAAGGATAAAATCAGATCCAATCTAATTGACGTTGGAGAACTCGAGGGATGGCATTTGGTTGGGGAATAGTCACACCTTCAGGGTCATTCTGCACATCCCAGTCCTTCTGGTATCAAGTGGGTTAGAGCCGGGAGAGGCAGAGACTCCAACAAAACATGGAAACGCAGGACACCCTGGTGCACTTGTGTTTTTGTTCTTGCTGTCCCCGTGTGAACCCAGAGCTGCAGCCTTTGTCACGAGGAAGATGCTCTATGCCATGTTTCATATCTGCCCAGCAGGGCAGCTCACTCACAGCGCGTGTCTCCCAGCACATCTTTCGTTTTCGTGTGATGACGGTGACTGAGTTGCCGGCGTGCCCTGACCCTGCTCACTGTCTCTTTGCTCCCACAGAATCTGTACCAGAACAGGTTTTTAGGCCTGGCCGCCATGGCGTCTCCTTCTAGAAACTCCCAGAGCCGACGCCGGTGCAAGGAGCCGCTCCGATACAGCTACAACCCCGACCAGTTCCACAACATGGACCTCAGGGGCGGCCCCCACGATGGCGTCACCATTCCCCGCTCCACCAGCGACACTGACCTGGTCACCTCGGACAGCCGCTCCACGCTCATGGTCAGCAGCTCCTACTATTCCATCGGGCACTCTCAGGACCTGGTCATCCACTGGGACATAAAGGAGGAAGTGGACGCTGGGGACTGGATTGGCATGTACCTCATTGGTGAGTAGAATGTGCCAAGTGTATTATTCATAATTCACTTTTACATATGCTGTCACATTTTAATAAACTCTACAATATAATTAAAATATACAAGCAACTGTGTTATATGCCAGATTCTAACACACTGAAGACCACTGTTGCATGACCTTGTTTTTCTGCAAAATGGACAATAAGGTCTCTCTTGCCATCTCCATTCCATGGAAGAAAATCATGAGATATAGCAGAGTCAGGTGTGGTTAAACACAAATGTCATTATCATTTGCAACTATAGAAGCTCTTCTACTTGTGAATAAGTTAATATCAAAGCCTGTTTTTAAGTCTATGTGCTTATAAGACAAAGTAACACCATATGCCCAACCAATGTATGTAGAGGTAATTTCACTTTAGTTTCCAGCATAATCTTTGCCAGCTCTTCCAACATTCTTACTGCTTTGTATTCAACAGACAAGCTGGGATTATACTCACAGGCATACAGGCATGGTGTTGGAGAAAGTTGACTTGCCTTACTTTAGGTGGAGATTTATTCAAAATTTTGAAAGTTCCAAAGTTGAAAGTTTACTAGAAGAAATTGTTCTATGTGAATTTTCTCAGGTCTTTGCAAACAAAACAAATTATGCAAATAAGTTGGATGCTGAGGCAATTATTTTTATGAAAGTTTCACCATTCCCACGGATTGGTTTTGAAAATCTTATAATTATGAAAACCAATTTAAATGAAAAATGTATTTCATCTATTTTATGTGATAGAATCAGCTGTCATGGAAATTGATGTGTTTACCCAAAAGTCGAGTTATAATTGCTGGAAGGCCACAAGAGTCAACAGATTCAACACCGGGTCATCCGAGGCCAGGCCTTCTGCCTTCAGTCTGTGCTCTGCAACATTTGCACATTCAGACACACAACACCGGATTTAACATCACAGAAAGTAATGGATTGTTATGAGTAGTTTACAACCTGCACAGTTTTTCTGATAAAATAAAAGGGATCTTAGCTGACTAACTAGTTCTCAGGGAAATATTCTTGGGTCTCTTAAAGGTTTTTCCATCAGCTTGGTTAGTGCGTTTATAATACACACATTAATGTAAAGATGGAGGTACATAAATTGTTGAAATTTTTACACAAATAGCTGTGACTAGCTGAACTGGATTTCCAAAAGTTAAAATTCAATTTATTTCTGAAAAAAAATTGTTCTTGAATAAAAGTAGATACTATAGATTAAGAACAGAGATTGCAAAATAACAGCCTAAAGAGCATTTTTTTTTTTTTTTGAGATGGAGTTTTGCTCTTGTTGCACAGGCTGGAGTTCAGTGGTGCGATCTCAGCTCACCGCAACCTCTGCCTCCCGGGTTCAAGTGATTCTCCTGCCTCAGCCTCCCAAGTAGCTGGGATTACAGGCATGTGCCACCACGCCTGGCTAGTTTTGTATTTTTAGTACAGACAGGGTTTCTCCATGTTGGTCAGGCTGGTCTCGAACTCCCGACCTCAGGTGATCCACCTGCCTTGGCTTCCCATAGTGCTGGGATTACAGGTGTGAGCCACTGCCCTCGGCCGCATATTTTGTTTCATTTACATTGTTTTGTTTTAAATTTGATTGATTATCCACACTTAAAATGTAGAAGTTTCAAGTTGAAACACAACTTTCTAGCTTCTTTCACAAAAGCCTCCAATTTGGCAGCCTGAGCCTGTGATACCACATGGTTCTAATCAGCTGGAGTTAAGCGTCTGCACCCTCCCTAGACTGGCCTGTAACCTTCAGTGTTGCCACAGTCCCCTCCCACCCATTCGGACCTTCATCATGAGTGTCTTTTGTTTAGCACTTGAGGCAATTAGGTTTAGGCTCCGAATCTAGGGTTTTGGTTTGATTTGGTTTGGTTTTGGTTTTGGTTTTGGTTTGTTTTTTGGTTTGGTTTTTTATTGAAATGGAGTCTCACTATATTGCCCAGGCTCAAACTCCAGGGCTCAAGTGATCCTTCAGCCTCAGCCTCCCAAAATGCTGAGATTACAGGCATGAGCCACCATGCCCAGCCCAGATCTAGTTTTGAGTCAACTCAAGGGCATCTTCCCGCAGCTGGTGAGTGCTGATGTTATTCCTCAAGTTAGGTACCCACTGGAAGAGAAGCCTGTTTGGGGAGAAGGTAATGAGCTCAAGATGGAATTACTGAGTGTGGAACACCTGAGGGACGTGCGTCCACAGTGAGTGAATGAATGAATGGTTCTGAAGCTCAACCAGGGATCCGAGCTAGGGTTGTAGATTTGGGATAACAGACACCTTGGGGGTGGATAAGCTCACTCTAGTGTTGTGTATAGAAAGAGAGCACCAGATAGTCACAGTGAGAGGGGGCAGGGGAGAGGCAGACGAGGAACTCAAACAGAAGAAGAGGAGGTGGTGAAGGGGCAGGATAACCAGGAGACTAGAGAGAACAAAGAAGAGGGTAGTAGAGGAGGGGGTGGGTAGCCATATCAGGTATTACGAAACTCCATGAATGAATAAGATCTGGTGTTAACATGACATTTTGACTGAGACAAAAGTAACCACAACTTATCATCCTAGAACCTTAATTTGACAGTTTGTTATTCTCATTGTAGCTACACATATATAACTGTGAAGTTATGTAATGCAAAATGCCAACACTTTCAACGGCATAGCATTTCAAAAATAACTTCCAAATCCGAAATTGTCTGTGAATCTTAAAAGTCAATAATGTGTAAGTCCTTAGTAGCTTATCTTCCACATTTTCCGTGCTTTGCCAGAGATCAAATCAGAGATCTAGGCTGAGAAATGTAGAGATGGTGATTTCATCTCATCTGTCATTTCATGAATGAGGAGATGTCGAATCAGTGGCTCCCACAGTCACACAGCTGCCTCCCCTGGCTCAGGACTCATGCTGCCACAGGGGTAGCACAGCATTGTGGTGCAGTGTTGGGTATGGGCCATGGCACATCCGTGTGCCATCAAATGTCCAGCAGAGGCCAGGGTTGTGATGCTTTCAGCATGGTAGGACTTCTAGAGCTCTCAAAGCAAATAGGACTGTTCTGACATAAGAGGGGGAAGATACCTGGATGTAGAGGGTGAAGTGTGGCTGCTGATTTATGGAACCCAACTCTTGAAGAATTAAAGTTTTTCCTTTACATCAGGCACCCTATTAGAATCTAGAAGAGCAGAAGCTGTATAAGGCACAAACAGAATTCTTGTGTCCAAAGAAACAATATGAAGGAAAGGCCACAGAAGGGGAGAAAGTGGCATTGATTTTTAGGAGCTCCTCTATCACTTTATGCTTAGAGTTCCTGCTTCTGCAAGAGAATGGCGCTTCTACATCATTGGCCTAGTAGTAAGAAAGACAAGTAGATTCTCCCCATATCTCCCGTCCCATTATTATTGTTATTATTATTATTATTATTATTATTATCATTATTACTATTATTTTGAGATGGAATCTCGCTCTGTTGCCCAGGCTAGAGTACAATGGCACGATCCCAGCTCACTGCAACCTCCGCCTCCCAGGTTCAAGCGATTCTCCTGATTCAGCCTCTCAAGTAGCTGGGATTACAGGCATGCACCACCACCCCTGGCTAATTTTTCTATTTTTAGTAGAGATGGGGTTTCACCATGTTGGCCAGGCTGATCTCAAACTCCTGACCTCAGTTGATCCACCCACCTCGGCCTCCCAAACTCCTGGGATTACAGGCGTGATCCACCGCGCCTGGCCCTGTCCCATTATTTAGTGAAGTCATGGTCCAGCCACAGTGGGAGAATCCTGGGAGATTTTTTCCCAAGATTTGGTTGTCAGAAAGCATGAATTACTCTGAAAAATGGAAGCCATATCTTTTTTCTGATGGGTGTAGGAGACCTGGGTAGTATATTGATTCTCTCTTTTAATCAGTTATGGGCTCACTTGCTCATTCCACTCTTAACAGCAATAGCATGTTTGTTGTCCACTCTTCTATTATAGATTATGGCATGGAAATCATAGCTATGATTTTTATTTTGAAGACAAATCCAGAGAAAATATATTACTTGTTTCTTAGGTATGTCTGTTTCTGTAAGCTTTATTAGACCTTTCTGATTAAAATTATAATAATCCACAAAGATCCTTTCTCTATTATAAACTGAGGAGCAGGTGGTAGGATTCTACACACCAGAAGAAATGCATACCACTCAGAAAATGTAATCTTTTCCTGAGGAACTTTTCTGTACATGTTATGTACAAAATGTACGATGACAAAATCTTGAACAGTACTGATGTGAGCTAGTGCTTCAAGTTATTATTAATGGTTTTACATAGTAAGTGTCATAGGGATTTGCAATAGAGGGCCCTATTTTTGGCCCAGATTCTAAGCAGAAATAGCTGCTTATTAGATGTTGGACACTGGTCTAAGACCACTAGCTGTATTAGCTCAAGGAATCCTTTCAACAAGATTTTGAGGTAGGTACTTATAGTATTTATCCTCATTTTGTAGTGAGTGATTAAATAAACTGCCTAAGATCACATAATAATGGTAGATGTAAGCTTCCTGCCTCAAAGGGGATGTAATATTGCTCCCACAAAGAGGCTTCCATCATGACAAGAATGCAGAAAATAACAGCCTCCTGGTAGAGAGCCTAGAGCACCCATTCCACACTGAGGTGGAGAGTGTGGCTTGGCCCACAGCATCCATTCCAGTTCTCCTCTCCCCTCCCCTTTTCTCTCCTCCCCTCCCCTCCTCTCCTCTCCTCTCCCGTCCCGTCTCCTCCCCTCTACTCTCTTCTTTCCTCTCATCTCCTGTGCCTTCCCCTAGTGCAGAATCTGGTCCTCTAAATTTACATTTCCCAGACTCCCATGCAGCCATGTTCTGGATGCAAATTCGATTCATTTAGCTGCACCTGTGCAAGATCGGGAAGGTGAATATGTGAAATGTGGGGAAGCTTACATCTACCATTACTATGTGATCTTAGGCAGTTTATTTAATCATTCACTACAAAATAGGGATAAATACTATAAGCACCTACCTCAAAATCTTGTTGAAAGGATTCCTTGAGCTAATACAGCTAGTGGTCTTAGACCAGGCTCTTGGGCCTGTGGCTGCTACAAGCATGGCCTTGAGAAATGGAGCTTTTCTGCAGCAGCATCCTGTGTCTACTCTCTAGCTTCCTGGACACCAACAGGCAGTGGGGGTGGGGGCAGGCAGTGACCTACTCCGCTTGCCACTGGCTGGTCACTGTCTTCGCCGGTGGAGAGACAGCCGCCATGGCCTGGACAGCAGCCTCCTGCCCTCCAGATTGCAGTGACTGTACTGAGTTTTCATATTCAGCAGGTCCCAGGGCAGCCCTTGCGAGTGAGGCAAAGGCATCAGCCTCGTTGGAGAGCCAGTTAGGCAGTTATCCTGATTCCAGAGGCCCTGCCTAGAGTCCACTTCTCCAGCCCTGAATTCCCTGCATTAAATCCCTTTCTGCATAAAATATGTAGACTGATTTTGGATTTCTGCAGCTGACCCTGTCAATGCAGTTTGATTCCTAAGCAAAGACTAGTAACTTTTCTAACAACTGGTAACAAATGCCTTTGGGGAAGGGTTTGACCTCTCAGCCCAGGCAAGAATACTGACTACTCTATTTTTCTTGTGTGATACTTGTGATTAAGTGTTATTGTTAGTGTGAGGGAAGGGGATGCTTATCAGGACTAACAGCCAGTCCTTTAAAATATATTGTGTTTAAATGTGTACAGCAAAATATACTTTTTTCTCATTATTGTGTGTGTGTGTGTGTGTGTGTGTGTGTGTGTGTGTGTGTGTTTGCCATCCTCGTCATCCTTTGCTGATTCTTCCCACCTCCCCTTCATCCTTTTCTCATTCATGTTCCTGTGGTTCCTTGATAATTAACCCCCTTTTGTACATTCTATATTCTAATGAAATTACCTGTTTTCTTGAATAAATCTCCAAATATATTAGAAACTCCCTGAGAACATAGACCGTGACTTGTTCACCAGTGTATCCCCAGGGTTTAGCACTATGTCTGGAACAGAACAAAGTACCCAATACCCATTATCTCATGCATGAATGGACATCCTTCTTCCAGGTGTTATTGTCTATAAATCCCTGACCCTGACTATTAAAGGGAATATCCCAGTGATCAGAGTGGAGAAATTCGGGGAAATACTATCCCTTGGAGAACTGCTATAATGAGGCAAATTTCTACCTGGGTGTGAAACTTGTTATATCTCTGCTGAAGACCCAGGGAGCTAGGAAAATATTATGCCTTTTTGCAGAAATGAGGCAATTACTGTAAAAGATGTATTATGCAATCTTCATGGTAACCCAAACAGGGCTGTGAGCACACACTGTGAATAAAAAGACAGGCAAATTTTGCAAACAAGCGATTTTCCAAAGGATACAAACAGTTCTTATCGGTAATGAGTGTTCATTTGCCCAGTCATTTTTTTGCCAGAGAAGGGGCAGCCTAAAATGTGCAATCCACATAGCAGATTACAAGTAGGCTTACCAGTTATCTCATTTAGTGCTCCCCTGTAAGTACTCCCCACTTTGCAGATGAAGAAAGACTATAGAAGTGACACTATTGGCAAATGGCACAAAAGGCAAGAGCTGGGCCCTTTGGCTTCAAGCTCAGTGCTTTTTGCACTTCATCTCTTGTCTGTTTTCTCAGTCCAGCCAGATGCAGCATGTGAACTGCAGGGTGTCAGGAGAGAAAAGGGCAATCATGAAAAGGGCTCTCTGCAGAGCTGGGGCTCTGGGCCTGCCCTCAGGTGCCCTTGCCCAGGTTGTCCCTCCAGCCCCTACGGTGGATTTGGACTCTCAAAACTTGGTTTTCCCCACAGCCTCAGATCCACCTAGCTCAGATTATTTCTGGTGAAGTGGAAACTACAAGGGCTCCATAGAAGATCAAGGTGAAAGCCACATCCCTGTCTTAGTCTGCACTGAAAGTGTGGGGTCTGGAACCAAGGAGGTGACAGGCAGCTTGGTATTCTCAGATCTGTCCTCCTCAAGAATGCCGCATTTCTCTCCAGGCACTGGTTTTAAAGAGAACATCGGGCCGGGCGCGGTGGCTCACGCCTGTAATCCCAGCACTTTGGGAGGCCGAGGCGGGTGGATCATGAGGTCAGGAGATCGAGACCATCCTGGGTAACACGGTGAAACCCCGTCTCTACTAAAAATACAAAAAATTAGCCGGGCGCGGTGGCGGGCGCCTGTAGTCCCAGCTACTCGGGAGGCTGAGGCAGGAGAATGGCGTGAACCCGGGAAGCGGAGCTTGCAGTGAGCCGAGATTGCGCCACTGGAGTCCGCAGTCCGGCCTGGGCGACAGAGCGAGACTCCGTCTCAAAAAAAAAAAAAAAAGAGAGAACATCGATAGGTTGCAAAGTGATGAGCAGAGAACAGCAGGAGGTGAAAGCACACTGTCACCCAGAGCTCCTCCCAGGCCTCGTCTCCTCCCTCAGTGCTCTCCTGACCACCCGCCCCCCACCCGCCGGCCTCCTTCCTTGTCACTCTCTATCACAGCACCCTGTTCTTTTCCTTTCTTTTCTTTTCTTTTTTTTTTTTTTTTTTTTTTTTGTGAGACAGAGTCTCGCTATGTAAACAGGCTGGATATGATCTTGGTTCACTGCAAACTCCACCTCCTGGGTTCAAGCGATTCTCCTGCCTCAACCTCCCAAATAGCTGAGATTATAGGTGCCTGCCACCACGCCTGGCTAATTTTTGTAATTTTTTTTTTTTTTTTTGGTAGAGACAATGTTTCACCATGTTGGCCATGCTGGTCTCGAACTGCTGACCTCAGGTGATCTTCCCACCTCGGCCTCTCAAAGTGCTGGGATTACAGGTGTGAGCCACTGCACCCCGCCTCCTTTCCATCTCTTATCACAAGTTACAATCAAACATTTATTCCTTTGCTTAGTGTTTACAGTCTGTCTTCTCAATTGTTTGTAAGCTTTGGTTCAGAAGAGACCATACTGGTTTTGCCCAACACCACAGCCCCTGCACCTTCCCCAGCATCTGGCAGATGGTTAGATTTCAGCTGCTGAATGAACAATGAATGCATGAGTGCATGATGGATGGATGGATAAGTTCATGGGTGCGACCATGTATAGGATGGTGGTGATGCCCAGGTGGGAGGAGAGATGATTCGAAGTGGAGTCCGTGAGAACTAGACCCCAAAGGGAGATTTTTTCTTTATGTCTCGCCCTTAGGCTCAAATAGGGATCAGTTCATAGAAGCTTTAGGAGGAAGATTTTCACACTGAGCTTTCACACATAGAAAAGCTATTTAAAAGTGAAGTGAACCGCGATAGCAGTAATTATTTCTCTGTTTCTGGAGGTGTTCCAGAACCAGCTAGATGATCTCCTGCCAGCAGTGCTATGGGGTTGGGAGGCGATCCCGGCATAAAAAGCGTTTGGTCCCAATGGCGTCTTGGGGTGCTTCCTGCTCTCTGATTCTCTGGTTCCAGGTGCTTTTTCTTCTGTTGAGATGGAAGCAGCATTTGTATCCTTTGCTTTTCTTTTATTCCCCTAAATATGCTGTTGACTGATATGTTTCTCTGCTCTGCTTTCTTCCTCTGGGAATATAGATGAGGTCTTGTCCGAAAACTTTCTGGACTATAAAAACCGTGGAGTCAATGGTTCTCATCGGGGCCAGATCATCTGGAAGATCGATGCCAGCTCGTACTTTGTGGAACGTGAGTACCTTTACCATTCTTGTGGCTTGGCAGACATGGATGAAGCAGAATTCAACTGTTTCATTATTTGTTCCCGTTGCACTGCCTCCACTAAGAAATGGGCCCTCTAAAAGAGAGGTGTAGATTTAAAGAGATCCTTAAAAAGATGTTCAGTAGTAAGTGGTGAGGTCTAGGGCAGTTGGATAAAAGCCAGCCAACCAGCCCAGAGGGCTGCCCCTTTAATACCAAGAAAGAGTTGGTTCCTATTCATAAGCCTCTGGACTTGGGACCCTTTGGCTCAGGTCCCTTAACTTTCACTCCATGGCTCCTCCGGGGGCATCTCCAATGTGGCCATAGTTAGACCAGGTCTTCTCAACAGGCATCCTACCCTCCAGTTTTGCCTTTGCTTGACCAAATCCTTCAAGGCTTCCTGCCCATGGTCCCAGTCTGTCAGTGATTTTCCACATTTTGCTCTGACCTTTGGCTCTGGCCACAGCTCCCCCGGAGGGCTGTGAGACATTGGTACTACCAGCCTGTTTCTTTGATTTTTAATCTACTGACATTTCTGAATGTATAAACTTTCTATCATATATCTTATTTATATGTTTTCTAAAATTTTCTTCTGCCTTTGAAAATAAATCATTATCAGAGTTATGGCAGGCTTTTTTCATGGGTCCCCATACTGGTGTATTTCTCATTGCATGAGGAAATACCTAGGTGGGCTTCGTGTGTAGGTATTTCCTACATACGAAGCTCAGATTATGGGCTTGACATTTGCCAGCTGAGGGAATGCACAGCTTACCTTCAGTCCACAGCTCCTTCTCCTCCACTTGGGTATGGAGTGATTTCATGGACAAACTTCTTCATGCACTTTCTGGTTGTTAGCAGATGTTCATTCAATGTGGCATGTCAGAAAGGAAATGGAGTGATCTGTTATTCCGGCTATCCAGTTCTCAGAGAAAAAGATGCATGGCTAGGAATCTGAAGTTATCCATTGGCATTTGACTTGTGGTCCAGGAAAAACTATATCCTCAAGTATATTTTGCTTTCATTTTCATTCACTCTTATTTTCATTCACTCCCTTGACAAACATTTTTGTAAGACCTGCTGTATTTCAAGGACTATAGATGTGAAGATGAAAGTCCTGGTGTCTGTCTTTGAAGAAACTTATGGTATCCCCGCTCCCGGCAATGACACCAATAGCTCTTTCTTGTGTTGGCTCATGCAGAATGAATAGACAACGAGGAAATTTTTATGCTATCAGGGTGTAGAGGGAACATGATTTTGTAAGATATGGTTTCTGGCTCTTGTGTTTGAGATAGGCATAATAAAACTCCCAGCAAGAGAATTTCTTTTCTTTTTTTTGAGACGGAGTTTCGTTCTTGTTGCCCAGGCTGGAGTGCAATGGCACAATCTCGGCTCACTGCAACCTCCGCCTCCCGGGTTCAAGCGATTCTGCTGACTCAGCCTCCCGCGTAGCTGGGATTACAGGCACCTGCCACCATTTTTTGTATTTTTAGTAGAGATGGGGTTTCAGAATGCTAGCCAGGCTGGTCTCGAACTCCTGACCTCAGGCAATCCACCTGCCTTGGCCTCCCAAAGTGCTGGGATTACAGGCGTGAGCCACCGCACCTGGCCAGAATTTCTTTTCTTTACTTATCTCCCTGGCTCTGGCTTTTCTCCTCTCTAATCCATGCCAGGCAAAATCCCTTAAACCCAATTTTGCTACCATCTGCCCCAAAGCTCCATGGATCCTCTTTCCTATTGCATCAGCTGCAATCTCTCTGCTCAGCTGCCAAGCCCCAACATAAACTCGCCCTCAGCCCACAGCCCTACTTCTCCATCCTCCCCAGCAGACACCCTTCACCCTGGTCATGTTGACCTCTCCCATTACCTAACAAATAGCATCATTCAGCATAGGAAATATGGGCTTATTTGGGGTGTAAAGATGGCTCCAGCAAGTGGTACCTGATATAAACCTCCTAAAGTTCAAGAAGAATGGAAAGGATACAAACTTGCATGAGTAGTGATTGTTAGACATAATACTCGAATGTGTGCACAAACCTACAATGGAAGTTTGGTAAGAGAGGTTTTTCTCTCTCACCATGCACCAATTTTTTCCCTTTGGCCTCTAATTAATTGAGAAATAGACATAAGAACCCATTTTAAGGTCACAGTAAAGTAGCAGTTCTCAATGGTGCTGGCACAAACACAACTTGAAAGTTTTTATCTTTTTTAAGTCCAGAAGATAAATATTAAGGAAGAGGAAATCCTAGGTGGGAATTTCAATATACCTGACTCAGATTCAAAGGGCAGTGACCACATCCCATAAAGCCACATCTCTTCTACACTTTGATACTATATGATCTCCTGACTATCTCCTCATTTGCATGGCCCAACACACCAAAAAATGGGGAATTTGTGTTGTAAATTAATCCAGCCCTAGTGCCATTCTCTTCAAAGCAGTTTTGAAAGATTTCTGTAACATATATAGAACATTTCTTGTATATTTATTCCAAATAACCACTTCATATAATTGTCCTCATGGGCAGTATGAAAACACACTTTAAGTATTATTAGAAATACATTATAGGCCGGGCAAGGTAGCTCACACCTGTAATCCCAGCTTTGGGAGGCCAGGGCAGGCAGATTGCTTGAGCCCAGGAGTTCGAGACCAACCTGGGCAATGTGGAAAAACCCCATCTCTGCAGAAAATTAGTCACGTATGATGATGTATGCCTGTAGTCGCAGCTACTTGGGAGGCTGCGGTGGAAGCATCACCTGTACCGTGGAAGTTGAGGCTGCAGTGAGCTATGATAGTGCCACTAAACTCTAGCCTGGCCACTGAACTCCAGCCTGGGCGGCAGAATGAGACCCTGTCTCATAAAACAAACACAACAACAACGACAAAAATACATTATAATATAAAACCATCTCTTTATAATACATAAACATTGGCATAATGGAATGAAAGCATATTCAAACTTGGTCAAGCAGCAGCATCCTATAAAAAACAAATGGCTTGACCGTGCGCGGTGACTCATGCCTATAATCCCAGCACTTTGGGAGGCCTAGGTAGGGGGATCACCCGAGGTTAGAAGTTCAACCTAGGGTTTCACCCTGGCCCATATGGTGAAACCCCATCTCTGCTAAAATACAAAAATTAGCCAGGCACGGTGGCATGAGCCTGTAGTCCCAGCTACTCAGGAGGCTGAGGCAGGAGAATCTCTTGAACCAGGGAGGCGGAGGTTGCAGTGAGCCGAGATCGCACCATTGCACTCCAGTTTGGGCGACAAGAGTGAAACTCTATCTCAAAAAAGAAAAAAAAAGGCTTGCAGAAGGCATATTCCAAATAACTGAAAGTTGAACACTTTAGATAATGACATTGTAAAATGTTTTTGTGCAGACTTGAGAAGATGTTGGTCCACAATATACCTGTTGGACTAGCAATGTCCCAGTGTTTTGGGAATATCAATGAAAGTGCAATGGGAAAGGCAGGTACTTACATTTTGCAAATATATCAAACTAATGTAGTATAATTTGTCAAAAAGTAAAAATTTATTGAGACAAAGCTTCAGTTTGCAAATGATTAGAGTATTAACTCAAGGCACATATATTAATATAAATAAAATAAGATGCTATAATGAATTATAGCTTTAGGGATCTGAATGCATTAAAATTGTATATAAGATGCTATATAAATTTACATGTTATGTGAAATAATTAGTGCTTTCAAAAATGTATGATTGAGAGGTGCCAAATTAACAAGTAGGGAGAGATTGGCTCTACGAAACGTTCTCATATGGCTATCCTTCCCTAACACATCCAAGCATCAAAGCTCTCTTGCTATAATAAAAATGCAGAATCCCAGCCATGATCCAAAGGGTTACAGAAGCTTCTATTATGAACTAAAAATAAGACTCTTTGCAGTCTCCCGGCAGTAATAAACACAATTAATCTAATTGGTAAATTATACTCTCTTAAAATTAAAAATAATTTTGTAAACATTAAAAATTGGCCAGATTTTAAACATTGAAGTACAACAGAAGCTCATTCTTTCTACCTGGGGATTAAATTAACATAATAAAATAAAATGAGGTGTACCTTTTATTTTGGTTTTTATTTTTCCCTTTATTTTTTCCTTTTGTTATTTCTTTTTATGAGATTGGATGTATATTGCAGATGACCTGGAGTCTGCAGGGTTCTAATAGCACTTTTCTTTGGGGATAATGATTCAATTTAGAAGTAGGTAATTGCTATTGATTTATACAATTTTTAATGGTCTGACTAAATCTGATTTTGAAAGTACCATCAAATTAGGAATATTTTAAACAAATATTTTCTGCACTCTCCAAGGAGTAACATACCTGATAAAAATACTAAAGAAAATAAAGCCTGAATCATTTCTTATTCTCTGGCATAATTTTTCTCCAGTGGGCACCTGGCTATTTGACCATAGTGTCAATGGCTATAACATGAGAACTCTAAAGATACAAACTTGAACACTGACAGAAGACAGAACTGGTGAAATCTTAAGTTGACCCATCCTATAAAGTCATATGATACTGTATTATTGTAGTAACTCAATTATCATTTTTTAATACATGCATTTGGGCTCCGCTGGCCCATTCAGACCTTCAGAGGGAGCTAGCACAGTCCTTGTTCATTGTGTATTTTGTCAGAATCCTTCCAAGTCAGGGCTTGGATTGCCCCAGAACACTGAGATGAGGTGATCCTGAAAAGAAGGTATCCTGTCTTGATCTCTGGCCAAGATCTGCTCTGTGTACCTCCTTGTTCATCCAATTTTAGTAGGAAGAACTGGGCAGTGTGTCTGGACTGACCTCTGATTACAGCAAAAAGAGACCACTGCCAAAGGGGCTGCCCTTCTCCCCCGCCCTTGTGTTGTCGTCACTGTCGTAGGCACCGCCTCCTCACAGCTGTCCAGGCATAAATGAGAAATCAGGAGTCATTTTCAACCTCCGTGCCTTGCCCTAGTGTCCTGCCCCCGCCAGTCAGCACCACTCATCCCGGATCCCACCTCACCTCCCGGGTCAGTCTTAGGCTCGGCCTGTCTTGCCCCTCGTTTCCTCGTGTGGAAACCTGGCTGGATGCACACCCAGATTGCTGCACGCTGTGGTCTCATCATTCCCTGCACCCATCAGAAGAACGCCCCTCAACCTTTTTAGCACCTCATTTTAAAATCCTTTTCCATCATGCCATCTGTCTCAGTCCGTTGAGGCTGTTATAACAAAATACCTTACACTGGGGAATTCATAAATAATAGAAATTTATTTCTCACCATTCTAAAGGCTGGGAAGTCCATGATCACAGTGCCAACAGATTCTGCTTCTGCTGAGGGCCTGCTCAGCTTCAAAGACAGTGCCCTCTTGCTGTTTCTGCGTAGGACCAGAGGGGCCAAAGGGGCTGGGGTGCCCCTTCAACCTCTCTTACAAGGGCATTAATCCCATTTAAATCATCATCCCATATTTTAAAAACACACAGGGGCTCCTGATGATACATAACAGAAAATCTAAGCAGCCAACCTTACTGACAGTTTGTAATGACTCCCCCCTTGACCATGGTGAGGTGAACCTCACACAGGTAGGGGCTGTCGGGATCTGCCTCCTCACTCTGGGCTTCAGCCAGTGGCTTCTAAGCCAGAGGCAGCATGATGGCCACGGTGACTTGGGGCTCAACCCCACGCCCAGGGAGGCCCTCTGGACTCTGAGATTCTGTTTCTTCATCTATAAAATGAAAGTGATATATGTCCTCCACAAGGCGGCCCCATGAAGATGACCTGAAAAAACTCAGGAGAAGTGCCCAGCCATGTGTCAGGGACAGTAAGAGCTCAGTCAACACCAGACCCCCTGCCATAATTAGAGGGCTGTGAATTAGGAATTACAGGTGTCACTCTGAGAGGAAACAGGGCAGGATCGTACATCCACCTTTTATTTCTGCTCTGGAAATGAACATATTGGTGTCTTGGTGACAATTGAGACATGAATGGCTTTATGCTGAGAGTTTTCTGTGGGGAAACCCTCTGCTCTGCAGCCAAAGCTGGAGACCAAAGGGCACTGGAGGAAAAGCAGGGCTCCAGGGGAGCCGGTGGCCTTCTCTCCCTTGACATTCAGAGCAATGTTTCCCTGCGGCGAAGCAGCCAGAGCCAGAACAAGCTCGCTGGGACCAGAGGCACCAGCACCAAGACTAGACACAGGGGCTTCATCAGGCCACAGTCCAGATGGTTAAGGTGACATGTTGTTAGAGCCTTTTATTTCAACTTGGGCATGTTTTCACCAGGACTGCTCTGCCTTTAGAGCCAGTGTGGCTAAGGACTGCACCGCGGGCTGCCATTTTCAATCACTGTTGTGTTATTTCCAAGGAGATGTCTCAATCTGTGCTACAATAAATACTTGGGCCATAGGCGCTAAGCCCTTAAGAAGGTTAAGTCTACATGAGGAGACTGAACCCCACCTGTGCAACGTAAAGGTGTGATCATTGCACTGCTTCACAGGTTTTCTGTTAGGAAAAAGTATGACTCCATATACATATCTGCAAGATAATAGGCGTATTTATATTATTGTGCCATCTGATTTTTTTATAGAGCTCCGTGGAAACCAAGACTCCCCCCACCGCTGCCCACCCACTTTAGCACTACGCTAAATTGAAATCATGGTTAAAATTGCACTGTGTAACGGTCGTGAAGTAATTCGTGTTGCTTATATTCTTACTTGTGTTTCTTAAATTTTAGGAAAATAATATAGAGTTCACAGTGATACTCCTGAAATTCTTTTTATCCTTTCACCACACAATTAATTCCCCTCCCTGCTGTCCCTACCACCTAAACTTCTCCATAAACCTACCTCTGGTTATACCTCGTACTCATGTTGGTCTTCCCTTCGTTATTTCCTTCCAGTTTTGCTTTAAAATCCCAAAAGAATTAATCTTGCTAGAGAGGCATCCCCTGGGTAGAGGAAGGAGCCCAAGCTACCAAGTCCATAGGCACTCTCTAGCAGCCCCAAGTGAAAGGGTTGGAAATATTCATACAGTGATAATTTTGTCCCTTTGAGGTTATCATGCATCATGTGATATCATATATTAGATATTATGCATCCTGTGTGCTAATGGGATGTAGAAAGAACATAATAGTGATTAAAGAGCAAGATTAAAGGCACGGCAGGGTGGAGCTGAGAAGTACAGGAAAGATAAGTGCTTAGACTTTATGTAGTCTATGAACCATTTATATTATTATTATTATTATTATTATTATTATCATTATTATTTTAGTTTTAGGATGACATGATAAAACGGATTTGGGGCCAGGCATAGTGGCTCACACCTATAATCGTAGCATTTTGGGAGGAAGTGGCGGAAGGATCACTAGAGCCCAGGAGCTCAAGACCAGCCTGGGCAACAAAGTGAGACCTCCATCTCTACAAAAAATAAAAATTTAAAAATGTTAGCTCTGTTTGGTGGCATGCACCAGTAGACCCAGCTACTTGGGAAGCTGAGATGGGAGAATCACTTGAGCTGGGGAGGTCTGCAGTCTAGCCTGAGCTATGGAGCAAGACCTTGTCTCAAATTAAAAACAAAAAACAAAAAACAAAAAAAACAAGGGTTTGTGACTATTCGTGCAAGGCAACTTCAGGGAAACATATCCACCTTCAGCAATCCCAGTCAAGGCCTGCAACATGGGACACAGAAGAAGCAGTGAACTAGAGGGGCTGCGGTTGCTGCTGGTCCCTGTCTGAACTGCATGGGGCTGCCAGAGGCCAATCTGACTGAACACGGCCAATGAGACAATGGCGTGTGGCAGTGGAGGGCCCAGCCCACGTGGGAAGACAAGACGCAGGCGTGCAGTCACTTCTCAGCACATCAAGGATTCCATTGCATCTGGGGGACATCAAAATTGACCTGCAGTGCATGGAGGTCTCAGTCCCTCAGATTAAATAACAAAGCATGACTGAGCGTTATTACAGAAAACAGCCAGAAAGATATAACCGGAACATTCCATTCAGATTCGCAGCAATACAAAACGATGGTGCCGGCTTCCAGTCAGATACATGTCAGATCTTCCCAATGAGAAGAAAACACTCAATCGACATAAATAAAGGGTCAAGGCCCTATTAACCCAAAGTCACACTTTTCTGGATTAACCTTAAGTTGCCAAGTCGGTGTGAGAACATAACAGATACAGCTGTCTCTCTTAGCCCTATTGTGCTGGAGGCCTGCTGGGGATCGTGCTGGTCTCCAGGGGCTCAGATCTAGACATGCAGGCTCCGTCCCTGCATGCCAAGGTTCTGGCATTACACTGGGGAGACAAGCATGTACTTCTTTTTGTGCTTTGTGTGAAATAGTAAGAGGAGGAGCCCTAGCCTGACCTTGGGGCAAAGACCTAATCACCTCCAAGTTACAGGAACTCGGCCAGTTGGGAAGGAAGGTCTGGGCTCAGGGCCAAGTGGCATACAGGGGTGGGAAGGGGTGAGGCTGGGGTAGGTGAGACAGAATTGGAAAAGAAACATTCCAGGGAAGGAGCCCAGGGTCAGAGGTTCTAGGCAGTTTAGACATATGCCTGCAGAGCACACAGAGCTATGCAAATGCTTTAAGTAGAAAAAGCATTCCGATTAGGCTTGCATTCTAGAAACTGCATTCTGGCAGAAGTGTGGCGAGAAGACTGTAAGGTGCTGATATTAGAGGCTTGAGACCACCAAGAAACTATGGCATAAAAACAGGTGAGAAACAAAGAACACCTGGAATGAGAAAAATGGAAGGGGCTGATTCAGAAAGAGGCTTAGGAGGTAAGATCAACATGGCTTGGTGAGGAACTGGATGTGTGCCTGGGGAGAGGAAAGGGGCAGAAGGAGAATCAGCTGCCTCTACGGCACATCATCCAAGACTGAGGGGTCAGAAAGGGGGCGAGTTTGGGGATTGAAGACACCAAGTTCAGGCTGAAGTGTCTGTGGGCTGGAAAGATGCAGCACACAGTTGCCCGGACACGGCGTGCTAAGGAGAAGAACCCGGCTTTGAAACAGAGATGGGAAAGGAACAAGCAACTGCTGTGTGAAGTGAGGGTGTGAAGGACTTTGTGTAGGGGGAGTGTAAAGTAGTGTTTCTCAAAGTGTAGCCTGCTGAAAATTGCAAGGCAGTCGTTTACCCAGGGTGGTTATTAGAAATGCAGATTCCATAGGCAAGAGCCTTTCTTTTTAATAAGCATGCCATGTTATTCTGATATGCCTGTAAATGTGAAGATGACTGATACAGACTGTGAGAAGAGGAGAGTTGAGGACGGAATTCCATCGAGGAGCAAGAGGAAGAAGAAGAGAAAGAGAGATCATGGAGTTAGGCAGGTTAAGGGTGGCCATAAATTCCCTGATGCTCCTCCTATTGAGAGGCGGGGTCCATGTCGCCTCCCCTTGAGCCTGGGTGGGTGCTGTGACCTGGGCTGGTTTCCAAACTAAAGTACCAACTTCCAGCCTAGGCCTCAAGATATTGGAAGCTTCCACTTCCTCCCTCCTGGGACACTCACTCTTAAAGCCCTGAGACAGCTGGGCTGGGAGAAGCCCTGGCTAGCTGTGTTCGGGGCTGTGTGACAAGAGCATGCTGGCAGGCCCAGAGTTTCCAGCCATCCTCAACCAGGCAAGAGGCCACATCATACGTCTAGCCCTAGCTGCTGTCAATGGCAACAGCATGTGAGATCCGCAGGAGAACTGCCATGCTGAGCCCACACCTCACAGAACTTTGAGAGATAATAAGAGGGTGCTGCTGAAGCTGTCAAGTTTTTGGTTTGATGATTATACAGCCATAGTAACCAGAGCACCAGAGAAACCATCAAGAGCAAGGCCCTGGAAGTCAAGGGAGGAGAAACCATCAAGGATGTCATCAATATGACCTGCTGAGCGCCACAGAGTCACAGAAGATACAGAAGTCACCTGTGGAGGGTGGCCATGTGGGGGCTATGGGCTTTGTCTAAATAGTTCGAGGAGTTGGTGAGAAAGACTGTAGGCTGAAAGGTATAGAGTGACTGGTTCATCCTGGTTTGCTGGAACTCTCCTGGTTTGGGCCCTAATAGTTCTGTGTCCCAGGAAAAAGCTCAGGCGTGAACATGCTGGAGTGGTTGGTGACCCTCTGGTGAGTCTGCACTGATAAAGAAGAGGCCAGGGGAATACAGCAGTCCTGTGGGATGGCTGGCAATGACAGTGGCTCTGAGAAGGTAACCAAATGAGGAATAAAATCAAAGGGAAGTCTTTTATTTATTTATTTATTTATTTATTTTATTTTTTTATATACTTTAAGTCCTAGGGTACATGTGCACAACGTGCAGGTTTGTTACATACGTATACATGTGCCATGTTGGTGTGCTGCACCCATTAACTCGTCGTTTACATTAGGTATATCTCCTGATGCTATCCCTCCCCACTCCCCCCACCCCACGACAGGCCCCCGTGTGTGATGTTCCCCACCCTGTGTCCAAGTGTTCCCATTGTTCAATTCCCACCTATGAGTGAGAACATGTGGTGTTTGGTTTTCTGTCCTTGCGATAGTTTGCTCAGAATGATGGTTTCTAGCTTCATCCATGTAAGATCGGGGTGGGGCCAGGCACAGTGGCTCACACCTGTAATCCCAGCACTTTGGGAGGCTGAGGCGGGCGGATCACAAGGTCAGGAGATCGAGACCATCCTGGCTAACATGGTGAAACCCCATCTCTACTAAAAAAAATACAAAAAATTAGCCGGACGTGGTGGTGGGTGCCTATAGTCCCAGCTACTCGGGAGGCTGAGGCTGGAGAATGGCGTGAACCCAGGAGGTGGAGTTTGCAGTGAGCCGAGATTGCGCCACTGCACTCCAGCCTGGGCGACAGAGCAAGACTCTGTCTCAAAAAAAAAAAAAAGATCAGGGTGAGCTTGCACATGTTTATAGACTGAGTGGAATAGGCCATAAAAATAGGGACTCTCATTAACTTAGTGCTTACAGGTATCAACGTTCTTGGCAAGGATGTTACCATGAGGTGGACGCCATCACTGTTGTATCCAGTGAGAAATCTTATTCTCTGAGCATCATGGCAGCTTGCCTAAGGTTCAGAGTGGTAGGTGGTGGAGCTGGGATTTGAGGTCAGGATTATCTGTTGTGCTTCAGCACCATGGCAGAGCCCATGGGAATGTCAGAGATATGGGACATTGAAGGGCAGTTTGATGGATTGAAGGCCATGAGGAGTCAGTAGGCAACAGGATCCAGAGAACAGTTATGGGACAGGACTTTCCTAGAAGCTCTTGACTGGCTAGGGGTGGGATGACCAGAAGTGTGGGTGACGCAGGTGGCAGGTGCAAGATGGGAACAAAGAGACAGGAAGAAATGTGTTTCTGCTGACCATTCTACAGTGCCCGCTTTCCTAACAAGAAGAGAAATAATAAGAAGAAATTGGAAGAACTCAGGAGTGATTTTCATCTACACAGATGTGGTACAGTGAAATTGGATCTCTACAAAAATAAATAAATAAATAAAAAGCTTCTCCTCTTCCTCTTCAAAGCCACTCTACATACAAAATGAATCTCTTTTGCTCAAAATCACAGACACACGGAGCTGGAACCTCAACCCGGGCTGCTGAGACCCTCTAAAGACTTCAACAACCCAAGGAAGGGACTGTTAACCCATTTTGATCTCCATGAGATGGATACAGATCCCCAGGCATGCGCACAGGCCACATTCTTGAAATGGGGCCTTGCTCTAAAGGCCTGTTGCAGGTGTGTGTGGCGAGAGGCCAAATTTGGCAGGCAAGAATATGGGGCAGACAAGGGACACTGACCTAACTAAGATTCTGTGTCTGGACCTGCAGCCAGGTGGGTGAGGCAGTGTCTGAAGGGCATGGCAAGCTGATCACCACGGTGTCCAATTACACAGACAGACACAGCAGATGGGAGCAAAGGCGGCTGCGGTCACTTCAGGAGTGTGGCCTGTGCTCATCCCTGGGGAACAGTACATGGGCTGCAAGGTCCGACCCCTGGGCTGTTGTTTGGGGTAAGGCTACTGTCCTGAGTAGAGGAATAACACTAATAATACCAGCAGCTAAACTTCTTTGAGCCATCCCAATGTACCTGGCATCATGCTGAGCACCTTAAATATATTGCCTCATTTAATCCTTATGGAACCCTAGATGGCAGATATTTTTATTTTTCCTTTTTGTTAATGAGAAACCTGAGGCAGAGGAAGATAATTCAACCGGTCCCATAGTCACAGGTAACAAACAAGTGATAGGACTGGGATGGGAACCAAGACAGCCTGCCTTCAGAGACTGCTCTTTAGCCAATAGACCAAAGTAGGCCAGTAGGGGTCCCATGACTAAGGCAGAGGATTGGTGCAAAATTCTGGTCCCATAGAGAGCTCAGTACTGGCTTATCCACTGGATAGAACTTTGAAGTAGGAGTCATTCCTGGGGGCCTTACCTCCCTGGTATGATAGGCAAGGAAATGTGGGGGGCATCAGAGAATACAGACATCACTAGACTATCACATTCTACCAAAATGGAGGTCTGGAAGGAAGATCAAGGTGGTTAGTATACAGTCTTTCTCATATCCAGATGATCCCAAGTGGGGAGCTCAGTGTGCCTCCTATAAAAAGCTGTAGAGAAAGTCACATTAAAAGAAAAGGCAACACAGGATTTCAATCGCTTCCTCACAGGTAAATCCAGAATCGCCCCTGTTTTGGTGCATTTGTTATGTATGGATGGATTCCATTTGTATATGCATTTATAAAAGTATTACTTATTCCCTACAGAAAATTTGAGGAAAAGATCAAAGCAAAAATCGTCTATAATTTCAACACCTAGATAACATTTTAGAAGAGTGTTTTATTGCTAGTAGCATTTCCCCTTAGAAGGCTTAATAAGTATGTATTCAATTATATAATGAATGAATTAAGCTGGTGCTCAGTATTCCAGTGCAGGAAGCATGAGACTTATGCTGAAGGACAGCAGCCATTACATCTTGTCTTTCCTATAGATGCCCCTGAGCCCAAAACGTTGGGTTTCCCTGCTAGAGGAAGAGACAGGGAAATGCGGGCAGAGGGAAGGGGCCAGATGGTCTCTGGGTCAGCCACAGGGAGATAACAGAGTCAACTGACCTATCTACCTTCCCCTTGTAATAAAGAGGTGGCAGAAAGTTACCACCTTTGAAAACAGAGGACTCTGCTCTCTGTCAAACATGGCCCAATCCACACTGGGAATCTGACCAACCAGTTTAGCAACTCCTCCTCCCTCCACTGGGACCAGGAAACGGATGTTAGAAAAGCAGTGGAAAGGGAGAATTTTCACTTTTTCCACTTTATTCCTACGTTATACCTCTCTCTTTTAACCTATTGAGTGTTTCAGCCAAGTCAATGGTTGTGCATAGCCACAGCTGTTTTTGGTGAGGACAGAGATCTGTGGAGCTTCAGAAAGTCCTGCCTGAACATTGTGTGTGCCTTCCTGAGTACTTTCGCAGCTTCTGTGCATCTTATCTACCCAGGACCAATTCGGAGGTCACTCTCAGGACTTTCTGACATCAGTCAAGATAGGTCTCTAGTCAACTGCAAGGCCATTGTCAAATGGTGCCAGCTACATTGTCCACTCCAGCTTTCAACAACCAGGAAAGTGTTCAGAGTCCAAACAATACAAAAATATACAAAACCTCTCCCAAAATGTTGTTAATGCAGATGTCTCTGTCTCATGTATCACACGTTCCCAAAATTCTAGAGTCAATATGGTACCTAAGAATATTGAAAAATCCGCCAACACCCACAAAATTTAGACACAAACAACCCTTATCCGTTGCAGCAGCTACTAATCTAAGCCTTGTTCCTTCTCTCTAAGCAAAACCAGAGTTTGCAGAACCTGGTACATATTTAGACTTACATTGCTGTTGCCAGCTGTGTTACCTGAGGAAAGTAAGCAGACAAAAAGCAGAAAAGAAAAAGGAGAAAGTCATCCTTGTTTTATTGTCATTAGAATGAATGTCAGTCTCTTCCAGGTTATCCAAGGCTTATGAATTTAAATCCCAAATCAGAGAACCCACCTTAGAGGGGAGAAATTGTGACATTATGCTTCTCATATCCTTTGGGGAAAATACAGTTACAAATAGTCTACCCTCTACCAGAGAATGGCATATGAAATACTCTATCTCTATACCGAGTCTAGAAATTTGGACCTACAGACACAGCCTTTTCTTGGAACTTCTGTTCTTTTCTTCATATTTACCCTCGAAAAGAAGAGGCTTATTTTACAATATGAATTTTCTATAACACAGAACATAAATTTCTGGTGAAAATTAAACACTTAAAACCTGCCTAACCCTTCAACAATGAAAAGGTTAAGTATTAAAATAATATGATGAAATATTTTTCAGAAGGGGAAGAGTAGATTATGTCAATTCTTTTTAAACAGTCAATAATAGAAGGGAAAAGGCAGAAAGAGTTCAGGAACATGCAGAAAAAAGTAGTCAAAATAATCCACAATCAGGCCTTACCCTTACTGCTAGCCTAATCACCAGCAGTTCCCAAATTAGAGAAAAATACATTTCAGGCAAACTCAATATAAAAAATTAATATTCAAATATCAGAACCAGTTAAATGGAAGTCTAGCTGCTTGACACATATGAAGTGGTTATGGTGACCTTACAACCTCGCTGCTATAGACTAATGTTTGTGAGTGGGCCCTCCTAATGGAATTAATGCCTTTATAAAGGAGGAAGAGACACATGATTTCTCTCCCTTTGCTATGTGAGAACACAGCAAGAAGGCAGCCATCTGCAAACCAGGAAGAGAGCCCTTAGCAGAAACCTGATCCACCAGCACCTTGACATTGAACTTTCCAGCCTTCAGAACTGTGAGGAATAAATGTCTGTAGTTTAAGCAACTCAGTCTATGATATTTTTATAGCAGTCCAAAATGACTTAGATACTCACAAAACAAATTCTTACAATATTTGGAATCTTTCTTTCTTTTTCCTTCCTTCCTTCCTTTCCTTTCCTTCCTTTTTTATCTCTTTCCTTCCTTCCTCCTTTCCTCTCTTTCTTTCTTTCTTTTTTCTTTCTTCCTTTCTTCCTTCCTTCCTTCCATCTCTTTCCTTTTCTTCATTTTTCCTCTTTCTCCCTTGACTCCCTTTCTCCCTTCATCTCTCTCTTTCTCTTTCTCCCTTCATCTTTCTTTCTCTCTTTCTGTCTTTATCTCTTTCTCTCTCCTTTCTTTCTTTTTCTTTCTTTCTTTCTCTCTCCTTCCTTCCTTTCCCTCTCTCTCTCTTTCTCTCTCTCTCCTTCCTTCCTTTCTCTTTCTCTTTCTTTCTTTTTCTTTCTTTCTCTCTCCTTCCTTCCTTCCTCTCTCTTTCTTCCCCTCCCTTTCTTTCTTTCTCTTTCTTTCTTTCTTCTTTCTTTCTTTCTTTCTTTCTCTCTCTCTCTCTCTCTTTCTCTCTCTCTCTCTCTCTCTCTCTCTCTCTCTCTCTCTCTCTCTCTCTCTCTCTTTCACTCTATTGCCCAGGCTGGAGTACAGTGGTGGGATCATACCTCACTGCGGCCTCAAGGGCTCAAGTGATCCTCCTGCCTCAGCCTCCTGAGTAGCTGGGACCACACTCACACACCACCATGCCCAGCTACTTAAAAAAAAATTTTTTTTAGAGATGGGGTCTTACTATGTTATCCAGACTAGTCTCCAATTCCTGGCCTCTAGTGGTCCTTCACCTCAGCCTCTCAAAGTGCTGGGATTACAGGTGTGAGCCACCACTCCCAGCCAAGATTTGGACTTTTGAAAGAAAATCCAGCTTCCCTCTCAGGACTCTGTGCAGACCATGACTTTTTCTTTTCTTGTTTATTTTCTCTTATTTCATTTTAAATTCAAGGGGTACATGGCTTGTTTGTTATAAGGGTATTACATGCATAATAATGAGGATTGGGCTTCTAATCTACCCATCACCCAAATATTGAATATTGAACTCAATAAGTAATTTTTCAACCTTTATCCCTCTCCCAATCTCCCCACTTTTGGGGTCCTCAGTCTATTATCTCCATCTTTATGCTCATGTGTACCCATTGTTTAGCTCTCACTTATACATTAAAGCATGTGATGCTTGATTTGCTGTTTCTGAGTTAGTTCACTTAAGATAATGGCCTCCAGCTCCATCCACGTTGCTGCGAAGGACATGATTTTATGTTTTATGGCTGTGTAGTATTCCATGGTGTATATATACATTTTCTTTATCCAATCAACTATTGGTGACACTTAGGTTGGTTCCATGACTTTGCTATTGTGAATAGTGCTGCAATAAACATAGGAGTGCAGATGTCTTTTTAATTAATGATTTCTTTTCCTTTGGGTAGGTACCTAGTAGTGGGTTTGCTGGATCTAATGGTAGTTCTATTTTTAGTTATTTGGAATATCTCCATATTGTTTTCCATAGAGGTTGAACTAATTTACACTCCCACCAAAAGTATATGAGTGTCCCCCTTTCTCTGCAACCATGCCAACATCCATTGTTTTTTGACTTTTTAAATAATAGCCATTCTGACTAGTATAATATCTCACTGTGATTTTAATTTGCATTTCTCTGATGATTAGTGATGTTGAGCATGTGTTTGTTGACCACTTGTATTTCCTGTTTTGCAAAATGTCTGTTCATGCCCTTTACCCAGTTTTTAATGTGGTTGTTTTTTTCTTGTTGAGTTGTTTGAGTCATCTGATATAGACTCATCTCTGAGCCTACCCAGACAAAGATATATTTGAGAGCCCCAAGGTGACATCTCTAGGTCAGTCAAGTGGCCAAGAGCCCCAAGGTGACATCTCTAGGTCAGCCAAGTGGCCAGTGCATGCTGCAACATGTTGTGGGAAGGCACACACTATTTCCCAGGTGTTACAGGATGGTATGTGCATGTACTTCATTTCTCACCTTTTCTTCTAACAGTCTGACACTAACCTGCTTCATCACAGCATCTCAGTGTCTTCAGATGCTCTTGCTGGATGGCCTCTCCAACTCAGCCGAATAGCCAAGATCATTGTCTCCCAAGAGGCAACAATTCCAGCAAATTCTAAACCTACAGACATTATAGTTTCATGAAATCCCACACCAATGGAGCACAATGTCTTTTTTTTTATAGAAGACACTCACTTGCTGTGAAGGCTGCATTTGCAGTGTCAGGGGCCCCTTAGAAGGAACAAACATCCAGTTCCTGCACCCTGAATCTGAATCAACTGCAACTGGGAGAAGCAACTACCAATTGAATATGCACCATGCCAGATGGCCTGGCATATTTATGTGCTTTGAGTTGCCATGTCCTGTGTGCCAGAGAGCTAAAACTGGTTTCAGGCAACTCAGTCCTCCACCATCTGACCAGCCAAGATTATTCTCTCCACTTAGATTGAAACACAGAGACCTACTCCAGTGATCTAGGATTAGGGACTTTTGTGGCACAGAAGGCACTAGACTCAGTGATGATATTACTGCTGCTCTTGTCGTTGGCCTGGGAGACACTGCTGGGATACCCTGCCTCCAGCCTGAATGCTTGGGATAGGCTTAGAAAGTACTCAGCTGGTTCCATCCAGGATAGGGGACTGCAGCGTCAGTGCTGTGTGATGCCCTGTTTTCATACTTCATATTCTTCACTCTTGCCTTCTATATCCCTCACCAGGGATTTTTTATTTTATTAGTCTTTTCAAAGATCTAACTTTTGATTTTCTTGATCCTCTATATATGTTTGTTTTCTGTTTAATTACTTTCTGCTCTTTATTCTTTATCATTTCCTTCTTTCTACTTTCCTTGGATTTAATTTGTTGTTCTTTTGCTAATTTCTTGAGATTGCTGCTTAGCTCGTTGGTTTGTAGCCATTCTTGTCTAATGTATGCAATGAGACTGTCAATTTTCCTCTAAGCAGTTTTTATTTTGCTTTATTTTGGTAAAATTCTTGCTGAAGCACAACACACACACAGAAAAGTGCACAAATTTAAGTGCAGAGCTTATGAATTTTTCAGAAAGGGAACTCTTTCACGTAAACAGCGCTCAAATCAAGAAGCAGAGCTTTACTCACATTTTAATCTGTTCTGTTTCTCTTCATCCTTCTCACACATCTGTGTTTCTGTCTGGGATCATTTTCCTCTAAAAAAAAAAAAAGAGTTCCCTTTAGTATTTCTTTTAGTGCAATCCCACTGGAGATAAATAGTCTCAGTTTTTGTTTGTCTGAAAACATCACTATTTCACCTATAGTTTTGAAGAGTAATTTCACAATATATATAGCGGGAACTCAAAGTTAGGTGTTTTTCTCTTTAGCACTTAGGAATGTCATTTATCTTCTGAAAAGTCAATGGTTAGTCTTTTTGTCATTCCTTTGAAGGTAACTATCTTCCCCCATCTTATGCTTCTAAGACTTTTATCTTTGTCTTTGGATTTCATCAGTTTAACTATGATGTGCTTACCAGAGCTTCTTGTTTTTATCCTACGGCTTATCCTGAAGCTTAATGAGAAGCTATTATCTTCTCAAAAGTTGGCTTTACCCCATTCTCTGGAACTCCAATTACATACGGTGGATCATTCCATTGTGTCCCTCTGTTCCTTTTTCTCTATGTACTTTCTCCCCTTTCTTTCCTCTACCTTCTTTCAATCCGGATATTTTCAGTCGACCTATCTCCCGGTTTACGAACCCTCTTTCTGCTCTACCTGATCTCCTGCTAAACACATGCATAAAGTTCCTAATTTCAGCTATTCTATTTTTCAGTAATAAAATCCTCATTTGATTCTTTTCTATTGGTTTTAATTTTCTGGCAAAGGCTGTACTTAATATATCCATTTTCTATGTACATCATTGCTTCTTTAAAGTCTTTGCCAGATGACTTCAGCATCAGGATTCTGTTTCCCTGCTTCTATCTATTGCTGTACTTGGTAATTTTCTGTCAATTGCCATACATTGGGTATGAAATATTATACACTTGAGTTACTTTAGGTGATGACATCTTCTCCCAAAGAGGGTTTGCCATGTCCTCAGCTAGGCAGTTGGGGTGCTGATGGCCTTGTCCAATAAGAGGGGAGCTCCGCGGGGTGCAGTCCAATTCTGGTAAGCCACAGTCTCCCTCTGGCTATCCCATGTTCCTTAGGACCCCTCTCAAGGGCTTTCAGTGGGGCCCCTCTCCCTGCCAGATCTCCTCAATACCAAGAGATGGAAAATTTTGCCTCTACTTTTCAAATGTTTTCATGATTAGATTTTTAGTCTTTTGCCCTCAAAGCTTCAGTATTTGTGAATGTCTGAGGGGAAACCAGTTGTGTATTTGAGATCTCCTGTGCTGTAACTCTCGCCCCATCTAGTGAGCCACCAGGAAAAAGGGGGTACAGGTTACCAGAAACCTCTCATCTAGAAGTTTTAGTCCTATCTGAGATTCCACTGCTCTGCAGTGCCTGGAAACATTTTGTTTTAAAATCAGCTTACTTAGTTAGCTGTAGAAGCATTCATGTGCTGCAACTACTCTATCCTAGCAGAAAGAAGAAGTCTCTAATTCCCACCCCCCACCCCTTTTTTTTTTCTAAGACGGAGTATCGCTCTGTCGCCCAGGCTAGAGTACAGCAGAGCAGTCTCAGCTCACTGCAACCGCTGCCTCCCGGGTTCAAGCAATTCTCCTGCTTCAGCCTCCAGAGTAGCTGGGATTACAGTCGCCAGCCATCACGCCCAGCTAATTTTTGTATTTTTAGTAGAGACGGGGGTTCACCATATTGGCTAGGCTGGTCTCACACTCCTGACCTCAGGTGATCCACCCACCTCAGCCTTCCAAAGTGCTGGGATTACAGGTGTGAGCCACTGCGCCCGGCCTCTAATTACCTTTGAACTGTGCAAGCAATAGCCCCAGGGATCAAAAACTCTGTCTGGGGGTGGTGACAGTAATCAACACTGAAATGAAAACAAAATGCATTTTTTGATTGTTTTTGAATTTAGAATTGGCCCCCTGACACGTGAAGTAAGTATTTCCCCTAAATTAAAGCTACAGTGTCGTCTGTTGGTGGGAGTGTAAACTAGTTCAACCATTGTGGAAGACAGTGTGGCGATTCCTCAAGGATCTAGAACTAGAAATACCATTTGATCCCCTGATCCCATTACTGGGTATATACCCAAAGGATTATAAATCATGCTACTATAAAGACACATGCACACGTATGTTTATTGTGGCAATACTCACAATAGCAAAGACTTGGAACCAACCCAAATGTCCATCAATGATAGAGTGGATTAAGAAAATGTGGCACATATACACCATGGAATACTATGCAGCCATAAAAAAGGATGAGTTCATGTCCTTTGCAGGGACTTGGATGAAGCTGGAAAACATCATTCTCAGCAAACTATCACAAGGACAGAAAACCAAACACTGCATGTTCTCACTCATAGGTGGGAATTGAACAATGAGAACACTTGGACACAGGGCAGGGAATATCACACCCCAGGGTCTGTCATAGGGTTGGGGGGCAGGGGGAGGGATAGCATTAGGTGAAATATCTAATGTAAATGATGAGTTGATGGGTGCAGCAAACTAACATTGCACATGTATAACTATGTAACAAACCTGCACATTGTGCACATGTACCCTAGAACTTACAGTATTATAAATAAATAAATAAATAAATAAATAAATAAATAAATAAATAGTTACAGTGTCATTTTACATATTGGTTCGTTTTGGTCACTTTTGCTATGCTATCGTATTTAAAGACATTAACATGGGATTTATTCTTCTAAATAACAAATTAGTCAAGTAATATACAGTTACTCATGTAAAAAATATATATCAGCTATCACAATTACTTCAAAAAGAAGTTGCAATTAACCATTTTTCATTCACATAACCAGACAGCTCAGAATTTAGCTATTAGAGAAGCATGAGTTTATCACGTGGCAATTTGTATAAGTTAGGCAAATGTGAAATTCTTAAAAATACAAACATCTACTGTTTATTAAACATTTATGACTTTTCCAGTTATTTTAAAATTAATTTAATTTTAGTTTAGTTTTAGTTAATATAACCAGTCCGTAATACAGCATTCTAAATCATGATGACTTTTGGAAGTACAAATCCAAGTTAGATGATACCTGTATCAAATTATAAAATTTTGACTGTCAATATGACATTCTGTAATACAATAAGATTTTTTCTGTTAGAGCCATATATTACTTTAATGATAATTTTACTACAAAAATATCATTTGAGTAGCAAAAATATCATGACTTTCAGGGCTGTTTATAGTAGAGCAAGGGTTTGTTGTTGTTTTGGTGCAATTTAATATGGCTTTAAAAATTATGTAATTTTATCCCTTTGAATGAGTTCTTAGATACAAGTTGCTAAAATTAAATGCAGCAGGACAAGTATGTATAAAAGATGACTGTTTCATTCTGGTGTTGGTTAAAAACCAGACTCACGCCTGAAAAGCTTTAACATTTTACCTTAAGGAGATTCAACAGGTAATATCAGTTTTTAAATTAACATAAATTTTCCAGTGTTTACTATGAATATTTACACTTAGAGTGGAATCATCAATGTTAGATGCCTCGTCAATGAACATTATTTCCATTTATCCTCATTTATTTGGAAACCCTTCACCCTTCCTTTGTTTTGATCAAAAGTCACAGCCTTTCTCTAAGCTGCTTATTTCTTAAAATCCATTTAATTCATAAAAAGAAATACAAATGGATATACTGCCATATAGGATAGACTGGCAGGACTCAAGGTTTTATACAATTAATGTTGATTATTTCTCTAAAAGTACTGCTCTTATTGTTTCCTCTTGCTGAAACTAAACACTCTTCAGACTCAATTTATATCACATTATTCTACTGTTACTTAATCTTTTTGAGCATCTGAAGACATTGTACTTTCCATTCCTCCTTCTAGATAACTCTTGAGGCTAACTCTTACAGAGTAATTATAGCTTTTTTGGTTAAAATTGCTTTTCTTGGGGTTTGAGGATATAGTCTCACATCTATTTTGTAAATGACATATTAGCAGATTTAAGTTCATTATTCTTAAGAATGTTTATACATAGAGGCCGGGCATGGTGGCTCACGCCTGTAATCCTGGCACTTTGGGAGGCGCAGGCAGGCAGATCATGAGGTCAGGAGATCGAGACCATCCTGGCTAACACAGGGAAACCCTGTCTCTACTAAAGATACAAAAAAATCAGCTGGTCGTAGTGGCAGGCATCTGTAGTCCCAGCTACTCAGGAGGCTGAGGCAGGAGAATGGCATGAACCTGGGAGGTGGAGCTGGCAGTGAGCCAAGATGCACCACTGCACTCCAGCGTGGGAGACAGAGCAAGACTCCATCTCAAAAGAAAAAAAAAAATGTTTCTACGTAGATAATTTGATCCTTTCTGCAAAATAAGTGACTTCACAATGGAAGGCTGTGCTGATCTATCTCTGTCTAATTCATCAACTCTGATTATACTCTGGTTCATAAGATCTCAGTGTTTTTGCATTGCAGATATTGTAACACCTGAGTAGCTAAAAACTTGCCATGATGTTCAGATATTCACGGTGCTGGCAAACTGCAATGTCTGGGCAACAGTATTCTTTTTTTTTTTTTTAATTATACTTTAAGTTCTAGGGTACATGTGCACAACGTGCAGGTTTGTTACATAGGTGTACATGTGCCATGATGGTTTGCTGCACCCATCAACTCGTCATTTACATTAGGTATTTCTCCTAATGCTATCCCTCACCCTGCCCCCCAACCCTATGACAGACGTGTGTGATATTCCCTGCCCTGTGTCCAAGTGTTCTCATTGTTCAATTCCCACCTACGAGTGAGAACATGCAGTGTTTGGTTTTCTGTCCTTGCAATAGTTTGCTGAGAATGATGTTTTCCAGCTTCATCCATGTCCCTGCAAAGGACATGAACTCATCCTTTTTTATGGCTGCATAGTATTCCATGGTGTATATGTGCCACATTTTCTTAATCCACTCTATCATTGATGGACATTTGGGTTGGTTTCAAGTCTTTGCTATTGTGAATAGTGCCGCAATAAAAATACGTGTGCATGTGTCTTTATAGTAGCATGATTTATAATCCTTTGGGTATATACCCAGTAATGGGGTCAAATGGTATTTCTAGTTCTAGATCCTTGAGGAATCCCACACTGTCTCCACAATGGTTGAATTAGTTTACACTCCCACCAACAGTGTAAAAGCGTTCCTATTTCTCCACATCCTCTCCAGCATCTGTTGTTTCCTGACCTTTTAATGATCGCCATTCTAACTGGTGTGAGATGGTGTCTCATTGTGGTTTTGATTTGCATTTCTCTGATGACCAGTGATGAAGAGCATTTCTTCGTGTGTCTGTTGGCTGCATAAATGTCTTCTTTTGAGAAGTGTCTGTTCATATCCTTTGCCCACTTTTTGATGGGGTTGTTTGGTTTTTTTCTTGTAAATTTGTTTAAGTTCTTGGTAGATTCTGGATATTAGCCCTTTGTCAGATGGGTAGATTGCAGAACTTTTCTCCCATTCTGTAGGTTGCCTGTTCACTCTGATGGTAGTTTCTTTTGCTGTGCAGAATCTCTTTAGTTTAATTAGATCCCATTTGCCTATTTTGGCTTTTCTTGCCATTGCTTTTGGTGTTTTAGTCATGAAGTCCTCTGGACAACAGTATTCTTAAAGCATATTTTTATGTTGACAGATATCTCCTTTCAGCACTTTGAAGTTCTCATTCCCTTGTCTTCCATTGTTTCTGTTTGTGTTAAGAAGTCGTCTGTCAATATGACTCTTGCTCCTTTGAAGGTAAGCTAGCTTTTTCCTTCATTGGATGATGATGTTGTTTTTGTCTTTTTTTTTTTCTCTGATGTCTGATTGCTTTGTTCCTTTTGGATTCATAGGGCTTTTTGAATCTATACCTTGATGTCTTTCGATGTAGCACCATCATCTCTCTGCTGTCCTTTTAGATTTCAGTTACCTATATTTTAGACTATCTGCTAGTATCCTGTGTGTTTCTTGCTCTTTCGTCTATATTTTCCATCCTTTTCCTCTGCATGCTTCTTTCTGGGTTTTTTTCTGACCTATATTCCAGTTCCTTAAAATTTCTCCTCTGTGTTGTTTAATCTACTGTTAAACCTATTCATTGAGTTCACTATTTCAAAGTACAGTTTATCAGAATTTCTCGGATTCAAAATTTCTGTTTGGTTCATTTTGTAGACTTAATTCTTTGCTAGTAGTTTCAATCTTGTCTTCTTTTTGCTCGAGTGTTTTAAGTATATGTTCAGTGACATCTACTTGTTTTTTGTTTTTAATTTAGAAAGGGGACTTTATTTTGTATAAGGGTTTATAGTCTGCAGGGTGGCCATTCCACAGGCTGTGAAGTATAGACTCCGCTCAGCAAAGACTGGAAACAGGCACTTTAAGGGAGGAGAGAGCAGAAGAGGAACTTATGTTGAACAGGTTGGCCAAGTATACATATTTAATGGGTTATAGCAGGAGTTATGAATATTCACAAAGGGGTTCCTGAAATATGCATATTGAAAAACATGTATGTAACATACAACCCAAGTTAACATTAGGGTAGAGACTTAACATTTAAATGAATTACTATTAGGCCGTATACATCAAAAGCTAAAGCAGGGACATGGAGGCACTCAGGTGTGCAGCCTCTGTAAACAAGCCAGAACCAGTCTATGGTTGGCAATCTCTTATCAGAAGAAAGTTACTGAAATCATTCTCTTTTATGGTTTTTTATTTTTATTTTTATTATTTTATTTTATTTTCCATAAGTTATTGGGGTACAAGTGGTATTTGGTTACATGAGTAAGTTCTTTAGTGGTGATTTGTGAGATTTTGATGTACCCATCACCCATGTATACACCACAACATACCTGTAGTCTTTTATCCCTCGATCCCCTCTCACTCTTCCCCACAAGTCCCCAAAGTCCATTGTATCATTCTTATGCCTTTGTGTCCTCATAGCTCAGCTCCCACATATCAGTGAGAACATGCAATGTTTGATTTTCCCTTCCTGAGTTACATTATACTTAGAATAATAGTCTCCAGCCTCATCCAGATCACTGCAAATGTTAATTCATTCATTTTTATGGTTGTGTAGTATTCCATCATATATATACACACACACACACACACACACACACACATCATATATATATACACACACATCATATATATATATACACACACACACACTACAGCCACTTGTTGATTGATGGGCATTTGGGTTGCTTGCACGATTTTGCAATTGTGAATTGTGCTGCTATAAACATGCCTGTGCAAGTATCTTTTTCAAATAATGACTTCTTTTCCTCTGGGTAGATGCCCAGTAGTGGGATTGCTGGATCAAATGGTAGTTCTATTTTTAGTTCTTTAAGGAATTGCCACACTGTTTTCCATAGTGGCTGTACTAGTTTACATTCCCACCAGCAGTGTAGAAGTGTTCCCTGTTCACCACATCCACGCCAACATCTACTGTTTTTTTATTTTTTTTATTATGGCCATTCTTGCAGGAGTAAGGTGGTATCACATTGTGGTTTTGATTTGCATTTCCCTGATAATTAGTGATGTTGAGTATTTTTTCATATGTTTGTTGGCCATTTGTATATCTTCTTTTGAGAATTGTCTATTCACGTCCTTAGCCCACTTTTTGATGGGATTGTTTGTTTTTTTCTTACTGATTTGAGTTTGTTGTAGATTCTGGCTATTAGTCCTTTGTCAGATGTATAGATTGTGAAGATTTTCTCCCAATATGTGGGTTGTATGTTTATTCTCCTGACTGTTCCTTGTGCCATGCAAAAGCTCTTCAGTTTAATTAGGTCCTAGGTATTTATCTTTGTTTTTATTGCATTTGCTTTTGGGTTCTTGGTCGTGAAATCCTTGCCTAAGCCAATGTCTAGAAAGTTTTTTCAATGTTATCTTCTAGAATTTTTATAGTTTCAGGTCTTAGGTTTAAGTCCTTAATATATCTTGAGTTGATTTTTGTATAAGGTGAGATGTGAGGATCCAGTTTCATTCTCCTACATGAGGCTAGCCAATTATCCCAGCACCATTTGTTGAAAAGGGCATCCTTTCCCCACTTTATGTTTTTGTTTGCTTTGTGGAAGATCAGTTGGCTGTAAGTATTTGGGTTTATTTCTGGGTTCTCTATTCTGTTCCACTAGTCTATGTGCCTATTTTTATACCAGTACCATGCTGTTTTGGTGACTATGGCCTTATAGTATAGCTTGAAATCAGGTAGTATGATGCCTCCAGATTTGTTCTTTTTGCTTAATCTTGCATTGGCTATGTGGGCTCTTTTCTGGTTCCATATGAATTTTAGAATTGTGTCTTCTAATGCTGTGAAGAATGATGGTGGTATTCTGAAGGGGATTGCATTGAATTTGTAGATTGCTTTTGGCAGTGTGGTCATTTTCACAATGTTGATTCTACCCATCCATGAGCTTGGGATGTGTTTCCATTTGTTTGTGTCATCTGTGATTTCTTTCAGTAGTGTTTTGCACTTTTCTTTGTAGAGGTCTTTCAACTCCTTGGTTAGGTATATTCCTAAGGTTTTTTAAATTTTTTAAAATTTAATTTAATTTAATTTTTTTTTTTGCAGCTATTGTAAAAGGGGTTGAGTTCTTGATTTGATTCTCTGCTTGGTTGCTGTTGATGTATAGAAGAGGTACTGATTTGTGTACATTAATCTTGTATCCAGAAACTTTGCTGAATTCTTTTATCAGTTCTAGGAGCTTTCTGGAGGAGTCCTTAGGGTTTTCAAGGTAAACGATCATATCATCAGCAAACAGTGACAGTTTGACTTCCTCTTTACTGCTTTGGATGCCCTTTATTTCTTTCTCTTGTCTGATTGCTCTGGCTAGGACTTCCAGTACCATGTTGAAGAGGAGTGGTGAGAGTGGTCATCCTTGTTTTATTCCAGTTCTCGGAGGGACTGCTTTCAACTTTTCCCCATTCAGTATTTTGTTGGCTGTGGGTTTGTCATAGATGGCTTTTATTGCACTAAGGTATGTTCCTTCTGTGACGATTTTCCTGAAAGTTTTAATCATAAATGTTGGATTTTGTCAAATGCTTTCTCTGTATCTATTGAGATGATCATGTGATTTTGTTTTCAATTCTGTTTATGTGGTATATCACATTTATTGACTTGCATATGTTAAACCATCCCTACATCCCTCTTATAAAACCCATTTGATCATGGTGGATTATCTTTTTGATATATTGTTGGATTCATTTAGCTACTATTTTGTTAAAGATTTTAGCATCTATGTTCATCAAGGACATCGGTATGTAGTTTTCTTTTTTGGTTAAGTCCTTTCCTGGTTTTGGTATTAGGGTAATGCTGGCTTCACAGAATGAATTAGAGAGGGTTCCTTCTTTCTCTATCTTGTGGAATAGTGTCAAAAGTACCAATTCATCTTTCAATGTCTGGTAGAATTTTGCTGTGAATCTGTCTGGTCCTGGACTTTTTTTTGTTTGTAATTTTTTAATTACCATTTTAATCTCACTGCTTGTTATTGGTCTGCTCAGGGTATCTAATTCTTCTTGATTTAAGCTAAGAGGGCTGTATTTTTCCAGGAATTTATCCATTTCTTCTAAGTTTTCTAGTTTATGTGCATAAAGGTGTTCATACTAGCCTTGAATAGTCTTTTGTATTTCTGTGGTATCAGTTGTAATATCTCCTGTTTCATTTCTTAGTAAGGTTATTTGAATATTCTCTCTTCTTTTCTTGGTTAATCTTGCTAATGGTCTGTCAATTTTATTTATCTTTTCAAAGAACCAGCTTTTGTTTTCATTTATCTTTTGTAATTTTTTTTTTGTTTCAATTTCATTTAGTTCTGCTCTGATCTTGGTTATTTCCTTTCTTCTGCTGGGTTTGGGTTTGGTTTGTTCTTGTTTCTCTAATTCCTTGAGATATGACTTAAACTGTCTGTGCTCTTTCAGACTTTTTGATGTCGGCATTTAGGGCTGTGAACTTTCCTCTTAGCACCACCTTTGCTGTATCCCAGAGGTTTTGATAGTTTGTGTCATTATTGTCATTCAGTTCAAAGAATATTTTAATTTCCATCTTGATTTCGTTTTTGACCAGTGCTCATTCAGGAGCAGTTTATTTAATTTCCATGTATTTGCATGGTTTTAAAGGTTCCTTTTGGAGTTGATTTCCAGTTTCATTACACTGTGGTCTGAGAGAGTGCTTGATATAATTTCAGTTTTCTTAAATTTATTGAGGCTCATTTTATGGCCTATCATATGATCTATCTTGGAGAAAGTTCCATGCACTGTTGAATAGAATGTGTGTTCTGTGTTTGTTGAATGAAATGTTCTTTTTTTTCTTCGTTTTTGTTTTTGTTTTGTTTTGTTTTGTTTTTTGAGACGGAATTTTGCTCTGGTTGCCCAGGCTGGAATGCAATGGCGCACTCTCGGCTCACTGCAACCTTTGCCTCCCAGGTTCAAGTGATTCTCCTGCCTCAGCCTACCGAGTAGTTGGGATTACAGGCATGCGCCACCACGCCCGGCTAATTTTGTATTTTTAGTAGAGACGGGGTTTCTCCATGTTGATTAGGCCGGTCTCAAACTCCTGACCTCAAGTCATCTGCCTGCCTCGGCCTCCCAAAGTGCTGGGATTACAAGTGTGAGCCACTGCACCCGGCCTGTTGGATGAAATGTTCTATGTCTATCTGTTAAGTGCATTTGTTCCAAGGTATAGTTTAAGTCCATTGTTTCTTTGTTGACTTCCTGTCTTAATGACCTGTCTAGTGCTGTCAGTGAAGTATTGAAGTTCCCCCACTACTATTATGTTGCTGTCTATATCATTTCTTAGGTCTATTAGTAATTGTTTTATAAATTTGGGAGCTCCAGTGTTAGGTGCATGTATGTTTAGGATTGTGATATTTTCCTTTGGACAAGGTCTTTTACCCTTACATACTGTCCCTCTTTGTCTCTTTTAAACACTGGTGCTTTAAAGTTTGTTTTGTCTTATATAATAATAGCTACCCCTGCTCACTTTTGGTGTCCATTTGCATGAAATGCCTTTTTTCACCCCTTTACTTTATGTGAGTCCTTATGTGTTAGTTGAGTCTCCTGAAGGCAGCAGATAGTTGGTTGGTGAGTTATCCATTCTGCGGTTCTGTATCTTTTAAGTGGGGAATTTAGGCCATTTACATTCAATGTAAGTATCGAAATATGAGGTACCATTGCTTTCATCATGTTCTTTGTTGCCTGTGTACTTTGTTTTTGTTTTTATGCTTTTTAAATTGTATTTTTGTTTTATAGGTCCTGTGTGATTTATGCTTTAAAGAGGTTCTGTTTTGACGTGTTTTCAGGATTTGTTTCAAGATTTAGAGCTCCTTTTAGCAGTTCTTGTAGTGGTGGTTTGGTAATGGCAAATTCTCTCAGCATTTGTTTGTCTGAAAGAGACTATATCTTTCCTTCATATATGATGCTTAGTTTCGCTAGATACAAAATTCTTGGCTGATAATTGTTTTGTTTGAGGAGGCTGAAGATAGAGCCCCAATCCCTTCTAGCTTGTAGGGTTTCTGCTGAGAAATCTGCTGTCAATCTGATACGTTTTCCTTTATAGTTTACCTGGTGCTTCTATCTCACAGACCTTAAGATTCTTTCCTTCATCTTAACTTTAGATAACCTGATGACAGTGTGCCTAGGGGAAGATCTTTTTGTGGTTAATTTCCCAGGTGTTCTTTGTGCTTCTTGTATTTGGCTGTCTAGGTCTCTTGCAAGGCCAGGGAAGTTTTCCTCAATTATTCCCCCAAATGTTTTCCAGGCTTTTAGAATTCTATTCTTCCTCAGGAATATCGTTTATATTTAGGTTTGGTCATTTAACATAATCCCAGACTCCTTGGAGGCTTTGTTCATGTTTTCTTACTCTTTTTCCTTTGTCTTTGTTAGATTGGGTTAATTCAAAGACCTTGTCTTCAAGCTCTGAATTTCTTTCTTCTACTTGTTCAGTTCTATTGCTGTGACTTTCCAGAGCATTTCACATTTCTAAAAGTGTGTCCAAAGTTTCCTGAATTGTTTATTGTTTTTTTCTTTAAGCTATCTATTTCCATGACTATTTCTCCCTTTACTTCTTGTATCATTTTTTGGATTTCCTTGCATTGGGCTTCGCCCTTCTGTGGTCCCTCCCTGATTAGCATAATAACTAACCTCCTGAATTCTTTTTCAGGTAAATCAGGGATTTCTTCTTGGTTTGGATCCATTGCTGGTGCACTAGTGTGATTTTTGGGAGGCATTGACAAGACTTGTTTTATCATATTACCAGGGTTGGTGTTTTCTGGTTCCTTTTCATTTGGGTAGGCTCTATCAGAGGGAAGGTCTAGGGCTGAAGGCTGTTGTTCAGATTCTTTTGCCTCTGGGGTGTTCCCTTGAATTAGTACTGTCCCCTTTTCCTACGGTGTGGCTTCCTGTGAGCCAAACTGCAGTGATTGTTGTCTTTCTTCTGGGTCTAGCCACCCAGCGAGTCTACCTGCCTCCAGGCTGTTACTGGGGGTTATCTGCACAGAGTCCTGTGATGTGAACCATCTATAGGTCTCTCAGCCATGAATACCAGTGCCTGTTCTGGTGGAGGTGGCAGAGGGTGCAATGGACTCCATAGGGGTCCTTGGCTTTGGTTGTTCAATGCTCTATTTTTGTACTGGTTGGCCTCCTACCAGGAGGTGGCACTTTCCAGAGAGTTTCGGCTGTAGTAGTATGCAGAGGGACCAGTGGTGGGCGATGCCTTAGAACTCTCAAGATTATATGCCCTTTATCTTCCACTACCAGGGTGGGTAGGGAAGGACCACCAGGTGGGGGCAGGGCTAGACGTGTCTGAGCTCAGACTTTTAGGGCAGGTCTTGCTGTGGCTGCTGTGGGGGATGGGGGTGAGATTCCCAGGAGTGACATCTACTTGTTATGGAACATATGCCTGTATCTGATGACTCTGATATCTGGAAATTCTATGTATCTGCCTTTTCTTTGTCAGCTGTTTTTTTTCTTTCTTCTTTTTTTTTTTTTTTTTTTACATTGCCTTGTCTTTGCATGTGCTTGGTCAATTTTAATTAAGAACAGTACAATGTAAATGAAAACTTGTAGAAATCAGATGAGGCTTAGAATGATGCTACTTTCCTCCTGAGGGGTTTTACATTTTCTTCTGACCAATGTCTAGCAATCCAGAATAACCTCAATTGAATTTCAAGGCTTGAGATGATTCAGAGGGCTAAGGCTGGTGTATTTCTCAACAGTATATCCGTTTATTATTCAGAGTCCCACCTTGAATCGTAAGGGAATTACCAGAGCTTTCCTTTTTGACAGGCTTTAGATTTTTAAGTTTTATCCCCTTAACCCGGCAAACCTGTCAAATATTCTTTTCAGCTTCTCAGCCTCTCAGATGCTTCTTTTAGAATCAACACACTTACCCCTAGAGAAACAACCCCAAATCCTGGGCTTATCTCTGAGTTTTCATGTTCTGTATCTTGACCTCATTATTTTATTTTCCACTGCCTTGCTAGGTCTCTGATGCCTTCAGGCTAGGGTTTCTAGATCTAGGGGAAAAAACTTTCAGGACATCTAATTAAATTTGAATTTAAAATAAACAATGAATAATATTTTTATTGTATGTGTATTCCATGCAATAATCGAAACTTGCTTATACTAAAAATTCATTCTTTGTTTATCTGAAATTCAATTTTAACTGGGTGTCCTGTATTTGATTTGGTAACCCTACTTTTGGCAGAATTATTTCTACATTTTAACAGCTTTTCTAGATGTTCTCTGAATTACCTAGTACATTATTACTGAAAGTGGAAGTTTACTTCTGTTAGCTGGTCAGCAAACTTGAGTTATTAAAAACTTTTGAGAGACAAATCACCAAGAAAGGAGTTAATGTTTGCTTAAATCCTAGGTCTGCCATGAACCATATGTGTGACCTTATGTAAGTGGCCTTAATTTTGACCTCATTTTCCTTAGATGTAAAATAAGAATGACAGGTGACATTTACTGAGGTCTGATTATATGCCAAGCATTGTGCTAAACACATTTTTTTAAGAAGGCTAATAATGATTGGCTATACATCATAGGATTCTTGTGAGGATCAAATTAGAAAATATTATTAATGCCCTGGTACATAGTAAGTGCTAATTAACTGTTAAGACAAATTTAAGTCATTGCTTTTAAACTTAATTGAACATTTTACTTACTCAGGTCTCCTATCATCATTGCATACTGATGTCTCCAGTGCTACAGCTGGCCTACTAATCCCTTAACAGTGTAGGAAGGTGGGGGGGCAGGGAAGCAATTTTCTCCTTTCTTTAAGTGGTAATAAACTGAAGTGAAACAATCTGTACTCTCTGAATACATGCCCTTAAATAAAGATTATAGTTGCAATCTGTGTATAAATATACATATTTATAGTGGTAGAAACTTCAGTTTTGCTCTACTTCGTGAAGGACATGGTCACCCCGGCCCAAACTTGAAAATATAAATATATATATATTATTGATGCATGTGTTTTAATATTTATGGATGGCTTTCATTTGTAGCCCACCCCTAAATAAGAAGAAACGTTAATGATTTAATATCCCTTTTCAGCTAGAATGGGAAATCATTTTAAATTACAGGGATATTTAGGTTAAATAAAAGGAAGATCAATTTATAATCAAGTTGCTAAACACTGGAACATAGTATTAAAATACTCGTTTAAGAAAAAGGAAAACAACCTTTGCCAACAACTTCTCAGAAGAGTACCATGACGTCCATTTCCAAAAGGGTAGTATAGAGGCAAGATGGCTTCACTTCCCCCCACAGAAAATTTAAAACAATTGTATGGCACCAAGATGATCACCAGCAATATCCCAGAACTCAAATATGAGGGTAAGACAGCTCTCAGGGCCACAAAGCAGTGAAAAAAACTCTGAGCAGATGGTAAGAGAATCAGACTTCCATATCCACAATGCCCCTCCCTCCCCTCAATCTACCTGGCACCAAGTGCATGGAAAATTTTTCCCCAACTCATGATTTATACACTGGAAAAAGTGAAATGGAGGTAGACAACCAGCTTCCACATCATTTTGGGTTCCCTGGGAGGAGACTTGTCCCTGCCTCAACCCACGAGAAGCATTGGGAGTGCCTGAAGAGAGAACTATCCCTGAGAGCAACCATAGACAAAGCAAGGAAGAAAGACCACCACCCCTGGAAACTCTGAGATATAGCTCAGCCAAAGGAGACACTAAATCAGAGTGAGTGTTCAGCAGCACCATGCCGTGGAAAGCTTGTTCCATAGATCCCCTTGGCATGAGCCCTTAGCCAGTTTTTCCATAGTCCTGGGATAAACCTTTTGGGACCTCCTCCATTCAGGATGGGCAGCAATCTGATTGTTTACTAGAAGTGAGGCAAACCTGGGTTTAATGTGCCATCTAGTGTCAAAAAGGAGGCAATTATTTATAGTAGGGGAAAAAAAAGAAAGATATCAACAGGTAAATTACAAAGAATCTCTACACAAACATATCCAATAATAAAAAAAAAAAAAGGCCAGACAGAGAAGACTGAAATAAATAACTAATCCTTCAATGCAAAGACATAGCTGTATATCTACAAGAAAAACAGCAAACAGAAAACCATGACCTCCTCAAGTGGGCAAAGAAAGGAACTAGTGATTGACCCCAATGAGACAGCAATACGTGTACTCTCTAACAACTGAAAAATAGCAGTTTTAAACAAACTCAGCGATCTCCAAGATAAGACAGAAAAAGCAATTCAGAAATTTATCAAGGAAATTTAACAAAGAGATTGAAATAATTTTAAAAATAAAACAAATCTTGGAACTGAGAAATATATTTGCTGAAGTGAAAAATTTATTACACGTTCTCAACAGCAGACTGAATCAAACAGAGAAAAGAATCAGTGAGCTCAAAGAGAGGCTATTTGAAAATACGCAGAGGAGAAAAAAGAAAAAACAATAAAAAGGAACAAAGATCACCTACAAGACATAGAAAATTACCTCAGAAGACCAAATCTAAGAATTATTGGTGTTCAAAAGGAATTGAGCAACAGCAAGGAGAAAATTTATTCAAAGAAATAATAACAGAACACTTCCCAAAACTTGAGAAAGAGGTATATATCCATCCAGATACAGAAAGATCAGAGAACACCAAACAGATTCAACTCAAATAAGGCTATCCCACAGCATATAATAATCAAACTTTCAAAGGTCAAGGACAAAGATGGCATCTTAAAAGCAGCAAGAGAATAAAAGCAAAGAACATATAAAGGAACTCCAGTTCATCAGGCAGCAGACTTCTTAATGGAAACCATAGAGACCAAGAGGGAGTGAGATGACATGTTCCAAGTGCTGAAAGGAAAAAAAAAAAAACTGCCTCCCAGGAATTCCGTATCCAGCAAAGTTATCCTTCAAATACAGAAAAGAGATAAATTATTTCCCAGAGAAACAAAGGCTAAAAGAATTCACTACCACCAGACCCATCATACAAGAAATGCTTAAGAGAGTTATTTAATCTGAAAAACAAAAACAAAAAACACTAGTGAGTAAAAAGGAAACGTTTGAAGATATAAAATCCACTAGTAAAATTAAGTACGCAGACAAACCCAGGATACTCTAATACTGTAATTGTGGTGTGCAATCTATTCATATCTCTAGTAGGAAGCCCAAAAGATAAATTGATCAAAAACAGTAATACCTTTAGCAACCTGTTAAGAGATAAGTAATATAAAAATATGTAAATTGAGACAATGTAAAATCCAAATGTTGGGAGGATGGAGTTAAATTATAGAGGCTTTTTTTTAAATTTGTTCTTTGTTTCTATTCTTTGTGATCTAAGATAAGTTGTCATCTCCTTAAAATAACTTGTTACATCTATAAGATTTTTTTGTAAGCCTCATGGCAACCAAAATGCAAAACCTATAATAGATTCACTAAAAATAAAAAGCAAAAAAACATACTACCAGAGAAAATAACTTAACCACAAAGGAAGATAGGAAATATGGAAAAAAGGAAGAGAGCAGTTAAAAACCAACCAGAGGCCAGGCACAGTAGCTCATGCCTGAAACCCAGCACTTTGGGAGGCTGAGGCAGGCAGATCATGAGGTCAAGAGATCGAGACCATCCTGGCCAACATGGTGAAACCCTGTCTCTACTAAAAATACAAAAATTAGCTGGGTGTGGTGGCGCACACCTGTAGTCCCAGCTACTCAGGAGGCTGAGGCAGGAGAATCACTTGAACACAGGAGGCGGAGGTTGCAGTGAGCCAAGATTGCGCCACTGCATTCTAGCCTGGCAACAGAGCAAGACTCCGTTAAAAAAATAAATAAAATGAAATAAAAAACAGAAAACAAGCAACAAAATGGCAGTAATCAGTCCTTACTTATCAATAATAATAACAAATATAAATATGCTCAATTCTCTAATTAAAAGGGATAGAGTGGCTGAGTTAATAAAGAAACAAGACCCAACTATATGCTGCCTATAAGAAACCCACTTCAGCTATAAAGACACATATAGACTGAAAGTATTGAGGTGGAAAAAGATATTCCATGCAACTAGAAACCATAAAGGGCAAGAGTACCTATGCTTACATCAGATAAAATAGACTACAAATCAAAGACTGTAAAAAGAGATAAAGAAGGTCACTATACAATGATAAAGGGGTCAATTCAGCAAGCGGCTATGAAAATCTATGCATATCTATGCACCCAACACCAGAGCTCCCAAATATGTAAAGCAAACATTAATAGATCTAAAATGAGAGATACACTACAATATGATCATAATAGGGGACTTCAATACCCCACTCTCCATAATGGCCATATCATTCCAGCAAGGAAATGTAAATAAACTACACACTGACCACATGGCCTAACTGACATCTATAGAACATTTCACTCAACTGCTGCAGAATACACATTTTTTCTATCAACACATGGAACATTCTTCAGAATAGACCATGTATTAAGCCACAAAATAAATGTCAACAAATTCAAAAAAGTAGAAATCTTATCAAGTATCTTCTCTGACCACAAAAGGAATAAAACAAAATCATTAACAAGAGAAATCTCAGAAACTACACAAACACATGGAAATTAAACTACATGCTCCTGAACAACTAATGGAGAAATTAAGAAAAAAGTTTTAAAATTTTTTGAAACAAATCAAATAGAAATACAGCATACCAAAATGTATGCGGTATAGTAAACAACTCAAGAGCAAAAAACAATCTGATTTTTAAGTAGCATCTTTTAAAAGATGTGAATAGACATTTCTTAAAAGAAGACAGACAAATGGCCAACAGATGCATGAAAAAAATGCTCAACATCAGTAATCATCAGGGAAATGCAAATCAAAACCACAATGAGTTATCATTCACCCCAATTAAAACAGGACAGGGAGCAACAAATGCTGGTGAGAACACAGAAAAAGGGGAGCCCTCATACACTGCTGGTGGGAATGTAAATTAGTACAGCCACTATGAAAAACTAACAGATTCCTCAAAAAATTAAAAATAGAACTACCATATGACCCAGCAATTCCATTACAGGGTATATAGCAAAAGAAAGGAAATCAATATATCGAAGAGATACCTGCACTCCCATGTTGATTGCAGTACTGATCACAACAGTCAAAATATGGAATCAATCTAAGTACCCATTAATAGATGAGTGGATAAAGAAAATGTGGTATGTAATAGTATTCAGTCACAAAAAAGAATGGAATTCTGTCATTTGCAGTAACATGGATGGAACTGGAGGTCATTATGTTAAGTGAAATAAGCCAAGCACAGAAAGATAAATATTGCATGTTTTCATTCGTATGTGGGAGCTAACAAAGTGGATCTCATGGAGATTGAGAGTAGATTGGTGGTTACCAGAGACCAAGAAAGGTAGAAGGAAGAAGAAGATGAATAGAGATTGATTAATGGGTACAAATATACAGTTTGATAGAAGAAATAAAATCTAGTGTTTGATACATCAATAGAGTGACTGTAATTTATAATAATTTATAATTTGTAATTTATAATATGTTTTTATATATTTATATGTATTTATAATATGTTTCCAAATGGCTACAATAATTCAAATGTCTCTAGCACAAAAAAAGACAAATAATTAAGATGATGTATATCCCAATTACATTCATTTGATCTTTACAAATTATATGAATGTATTCAATCATCACATGTATCCTGAAAATATGTACATCTATTATGTATCAATAAAAAACTATAAATGGAAGAAACAAAGAAGAGTACAGAGTTTGAAGTGTTCCATGAATTCTTGGCTCAAAATATGCACTGATCTTTTCATCTAGCAATAGAGTTCAATGCAAGATTGTATGTAATTTCCCTGACCTTTTTGCTCAAAGGCATTGAAATAATTTTTTCTTTAAATGGAAATCTAGTAGTGCCCGTTTGGGATTCCTGGTACCTAAAATTCCTTTCCACCCAACTGAGATGAAGGTGAGGCCATTTGGCCCCTCCATGCTGATCCCACCGGCACCTACAGGCAGAGTAACTCATGCACTAGGCAACACTAACTCATTGTGATTAACTAGATAGATGGCTTACTGCTTTATTCAGAGTCCTTCCCTGATCCCTGACTTATGGGAAACTTGCCTCTCAGGCCAACACAGTATTGGATCTGAGTGTGTAGACCTAACATGGGGACAACTTTGAGGTGTCTTGGAGAATAAGTACAGAACTGGGTTATAAGATTGTCCACCAAGAGCTTGAAAAGACAATCAACAGACATGTGAAAGAACTATCGAGAAAGTGACTCAGGAAGGAAACTCAAAGTACAGGCATATCTGAAGTAAGAACACATCCACTAACAGAGGGACTGGTTAGCATCCAGGCATCACCCAGGTAATGGAAAACCTGAGCAACTGCAATTAAATGGCTTCAAAAAAATTTAAATAGCTGATTAAAATTTAATGAAAAAGTTTAACCCTACTAATAATCAAATAAATGAAACAAAAATAATAATCGGATTCTATTTTAAGCCTATTTTTAAGTGATGATGCTCAGTGCTAACAAGCGTTCTATGAGATGGTCAGAGTCACATTTCCTGATAGAAGTGTAAAGTGTTATTTGGAAAGCAATTTGGCCCCAGGAAGGGAGGATCCTTAAAATATATTCTTTTTTTTTTTTTTTTTTTTTTTTGAGACTGAGTCTTGCTCTGTTGCCCAGGCTGGAGTGCAATGGCGTGATCTTGGCTCACTGCCACCTCCACCTCCCGGGTTCCAGCAATTCTCCTGCTTCAGCCTTCCGAAGTAGCTGGGATTGCAGGAGTGCACCACCACGCCCAGCTAATTTTTGTATTTTTAGTAGAGATGAGGTTTCACCATGTTGGCCAGGCTGATCTCAAACTCCTGACCACAAATGATCCACCCACCTCGGCCTCCCAAAGTGTTGGGATTACAGGCGTGAGCCACCGTGCCCGGCCCATATCTTTTAACCTAAAGAAGACTACTGTAATATTCGTATCTACAGCATTGAGGAAACCTTTACATATCAGTTAGGTTTATGTTTAGCTACATATAACAGAGATCCTAAAATAACAATGGTAAACTGCATAGGTGTTATTCTGCCAGGGAGGCTGCAAAATGTAGTACTTTAGCTGGACATTATCAATCAAAATAAAACTGAGATTCTGTTATTAAGGAGGAAAGGTAGAATGGATGCCGGGTAGGTATCTAGCGATTTTTGCTCCATTGTCCTAGGGAGAAAATTTGAACTTAAAAAATAATTTGTAAAAAGTAATTGATTTTCAGAGAAAAGCCTGAATTTCCAAATATAGGAAATATTTGCAATGTGTAAATCTATTCAGTTGTTCTGTATAATAAGTAATGTTGTTTGAGGAGTTTTAAATGATAGTTGGCCATGCTTATTTCATAATGTCAATTTTTTAAAAAAGCAAAATGTATTATTCTATAGTTTATAGTCTCAATTATGCAAAAATCTCAGAAGATTGTTATTTCATTTATACTTATCTTCATTTTTCGTATTTTCCATTCTGAGCACATTTCAAATGCATGCTAATAAAATTGTAGACATTATTTTTAAAATGATAATTGAAGGCAAATTTCCATATTTGAGAAAAAATATCTCAAATTGGAGATTTCTCATATTGTTTCAAACAAAATATAAGGGACCAAGACATAGCCTGGTAATTTTTTTAAATTTTAAGAAAACAAATCCTATAAACAGTGAATTGGGGAAAGCAAATCACCTTCAAATGAACTAAACTCATGTTGGCTACAGATCTTGTCCTCTAGGGAACTAAATGCCAGAAGGAAAAGGACTGATGTTGTCATTTAGTCATCACATCATCACAATCACTAACATTTACTGAGCACTTAATTGAATCGAAGCACTTTTATTTGCTTAACCAACGTCTTATGAAGTCCTATTTTAACAGGGGGTACAGGGACTTATTCATTGTCTCACAGATTGTAAATAATGGAGCTGAAATTCAAACCCAGTGTGATCCCCCTAAACTCTTTACATTCTGCTTAACCATTTATAGAACTTTCTTTTTTTTTTTTTTTAAATGGAGTCTCACCCTATTACCCAGGCTGGAGTGCACTGATGTGATTATAACTCTCTGCAGCATTAAAGTCCTGAGCTCAAGTGATCCTCCTGCCTCAGCCTCCCAAGTAGCTGGGAACTACAGATGCGTGCTACCACTGCCAGCTACATCTATAGAACTTTGAAGGAAACAAATTGTGATGCAAAGAGGTTATCATTGATGGGTACAGGAGTTTAGAAAATATGCCTCTCTCCTATGTACTTCAATAACTTCTCAAAGTCTTTCTGCAAATTACCAAGATATTAATCACAATGAATTAAATAATAGGACATTACAGAAGAAACAGACAGGTGATAGGCATCCACCCACCTCACATCTTAGAACTAAGTGTTTTAAATCAATGACCTCTAATGGGGTAGGATGGATGCTGAGAAGTCTAAATAATGGACTTAACTTGGATACAAAAATGTTAAGGCCAGAACAATTTTTCATGTCACAGTTTTAAGAAGTCAGACCTGTCCTTGAGGCCACATGAGGAGCATCATTGTCGAGTGTGGCCTGGCTTGCTCGTGGGGGAATTATGTTGCAGTTCTTAGAGATGTCCTCTGTGGCCATAGCTGTCTCTCCCTGGGTTACACCCTACTTCTCAGTCTCATTTTTTGTTTGTCTTTCAGCTGAAACTAAGATCTGCTTCAAATACTACCATGGAGTGAGTGGGGCCCTGCGAGCAACCACCCCCAGTGTCACGGTCAAAAACTCGGCAGCTCCTGTAAGTCTCATTTCTCCGTCTTTGGTTAGACCTAACTCTGGTCTTTCTTCACTTTCCTATTTTGTTCTTGTGCGTGCGTGTGTGTGTGTGTGTGTGTGTGTGTGTGTGTACGTGTACATACACACATATGGAGATATACTGATAGATTGATTATGAATAAATGGAAAGACACCTCAAAATGGTCAAGAGGAATGAGATCCATAGTCGACCTTATTAAAGCTCATGCTACACTTGTGTGTTAGGGAGGAGCCAAGCTTCTTTATTTTCCTTAGATGGCCAAATGTTTCTAATAGAGACATGTGCAATCACAGTGAAGAAGCCTTTTCTTTGGATCACATTTTTTAATTGTTTGGTTTTAAATATTTATATTTTCTTATGTTTTTATTTCTTTTAGTCTTGTAAATAAATTAATGGAGTAGGATTTATTGCCTCAGGTTGATTTTAGTCATAGAATTATAACATGATAGGCCTGGAAAGACCAGAATCTCTCACCCTTCTCTGTGTATAAATGAGGACAGTGGCCAAGGAGCCTAAATAATCTATCTCAGGTCACAGAACTCGTTGCAGATCCAGGATTTAAGTCACTTCTTTTGTTCCCTGCTGTGTGGCTTTGCTCAGGCCTGTGGTAATAGATGCCATCTTCCTAAGTTACAATCCAGTTTTAATCTTTGTAGTGCTTCTCACTTAGTTCTTAATGCATCTGATTAGGCTGAAATGCACTGAGAAATGGCATTCCTTTTCCTTTTCACATAAATTTTAAATGACCAACTGGGGAGGCTGGACAGAAACCAGTGGAGGACTTTGTCATGCTAGTGGAAATAAAAAAGACTCTCTCTTTTTTTTTTTTTTTTTTTTTTTTTTACATTAAAAAAAAAACAGGCCAGGCGCAGTGGCTCACGCCTGTAATCCCAACACTTTGGGAGTCCCCAGGCAGGCGGATCACTTGAGGTCAGGAGTTTAAGACCAGCCTGGCCAACATGGTGAAACGCTGTCTCTACTAAAAATACAAAATTAGCCAGGCATGGTGGCAAGCGCCTGCAATCCCAGCTACTTGGGAAGCTAAGGCAGAAGAATCACTTGAACCCAGGTGCAGTGAGCAGAGATCGCACCACTGCACTCCAGCCTGGGCAACAAGAGTGAAACTCCGTCTCAAAAAAAAAAAAAAAAAAAAAGAGAGAGAGAGAAAGTATTTGACATGAAATATGAATGATTCAGAAAGGACTTTGACTCCAAAAAATATTCCATTTTGCTGCTTTGCAAATCAGTTCTGCAGCATCCTGAAGATGAGCTAATTGAGGCCTTGGTAGTAAGCAGTAAGGTAAGCAGGCCCGAGGCCCAAAGCCTGGCTGCCTCCATCCTCGGCAGGACTGGACACTGAACTGGGTTTCCCATCCCGGAACTCATAGCGGGAAGCGCAGTGGGAAGAGAGGGAGAGGCACATGTGCTTTTGACGGCTTCGCTGTTTTTCCCTCACTGGCCATGCAGATTGGAACGTGATTCCTGTCTGACTCGGACAGCAATTTAAGTGTGAGAATCTAGGGAAGTGTCCTCAGAGTGCCAGAACCTCTCTTCCAGGCCCGTTTGTTTGGGCATCCCTCAAAAGAGGGTACCCCTTAAAACCAGACATGTCCTGACACCTGTTAGCCAATCATTGAGGGTGGAGTGACAACTAAATCAAGGTAGCTTAGAGACAGCTAAATCGAGGCAGAAAAGAAAAAGTGAACCAGAAGCTAGGGAGACAGAGCAGGAAGGCACTGAGCACACAACAGGCAGAGAAGGAAGGAGGCAGGAAGTGGAGTGAAGCCAATTAGGGAAAACCCTTCCACTGCAGGCCTGGCCTCTTGCCAACACACAGCAGTTCACTGAATGAGGCAGACACAAGGATCCCTTAGCAGGAATGGGCTGTGCCCACTGATGGGACTGGCCTGTTGGCTCAAGGCTCGTAGGGGAGAGGAGTTCCTCACCTTCTTCTGCTCTGGAATGATACTGTGGGTGTGTTGGCCAGCCCTGGAATTCAAATTCTTACCTGAAGCACTTTTTCTTATTTAAATAAAGCTCCCTAGAGCATTTGTCGTCTCTGAACTCAGCCTGCTGGAGACTCCAGATGTTCACCTGCTGCTCAGACCAGTGCAAAATGTGACACATCATCACAGTGTTGTGCAATGTAGGCTTAAAATTAAGCAAGAGGCCAACTGCCCAGAAAATGGCCTCTAAAGTATGATGTACAGCCCCTTAGGGCAGGATAAATTTTCAACAAGCATATGCTCCCCAAGGGCTGCCATCACCAGAAACAAAGGCTTGTACCTCAGAAGAGGAAATGAGATGCTTCCATCACACTGTTGACATAAGGTTCAGCAGGTGCCTGATTGCTACTGCCCTGACCTCATCTTTGTCATTCCACATGAGCTGCTGCTGCTCATACTTCAAACTCTGGCATCTTGAAATATTTTGACATATTGCTGTCACCCTGATTTTTATCTCCTTAATGATTTTGTCACACAAATCAGTAGACACTTGGGTTGACACTTGAATGTACATCCTGCAGACAACTTCTAGTCCCCAAGCATGTGAGAGCTCGATCGCATAGCCCCTCTGCCACCAGGGACAAAGAGAGAAATCCTGGGCTCCTATTGTCATGGTGAAAATGAGTCCCTGGAGTCCCAGGGCAGAAGGCAGTACACACAATCCCACAGGACTGTATTTTCACGGGCAATTAGGTTTCATAGGAGCCACTGGGAGGAGCCCCCTTTGTTTGATGGCGTGGCACACTTTTCAAAGCTGTTTATCACGCATTATTCTAGTTGATGCCCAGCACATCTGTGGAGAGAGGCAGGAACTACCCTTCTGGTTAAGTGATCATTTGGCTATATGGTGATGGAGCAGAACCACATTTCGCTTATACTTTTTGCAACCCAGCTCAGTTTGGGTATAATCTAGCAACTTTCCGGGTTAAATAAGCCTTTGCAGTCTCGTCTGGGGACTTGAGCACACAGTTTCTAAGGGGAAATGCTGTGAGGTTTCCCTCTATCAATTTGTTGATAAACTTGGAGTGTCAACTTCTAGGTTGAGGATTGCTGCTGCTGCATTCATCTCTTATGAAGAGTTGCTGTGTATTGCCATTATATCATGTCCCCAAAGTCACTGAGTTGGTCTGTGACAATACGCTAAACCTACCATTCTTTGAAAAGGAGGAACAAGCTGTCACATGCTCCTTTGGTGTAATCAGCGCTTTAATTTTCTGAGCATTGTATGGTCTCACGATGCATCAATTCTTTTTCTCATTGTCTTGTTCCCTCTCATCTTTGTCTTTGTCCCATGGGCAACTGTTGAGGTCCTTGTTTAAAAAGAGGTTGTCTTCTACTCTTGTCTTTCTGGGGCTCTCATTTATTGTATATCAGAAACTATGATGGATGTGCTTATAGAGATAAATGAAATATAAGCCCTGTCACTGAGAACTCACGGTTACTCCATTATAAATTATAATACTATATAAAGTCTCCAGTACTGGAGCGTGAAGCCTGCTGTGCTGATGTATAGAGAAAGCCGTGACCAGGCACCTGCAGCAGCTGTGCTGGCTGCGGAGGAGGGGGCGTGGCCTGAGGCAGGCGCCATGAGTGGGCCTTGGCCATGCCTTGAAGACAGACAGGCAAGGCCAGCAGAAGGGATGGCCTGTACAAAGGCACGGGGTGAGAAATGGCTCAGGCCTGGCAGGGAAGGAGACCTAGTTGTCTTAGGTTTAAAGAATATAGGACTTATTGTCCCTATATATCTTCCTGTTTTTCATACTTTTTGTGTCTTATTAGTAGCACCTATCACGTTTTATGTCTTTCTTTTATTTTCTGTAGAAAATCACTGTCAAAGCAAGCTCTTCCTCTCCATATTCTGGCCCTTGCTAACTCCCCCTTGTGCATTACCATTACAGTCTTCTTAAATAAGCCCCATGATATATTTTTCTTTCTCTGATTATACATCAAAAAACAGAAATCAGCCCATCACGACAGTTTGCCAAAGACAGGGTGGGTAAACTGTCCTTAGCCCAACACACAGTCCACTGAAAATAACCAGGCTGCCCTGCTGGGTCTAGACCTGACAGTGAGTTTTCACATCCTCCTCTTCCCACTCTCAGGCACCCAGCCGGCATCATCTGTAGGGGCTGCTGGAGGGAGTGGGGGCCCTCCCTTTGCCTGCCGGTTCTCCTGCAGTGCCGGAGACTCTGATGCAGTCTGAAGCTGTTGGTGTGAGCCAGGTAAGTGAGAGTCTTTCAAGTCCCGAGCATACTGCTCCCACACCTGGTTTATGAGACCCTCCCTACAGAGCGTTCACCTGGCAGTGCAGTGGGCCTCCTCCCCACCCACTCTGAGGCCTGGGACTGCGGCCTCCAGATAGAAAATAGGTAGCTGGGGAATGACTCTGGTAGAGTCCAAGCAATCGGGAAAGGCCACCAGCATGCAGGGCAGGCTGAGGACATGACATTCCCACCCGTGTGGGGCCATCTACTCTGGAGTAGAGACTTCTCTAGATTTAGAGGCTGGGTCATGTGTAGTCAAAGATGTATTTCTTATGTTGTCTTTATCAGCATTAAAATGTGTGGAAAACCCATCAGGATTATGTTACACTGGATTATTCTTATTCTTACCTCAGATTGCTATTGTTTATTTATTTACTTCATATTCTGTATCTTCTGGCTCTTTCAATGAGAAGTTGGAAGTAAACATAGGAAGGTCCTCTTCTTCTTCCTTCATGTTAATCTAGTGCCTCTGCAACCAAGCTTTTGATAATAACTGAACAGCATAACATTCAAAGTAAAGTTATTTGCCAAAGAACAAAGAACGGCTGGGTGCAGTGGCTCACGCCTGTAATCCTAGCACTTTGGGAGGCCAAGGTGAGTGTATCACATGTGGCCAGGAGTTCAAGACAAGTCTGGCCAACATGGCAAAACCCCATCTCTATAAAAAAATAAAAAATAAAATAATATTAGCCAGCATGGTGGTGCATGTCTGCAATCCTAGCTACTTGGGAGGCTGAGGCACAAGAATCACTTGAACCTGGGAGGTAGAGGTTGCAGTGAGCCGAGATCACACCACTGCACTCCAGCCTGGTCGACAGAGCAAGACTGTCTCACAAAAAAAAAAAAGAACAAAGAACAAATTTAAACTATCTTTTCACTAGTTCATGTTTACAGATTCATATACTTGTCAGACCCCCTGAGCAGAGGTAAGAGTTGACACTATTCTCTTAAAAAAAAAGGCAACTCAATAGGACATTTCCACACCAATATAGGCTAAATTAGCACTCTAAAATAGGGCCAAGATTTTCCTCCTCCACATCAGTCTGAGTCTCCTGCAGTGGACAAATAATTGATAAATACCCTCCCTTCCCCAAATTCTAGGTCATTACCTTTGGCTATAGTAGCATTTTTCTTGGGGATTTTAAAAGTAGATATTTCAAAAAAAATTTCAAGTCATAATAAAGCAACTATGGACCAGCTGCTATAGGTTATAAAATGTCCTGGAAAATACTTCAACCAAGTTAGTAGCATTAGTAGCAAAAGGAATCCACAGGTTGCCGACTGATGGGACCAGCTACCTAGAATTGTTAGACATAAGCCAATTAATTTGGAAGACACCTCAACTTTATAATAAATGGTCTTGAGCCCTTGTGCTTGGCAGAGATTAAATGGCAAGACCAGGTTCCAATAAACATCAATCACCATGTATCTTCAATATTGGGGTGAAGGTCCCCAAAGTTGCCAAAGGATCCCCTTCATCCAGTGTGTCCAGATGAAGTCTCAATTTTACCCTTGAAATGTGTCAAAAAGGAGTATCCAAAAACTAATGGAGAAGGAGAGTTTGTTCTCTGTTTAATTGGGATGGACTGCATTGCCCCAGTGAGATGGACCCACCCCCTGAGATCCCGGGAGAGCAGGCAGCCTTACACAGACCTCAGAACCACAGGACTGCCCAAGATGCTATTTTCTCTTAATTGTAGTTTTCTATTCATTATGTTATGTAAAGAACTGTCTCTGCACAAAGAGGGACTTGGGGAAATTTCAGAGTCATTTTCCTCAACTCGTAAGAAAATGGGGCTTTCTAAGGATTTAGTTGGAATTCTGGCTTTCATGATATCACCAGGTTCATGGCACTATAGCCATGTTCTTAAACTTGCCTCATTTCCAGTTCTGATTTTGGAAACTTGGCCCCATTGTATTTTGGGAAAGTGACATGGCATTTATTTTTTGACTTGGATTTTATAATAGCCTTTGTGAATTGTTTTCCTGTTGCCTTACTATTACATCCAGAATTTATTTTTGCAGCATATCACCAATACTTAGCTAACCAGCACTAAAAGGAAACCTCATTAACAATACTATGATGAGACAAAATTTTGAGACTTAGTCCCTAATATTCTGAAAATCTGTTTTTAACTGAAGTAATTCTAGTTATGCTAGGGAAGCAAGACGTCTGAAGAAGTTATACAGTACAATATTCTATTTTTATTTATTCCCTTCATAAATGTCTGCTAGCCTTTTCTTAGAGGAGAATTTAAGAAAGCATTTTGATTTGTAGGAGCTATAGATTAAATGATACAGATAAAACACAATAAAAGTAATCTTGAGTGCTTGAGCTAGAATTACATACATGATTTATTTACATGCAAAGGATCAATGCTGCCCAGACATTTACTAGAGAGTTTTAGAATGACCTTTTTAAGGGGTTATTTTACAAGATCTTCTGACTATTGTTAACTTTTAAACTTTGTCTCCATTCTCAAAAGTCAAGGGTGGAATAGAAAAGGAGTTTCCAAGGGTGATATAAGTTGATGGTTAGATATCAACATAATGTATAATTTATTCTAGCTGAGAATCCACATCACATTTTTTCTCGCTGCTAATCTGGCAAATTGTTTTCTGATGCTCAAAGCCTCTTGCCTCTAATCTTCTTTTCCCAGAACCTGCTTCCACTTCCTCAGCCCTTCTGCTTCCACCTCTCCAGTCCATGCAACACTCTGCCCCTCAACCATGGAGGTCTGCTCAGAACAGTTATTCTGGGCATCTTTATGTAGTCTGTGCCTTCAGTGTCATTTATGTACTCAGTAAATATTTGTCAGTAAGCTCCTTGGGGCTAACCATTAGGCATGTAAAACCAAACAAGACAAATCCCCATGCTCATCAAGCCACCTGCCTAAGATACGGGCAAGTGTGTAGCGGGGAGACAGACAAGAAAACAGGCAATGACAGAGCACTATTCCATGCCTCTGGAGGTGGACAATATAGGGTACTTTGTAAGGACCAATTATGGGCAGGCCCAGAACATGATGCAGGGTTTTCCAGAAGGAGTAAGCTGAAATGTGCACACACCACAGCCATGATTTCTGATCAAGCCTTTTATTTCTTGTAAGCAAATTTAACCCAGAATATAGTGGCAGCTTATTCATAAATGTGTCTCCTGCAAAAGTCCCTTCAGGTTTTGATCAGACTAATTTCAGGTTTGATCAGCAGTGGGGACATTTGTACATTTGCTTTTTGGGCAAGGCATCAGGTGGACTTGCCCTTCTAGAACAGAAAGAAAGGGAAGGGATTCGGCATCCTCTCTCTAGATAATTTACCCAGGCCCTACTCACAATCTCTAACCTCTCAAAGAGGCATTTTGGAAGTTTAGATTCTATCCTAGCCCAACATTAAGGAATCTGTTCAGTTTGAGGGGAAGAGGTCCAGAGCTCACACTAACGAGGCATTCTGGGGTCTCAAGTCTGGAGATGCTGTTTTCTGAAACACCTTTCCCACCAGCTATGGTTCAGCTGCCATAGTGTAGGGGTGGGTGGTTTACATCCTTCCTGTCTGGACTCTAAGAAGCAAAACGCCAAATAGCATTCTGTGATCCCCAATAGTTGGTTCTAAACCTTCTCTTCAAGTTGCATTTTCTGTAGAAATGACATTAGAAAAAATTTATGGAAAGTGGAAATGGAAATCCTAATGGAAAGTGGAAATCCTTTCTATGTTTGTAAGAGCCACATTCTGAAATTGGGGTCAGGACATCTATGAAGCCCTGGTGTTTCATGGGCACATTTGCACATGTTGCTAGGAATGGATCCAAGGCACTCATCAGATAAACAGGGTTCATGGCTCCAGAAAGATAATGGACTTCTGTCACAGGAAATATAAATGTCACTCTTTGCTGACATAAAGAGACAATTTAGGGCCGGGCGCAGTGGCTCATGCTTGTAATCCTAGCACTTTGGGAGGCCGAGGCAGGCAGATCACCTGAGGTCAAGAGTTCGAGACCAGCCTGACCAACAAGGAGAAACTCCATCTCTACTAAAAATACAAAATTTGCCGGGTGTGGTGGCACATGCCTGTAATCCCAGCTACTCGGGAGGCTGAGGCAAGAGAATCGCTTGAACTCGGGAGGCGGAGGTTACGGTGAGCCAAGATCACGCCATTGCACTCCAGCCTGGGCTACAAGAGTGAGCGAAACTCCGTCTCAAAAAAAATAAAAAAATAAAGAGACAATTTGACAGTCTTGGTACTGTTAAAAGTCTACCTTTGCCTTTTTGGGAGAGAACACCTTAATCTTTGGCAGCACTATGAAAGCTGGAATTATTTATTTACTACCTAGGCATTTACTACCTGACCTAGAAATTGTGAATGAACACATCAAGATAAATATATTCATATGATGAATCTTGACATGAATATATCCAGTGACCTAGAAAAAAGAGGACGTGAAAATTAAATGAGGACTTCTTAAACAAAGGCTTTTCTCTTCTTTCTCTGCAGCAGGGTCCAAATGTTGACTTCTCAGGGATTAGAGGCAAGGAGCTTAGCACAGAATAGACAAAACGAAATGTTCACTTTCCCTAAAACAAAACGAAATGGATGAGTTCACAGGTGAAGTCTTTCAAATGATGGAGGGATAGATAAATCTGATACAGCTTAAGCTTTTAAGAGCAAAATCAACTAATTTACATCATTAAAGAAAAGACAAACCATCTGACAAATGGGCCAGAACCTAAAGTCAGTTTTTAGGGGGGAAAAATGCAACGGCCAATAAACACACAAAAGATGTTCCATCAAGAGAATGAGAAGACAAATTACAGACTGGAAGAATATATCTGCAAAATACATATTTGATCAAGGGCTAGTATTCACAATGTACCAAGAACTCACGAAAGTCAACAATGAGAAAGCAATCAAGCCAACTTTTAAAAATGGGCAAAACACCTGGATAGATATCTCACCAAAAATACACAAATGGAAAATTAGCATATGAAAAGATGCCCAACAATATATGTCATTAGAGAACTGCAAATTAAAACAATGAGGTACCAAAGATACCTATTAAAATAGCCAAAATCCAAACACTAACAACAAAAAATTCTGTCAAGGATATGGAGCAACAGGAACTCTCATTCATTGCTGGTGGAAATGCAAAATGGTACAGCTACTTTGGAAGACAATTTGGTTGTTACTTACAAAACTAAACATACCCTTACCATATGATTCAGCAATCTCACTCCTTGGTATTCACCCAACGGAGTTGAAAACTTATGTCCATACAAACATCTTCACATGTTTACAGCAGCTCTATCCATAATTGTCAAAACTTGGAGGCATCTTGGATGCAAGATGTCCTTTAGCAGGCAAGCAGATAAATTGTGCTACATCCAAACAATGGAATATTATTCAGTACTAAAAAAAAATGAGCTGCCAAGCTATAAAAAGACATGAGGAAATCTTAGATGCATACTACTAAGTGAAAGAAGCCAATCTGAAAGCCTACATAATTTCACAATTCATCTATATGACCTTCCAAACATATGGAGACAGTAAAAAAGATCAGTGGTTGTGAAGATTTAGCGGGGAAGGATGAATAGGAGGATCACAGAGGATTTTTAGGGCAATGATATTCTTTTTTTTTTTTTTTTTGAAATGGAGTCTTGCTCTGTCACCCAGGCTGGAGTGCAGTGGCGCAATCTCGGCCCACTGCAAGCTCCACTTCCTGGGTTCTCGCGATTCTACTGCCTCAGCCTCCCGAGTAGCTGGGACTACAGGTGCCCGCCACCACGTCTGGCTAATTTTTTGTATTTTTAGTAGAGACAGGGTTTCACCATGTTAGCCAGGATGGTCTCGATCTCCTGACCTTGTGATCCACCCGCCTCGGCCTCCCAAAGTGCTGGGATTACAGGCGTGAGCCACCACGCCTGGCCAATGAAATTCTTTAATATGATACTATGATGGTGGCTACATGTTATTATACATTTGTCAAAACCCACAGAATATACAACACTAACAGTAACCACTGATGGGAAGTATGCACTTTGGGTAATAATGATGTGCCAGGGTAGGCTCATCAAGTGTGACAAATATGCCACTCTTATGTGGAACGTTGGTAGTTGGGGAGGCTGTGCGTGTGTGGGGACAGGGGATATATGGGAATGCTGTGCTTTCTGCTCAGTTTTGCTGTGGACCTAAACCTGCTGTAAAATAAATGAAAGGCTATTTTTTTAAATGCTCCAATCAGAAAGCAAAAATTCAAAAGTTTTATGGTACCCAGGGATGATAAGAGAGTGAAAGAAGCATGTGTACACTATTGGGCCCATTTTTTTCAAGGCAGTTTAGCAAAATTTATCAAATTTATCAAAATTTATCTTGGGCATATTTGCAAAAGCTATTTGGGATATATAGACAAAATTATTCATTGCTGCATTGTGGGAACAGCAACAACAGGAAAGCCAGTGTCTCCGTTAGGGAGACTGGATGATACACTCTAACGGCAAAAGCAGCAGGGGAGCAGATTGTGATTATGGGGAAAGGTTCTCAATACATTTTTTGTTGATGGTGGATTTTGTTTTGTTTTGAGACAGAGTTTCGTTCTTGTTGCCCAGGCTAGAGTGCAATGGCACGGTCTCGGCTCACTGCAACCTCCTCCTCCCTGGTTCAAGTGATTCTCCTGCCTCAACCTCCCTAGTAGCTGAGATTACAGGTGCCCACCACCACGCCCCGCTAATTTTTTTGTATTTTTAGTAGAGATGGGATTTCACCATGTTGGCCAGTCTGGTCTTGAACTCCTGACCTCAGGAGATCTGCCCGTCTCAGCCTCCCAAAGTGCTGGGATTACAGGTGTGAGCCACCAAGCCCGGCCTCAATATGTTTTATGAAGTGCAAAAGCAAGGCTCAGAGCAGTGCCTTTAATATTACCCCATTGATGTAGTTTTTAATTAATAGTTAGAAAAATTATTTCCAGGAAAGGATAACAAGAAATGAGTAACAGTGACTACCTTTGAGGATTATGTGGGGGTGGGGTGTGCAGGATTTCACTTATCATTCTGTGCCTTTTCTTTTTTACCTGTTTATATTTACTAACAAAGGGTTATTTTCCTTTTTTTATTATTATTATACTTTAAGTTCTAGGGTACATGTGCACAACGTGCAGGTTTGTTACATATGTATACACATGTATACATGTGCCATGTTGGTGTGCTGCACCCATTAACTCGTCGTTTTCATTAGGTATATCTCCTAATGCTATCCCTCCCCGCTCCCCACTGTTTTCCTTTTTTTAGACTTGTTTATGTTTTCTAACAATAGATTTCTTTTTTAAAAAAATCACAGGAATTATCAAAATAGTGGGATTGTGGCTTTTTGTGTTTTCTCTGTTAACTATTTTAACATCTATAATTTTTTTAAATAAATTTTTTTACAAGGAAAAAGCCTTGTAAAATATTTTTAAATTTTTTTTAAATATTCCCTTTTCTCTCTTCTCATGACTGGTCTGGCTTTATCTAGATGCTCAAACTTGTAGTGTCACAATTTAGTCCTTGATGCAAAGGGAAAGAATGTTGGCATGTGCTAATATATGAGTGCTAAAACGGTTGCCAAATCCCTCCTTTTCCAGAGCAGGGGTCAGACGCTCATCAAGTGATATAGATGCCTGTTTAGTCTACCCATCAACCCCACAGCCATTCCTATGGGAATGATAAACAGAAAAGACAAAACCAATCAATACTGAAACCCATGATTTAATTAAATCCAGAGATGAAGAAAGTGCTTAGGCCAGAAATGGAGAGGAATTTCTGATGATTATAATGTCATTAAGATGCCCCAAACCTGGAGCAGGAAGAGATGGAGGCAAAGCAGACTAACGGTGCTGGGAGTCACTGCAGGCATCACAGTGAGCTCTGTGGTGCTGCCCATGCACGTTGGTGTCGTTCTGCCTTCTTCCTTTTTTTTTTTTTTTTTTTTCTTTTTGAGACAGAGTCTCCCTCTGTTGCTCAGGCTGGAGTGCAGTGGCTTGATCTGGGCTCACTGCAACCTCTGCCTCTTAGATTCAAGTGATTCTCCTACCTGAATTTTGTATTTTAGTCGAGATGGGGTTTCTCTGTTGGCCAGGCTCGTCTCAAACTCCTGATCTCAAGTGATCCTCCTGCCTTGGCTTCCCAAAGTGCTGGGATTACAGGCATGAGCCACCATGCCCGGCTCCTTTCTTTTCTTTCTTTTCCCTGTCTCGCTCTGAAAAAAGAATCTCACTGTTTTTTTTAAACTTATTTTTTTCTTTGCCTGTGCCTACAAATACAAATTTGAGTAAACTGTCCCTTCTAATGGCTGGTATAGTAGATTTACATGTTTGTTTTTTTTTAATTTTTAATTGTGGTAAAATATACATAACAAAATTTACCATCATAACCATTTTTCAGCATGTAGAGCTCAGTGACACTGTGTGCATTCACGTTGTCCAACCATCATCACCGTCTATCTCCAGGACTTTTCATCTTCCCAAACTGAAATTCTGTCCCCACTAAACACCAGCTCCTCATTCTCCCCATCCTCGGAGCCCTTGGCAGCCACCATCCTACTTCCTGTCTCTAGGAATTTGACCACACTAGGCACCTCATATAGGAGGAATCATACAGTGTTTGCCCTTTTGTGCCTGGCTTATTTCAGTGAACATAGTATCTTCAAGGTTCAACCATGTTGCCGCGTGTGCCAGAATTTCCTCCCTTTTTAAGGCTGAATAGTATTCCCTAGTATGTATATGCTCTATTCTGATTATCCATTCCTCTGTAGGAGGATCCACGGGTTGCTTGATATAGGTATTTCTTTGAGGAAACTCCACTGGTTATTTGGTCAGGAAAATTATTTGTTGTTTCATTCTTTGCATTGAAATAAGTTATCACTCATTTCATATAAAAAGTATTCTGGGGTTCAAATAAAAAGAAACACTACGAAAATTCATAGAGGTTGGCTCCTTTTGAAATAAATTCAATGTAAAGAAATTCTAGAAAATTACACCTGTTCTCTACATGATTCAAGAGAACATTGTATCTTTGAAACTTCCTGAGAGAGCAAAGAATGGTAAGAAGGACAGTAAGGAGATAATGGGTCCAACCTTTTGACCAACAGTCACAGGTATGTGACTTAGAGACCACGGGAAAAGGAATTACTGAATTAGAAGACAAACTAAAACAAAATCATCCCCAACCCAGTGGAAACAGAAGATGAAAATAGAACTTTTTAAAACCCAGAAATCTAATTTATGAACAACAGATGCACTTTGGGAGGCCGAGGCGGGCGGATCACGAGGTCAGGAGATCGAGACCATCCCGGCTAAAACGGTGAAACCCCGTCTCTACTAAAAATACAAAAAATTAGCCGGGCGCAGTGGCGGGCGCCTGTAGTCCCAGCTACTTGGGAAGCTGAGGCAGGAGAATGGCTTGAACCCGGGAGGCGGAGCTTGCAGTGAGCCGAGATCCCGCCACTGCACTCCAGCCTGGGCGACAGAGCTAGACTCCGTCTCAAAAAAAAAAAAAAAAAAAAAAAAAAATAGAGAAATATAATAACCAGTGAAAAAAAGATGAAAATATTTTTTATCTAAAAAAATACATACCTAATTAAAATTGAAATTCTTCATATTTCAGATAGCTGGAATTGATATAATAAAATATATATGTAGGTTCATAGTAGAAAATTTGTAGACACATAAATAAGAAAAAACAATAATAATCCAATACACAGCAAGCTTCTGCAACTACATAGTCCTTCTTACCATTCATTGCTCTAATAAAGTTTTAAAAATAAAATGTTCTTTTGAATCATGTTAAGAACATTGTGAAATTTCCTAAAATTTCCTTCAGTTTCTTGCATTGAATTTACTCCAAAAGGAGCCAAGGGGTTCCTGGAGGAAGAATTTTTGAACTGAAGAATGCTATAAACAAACAGGAGAAACTGTCGGACGCCTGGAAAATAGCAAAAGCCAAGAAAATTTGAATGTTCTCTTCACAGCACAAAGATGTGCTTGGTAAGATGTCTATTTAAAGGGAAAAAAAAAATAGTTCTCTACTGTACCAGTTGTCAGTGATATGTGACTATGCCAAATACAGACATTCTCAAGCACGTAAAAATAGAGAAATTGCCCACATGTCAAATATACGATTTCAGGATTGCGAAAATTGTGGATGGCAGAAACCGGTAGTGAATAAGGAAACTAATTACTTATAAAGAGATATGCTGAAATGATTGCAAGGATGTATTATTATTTTATTACTTAAATATATATTGTATGGCTTATTGCACCAATTAGCTAAATAAAAAATAATAAAGAGGTATTCTGTAACACTTGTTTTTAAAAAAGCTCCAGGCCAGGCATGGTGGCTCACCAATAATCCCAGCAGTTTGGGAGGCTGAAGTGGGCAGATCACTTGAGACCAGGAGTTCAAGGCCAGCCTGGGCAACATGGCAAAACCCTGTCTCTACAAAAACTACAAAAATTAGCCAGGCATGATAGCATGTGCCTGTAATCCCAGCTACTGGAGGGACTATGGTGAGAGGATTGCTTGAGCCCTGGAGGTCAAGGCTGCAGTGAGCCATGATCAAACCATTGTACTCCAGCCTGGGTGACAGATGAGACCCTTCTCAAAAAAAAAAAAAAAAAGGAAAAAAAGCTCTTTAAAAATCAAGACTTGCCATGGTAAAGATAACATTTGAATGAAAAAGGCAGTATAATTACTGGTTGAGGTGCATATATATAATCATATATATATATATGAAATATGTATATATATACACACATATATATACACACACTATTTTATTTTTATTTATATGAGCTTGATCATCTCCACATAACCCAATAAACCAAACATATACTCACCTATTACAATACTTAACCATGAAACACTAGAGGTTTTTAGAATTAAAATTAGGACCAAAATAAGCGTGTAAGATGCCACCAGCTCTAACATTTAAAAAGTAAAATAGTACATGTTCCTTGGGAATCCATATAAACAGAAGAAAAATGTCACCGTAATAATCTCACCACCCAACGAGCCTCAGGAACCTGCAGAAAGGAAGGGCTTTTTGATCATCTCTGACTGCAGAGCCAGCAATTAAAATAAGTATAGCAAGTCTCCCTGGGATGGGGGTAGCCAGCCAGCGTCTGGGCTATGTGGATTCTCCAGGCCATTGGACACCATGCCCTTTACTCAGTAGGTGCCCGTGAGTTGGCAAAAGTCTAGCTGATTACATCCTGGTTTTTAAATCCTAAATGGCCTCTCAATAAAAACTCTTTGTATTAACATTTCACTGAAGGATAAAAAATTTCAAATATAGCTCGGCACAGTGGCTTACACCTATAATCCCAGCACTTTGGGAGGCCTAGGCAAGTGGATCACTTGAGGTCAGGAGTTCGAGATCAGCCTGGCTGACATGGTGAAACCCCATCTCCACCAAAAATATAAAAAATTAGCTGGGCGTGGTGGCAGGCGTCTGTAATCCCAGCTACTTGGGAGGCTGAGGCAGGACAATTGCTTGAACCCAGGGGGCAGAGGTTGCAGTGAGCCGAGATCGTGCCATTGCACTCCAGCCTGGGTGACAGAGCAAGGACTCTGTCTCAAAAAAAAAAGACATTTCAAATATATAGATCTTGATTTCAGATTTGTAACTTTCAACTCCAGCATTCAATTTAGTGGTCACACTTTAGTGAAAAAAAAAGACTTTTCTTCAGGTAAAAGTCTTGAGAAAAATAAATTCTTACTTCCCAAGGATCTCACAGAGCCAACATGAGTAAAGTTAGTCTGACTTGTAAGCAGGTGAATGAATGTAGCACAGAGGCATTCGGACAAGTCAGAGATGCCTGGGACTGTGCTCTTCCCATCCCTGGCCTCACCCAACACCATGAGACCCAGAGTAGGGAGGAAGGCAGCCCAGGCCCATCTCCTCCTCCATACCAACTACCTTTTCAAGCCTGTTCTGAAGGCAGAATGTTCTACCATCAGTGCTTTTTACCCTTCTTGCTCTATGAGGACAGGGAAGTTCAGGTCGATGAACAAATGGATTAACTATGATCAACTCATTTCTTTTGCTTCAAAACACACATTAAGACTAACCCAAGGAGCAAAGCCCTCAAAATGCGCTTACTCAAGAGTTTGTGGTTCACTGTGACCTCACCCTGCCCCCTCACAATAATTAATCTCAGGTTCTAGTAGAGCATTAGATCCCACTTCTTTCAACCATCTAAACTAGGTGAAAGTGTCCCTGGATTTAAGGTGCTGTAGATTAAGACAGGACTGGTGCTTTTAGATCAGGGGTTTTCTCCGGTGGGCTGTTTCCTGAAAGAGTCCAAAAAATTAGAATCAAATCCTTGCATATGAATGCACAGAAATAACATTTTTTTTCTCTTTGTGAGTTTTTCCTATGTTACTTACAGCAAAGATGGCAGAAGCCCTTAAGTTAATGAAGTCCCCAGGCATGTTGCCAGGGTGTAAAGGCCCTTATCTGTGTGCTCTCTGCCAATGGGAAGTCGGAATTATCAAGCAGCCCTTGGATCAAAGGGAAGTCTGATCCTGGGGACTTTCTTATGCCTCCCCCAGAGCTATGGATAATTTCCCTGCCTGCATTCTTCACTGCAACTCTCTTTTATGAGAAATGGCTGCTCTGGCAGAACACAAAGATGACTGCATTTCCAAGGAGGTTAGTAGACCCTTAGCATTAATGCTCAGTTTATGGGTACAATGTAGTTATACATCCAAATTTATACATTTACACATAGTCACTAATAAATAGTTGTGTTTTAAAGAGTTGAGTTTAATTGGAAACTACTTAATTTTATTAGCCAAGTATATAATATGTATATATGTGTGTTACACTTTCAGATTTGAAAAAAAGCTTGCTTGCTTAAAATTGTCAACATTATATTTTTGTAATCTAGTTATTCTAATCTAATCATCTTCTTTGTAGACCCTTCATTTCTAGAAATTTCTAAGTCTCTTTAGTTTGCCTTTTATTAAGGACTTAGCAAATATGAGGTGATTTTGCTCTCCTGTGTACACAGTGACTACTGGATGAGGAGAGAGGAGAGGACTTGTCAGGAATAGGATTATTCAAGAGCAGGAGAATCTAACTTTTCAGAGAGCAGCCTGTAACAAAGAGCTATCTAGAACAATCATGTGGTTTATGAGCGGAGCTCTCTCAGATAACCTGCCTTAGAAAGATTCTGCATTGTCCTGTCAGACATCCCAAATACGCATGGTTAAAACCCTTGGCACTTTCGGCCAGGCATGGTGGCTCACACCTGTAATTCTAGCACTTTGGGAGGCCAAGGCGGGTGGATCACTTGAGGTCGGGAGTTTGAGACCAGCCTGGCCAACATAGTGAAACCCCATTTCTACTAAAAATACAAAAAATTAGCTGAGTGTGGTGGTGTGCACCTGTAATCCCAGCTACTCAGGAGGCTGAGGCATGAGAATAGCTTGAACCCAGGAGGCAGAGGTTGCCATGAACTGAGATTGCGCTACTGCACTCCAGCCTGGGCAACAGAGTGAGACTGTCTCAAAAAACAAAAATAAAAACAAAAGAAGGAGGCAATGTCAGGCAAGGGCAGAGCAGCAGGAATGATGGTGAAACAGACAAGACTGTCTCAAAAAACAAAATAAAAAACCCTTTGCGCTTTGAACAGGAAAGAAAATAGGGACAACCTACCTTCCAGACATAGAACATGGGGTGGTTATTGCTTATGGGGGGGCGGTGTGCCCTTGCTCACACAAGCACTGTGTTGGACTAATAGGCATAGGAAGTTAAGAGCACAACTGAAGTAAAACAAAACCCATCACCCTCACCTGGCAAAACCCCACCCTCGTTAAACTTAATTCTCTGTCCACTCTTTACTTGCATGCAGGCAGCATAAGAGTGTTCCTTTAATCTTATGACCACAGATCTCAAGCTCCCTTTAACGCTCAATCCCAGAAGCACTGCACCTCTCTGATGTGGAGAGAAGGCTGCTTTACACTTCCATTTTCCTCACACCTAGAGTGCCCTTCCCTCTCTCACTGAGAAATGAAGGCAATCAGAACACAGCCAGCCTGCCTGCACACACACTCCCATGCTGTGCCTCCTTCCAGTGACAACTGTCTCAGGCCAGCCTCTCCATTTGCACATGGGATCCCATCCCATCTTGTCTTTATGCAGCCTTGATCCTGAAAGTAGCTCCTCCTTCTCCTGCATAGTCCACTGTCCTCTCCGCTCAATCACTTCCATCCCATTACATAACGATTCCACTCAGAACTCTCCAGTGGCTTTTTCACCATCATTCCTGCTGCTCTGCCCTTGCCTGACACTGCCTCATTCTTTCCACCTAATTCCAGCCTCGAGAGTCCTCTTTCTAATCCTTGAATACAGCAAGATGGTTCTTCCCTCAGGGCCCTTGCACTTCAGGTTTCTCTGCTTGGGACAGTTCCTCCAAATAAATAATTCACTCCCTCCCCCCATTTAGATCGTTTTCTCAAATGTCCCCTCCTGGGAGAGGCCTTACATCACCACCCTATCTAAACTATTCTCCACACAGCTCTTTATTTTCTCCAATCACTATTTTCATTCATGGTGCTCGTGTTGTAATTGTGTTTGCCTCCCTCCTAAAGGGCAGCCTCCAGGGGCAGAGATGTACCTGCCTGTCCTCTTCAGAGCTGTTCCTTATCACCCACCAGAGCAGTACCTGGCACACAGCAGACGGCCCATAAAACATTTGTATCCAACAAACATGGGTTATTCCCTGGCTCAGCCACTTAATAACTTGGTGGCCTTGGGCCTCAATTTCTCTTTTGTTGAGACAAGGTCTCACTCTGTAGCCCAGGCTAGAATTCAGTGGTGTTATCAGGTTCACTGCAACTTTGACCTCCTGTGCTCAAGCAATCCCCCTGCCTCAGCCTCCTGAGTAGCTAGGACTACAGGCACATGCCACCACACCTGGCTAATATTTTTAAAAATTTTTAAATTTTTGTAGAGATGGAGTCTTGCTTTGTTGCCCACGCTGGTCTCAAACTCCTGGGCTCAAGCGATTCTCCTGTCTTGTCCTCCCAAAGTGCTGGGATTACAGGAATGAGCCACTGTGCCCAGCCTCTTTGAGTTTCTTTTGCTCAACATTACTTTTGTAGGATTAATCCATATCGTGCTGTAGTTTTTCATTCTTTTGTGTGACTGTACCAGTTTATTCTACTGTTGATGGACATTTGGGTTTAGTGTTGCTGCTATGAATATTTTTATACATTTTTTTGGTGAATGTATGTGATTTTTTCCCCCTAGATGAAGTTTTGCTCTTGTTACCTAGGCTAAGGTGCAATGGTGAGATCTTGGCTCACTGCAACCTCCATCTCCTGGGTTCAAGCGATTCTCCTGCCTCAGCCTCCAAGTAGCTGGGATTACAGGCACCTACCACCACACTCGGGTAATTTTTTTGTATTTTTAGTAGAGACAGGGTTTCACCATGTTGGCCAGGTTGATCTCAAACTCCTGACCTCAGGTGATCCACCTGCCTCGGCCTCCTGAAGTGCTGGGATTACAGGCATGAGCCACCAGGCCTGGCCAATATATGTAACTTTTGATGGGTATATAATTAGGGTGAAATTATTAGGTCATGGTTTATGCATATGATAATTTTTAGTAGATTCTGCTAAAGTTTTACAAAGTGGTTTTACAAATTTACACTTCCACCAGCAGTGTATGAGAGCTCCAGTTGTTCCACATCCTTGCTAACACTTGATATTGTCTTTTTATTTTTAGTTGTGAAAGGGTATGTAGTAGTATTGCAGTGTAGCTTTATTTGTATCTTCCTGATGATTAATGAAGTGAACATTTTTTCATGTTAGGGACCCCAGGTTTATTGGCCATTGGATTCCTGCTTTTGTGAAGAGTTTGCAAAATCTTTTGTCCTCTTTTCCCATTGGGCTGTTTACTTTTTTCATGCTAATTTGTAGTTCTTTATATATTCTGGATATAGTTCTTTGTTATATATCTTCTACCTGTGGATGGCATTTTAGAATCTTGGTGCTGTGGTGAATTAAAGTTCTTACTTTTATTTATTTATTTACTTCTTGGAGGCAAGAGTCTTGCTCTGTTACCAAAGCTGGAGGGCAATGGCTTGATCACAGCTCACTGCAGCCTTGAACTCCTGGGCTCAAGCAATTCTCCCACCTTTGCCTCCTGAGTAGCTAGGACTACAGGCACATGCTACCATGCATGGCTAATTTTTTTTTTTTTTTTTTGAGATGGAGTCTTGCTCTGTCACCTAGGCTGGAGTGCAGTGGTGCGATATCCGCTCACTGCAACCTCCACCTCCCGGGTGATTCTCCTGTCTCCTGTCTCGACCTCTCAAGTAACCAATTCTCTCTCCTGTCTCAACCTCCCAAGTAGCTGGGATTACAGGCATGTGCCACCACACCCAGCTAATTTTTGTATTTTCAGTAGAGACAGAGTTTCACCATGTTGGCTAGGCTGGTCGCAAACTCTCGACCTCAGGTGATCTGCCTGCCTTGGCCTCACAAAGTGCTGGGATTATAGGTGTGAGCCACCACACCTGGCTGATAATTTTTTAAAAATTTTTTTAGAAATGGGGTTTCACTGTGTTGCCCAGGCTGGTCTCAAACTCCTGGCCTCAAGCAGTCCTCCTGCCTTGGCCTCCCAGAGTGCTCTGATTACAGGTGTGAGTCACCACACCCAGCTGAGCCTCAAATTCTGGATTTATAATGATATGGATAGAAGATAAAAATAGAAGCCCCTCACGCCTGTAGTCCCAGCACTTTGGGAGGCCAAGGCAGATGGATCACGAGGTCAGGAGAGCGAAACCATCCTGGCTAACATGGTGAAACCCCGTCTCTACTAGAAAATACAAAAAATTAGCTGGGCATGGTGGTGGGGGCCTGTAGTCCCAGCTGCTCGGGAGGCTGAGGCAGGAGAATGGCGTGAACCCAGGAGGCGGAGCTTGCAGTGAGCCGAGATCGCGCCACTGCACTCCAGCCTGGGCGACAGAGCGAGACTCCGTCTCAAAAAAGAAAAAAAAAAAAAATAGAAGCCCCTTCAGAGGACTGTGGAAAGTGTGTCTGAGGATGCGGTGAAGCAATGCCTGTGATGCTCTCAGCACTTGCCCCACATGGGGTAACTACCCAGTAAAAGTTAATTAGTACTGTTTTGTGAGCTTTTCTATAATGTTTCTCTCTGGGACTACTCCAGCTCTCTGGTTACAAAATACATAGATTTCAACATCATAGAGAAAATGCATATTTGGACAACATATACAAAACTGGAAAGTGCAAAAAATAACGAGTTACTGCCTATAAGCAGGAGCTTAATCCCTCATTCAAGATGTCTCTTTTAAAGGAATTTACTGACCCTAGAATAGTATCTGTAAGATGAATAGACAGTGGATCTATCCCACCAGATGGAAGGATAGATGTGGGGGGAGGGGTTGGATAAATGAGTGAACTGAGTGGATGGATTGCACATAGTTCAAAATGATGACTGAAATGTGGATTTATTATCTTACTTTAAGTTCTGGGATACATGTGCTAAACATGCAGGTTTGTTACATAGGTATACATGTGCCATGGTGGATTGCTGCACCCATCAACCCGTCATCTAGGTTTTAAGCCCCACATGCATTAGGGGTTTGTCCTAATGCTCTCCCTCCCCTTGTCCCCCACCACCCAACAGGCCCCAGTGTGTGATGTTCCCTTCCCTGTGTCCATGTGTTCTCATTTTTCAACTCCCACTTATGAGTGAGAACATGTGGTGTTTGGTTTTCTGTTCCTGTGTTAGTTTACTGAGAACAATGGCTTCTGGCTTCATCCACGTACCTGCAAAGGACATGAACTCATTATTTTTTTATGGCAGCATAGTATTCCATGGTGTATGTGTGCCACATTTTCTTTATCCAGTCTATCATTGATGGGTATTCGGGTTGGTTCCAAGTCTTTGCTATTGTAAATCGTGCTACAATAAACATATGTGTGCATGTGTCTTTATAGTAGCATGATTTATGATCCTTTGGGTATATACCCAGTAATGGGATTGCTGAGTCAAATGGTATTTCTGGTTCTAGATCCTTGAGGAATTGCCACACTGTCTTCCACAATGGTTGAACTAATTTACACTCCCACCAATAGTGTAAAAATATTCCTGTTTCTCCACAGCCTCGCCAGCATCTGTTGTTTCCTGACTTTTTAATAATTGCCATTCTAACTGGCGTGAAATGGCATCTCATTGTGGTTTTGATTTGCATTTCTCTAATGACCAGTGATGATGAGCTTTTTTACATATGTTTATTGGCCACATAAATACCTTCTTTTGAGAAGCATCTGTTCATATCCTTTGCCCACTTTTTGATAGGGTTATTTTCTTATAAATTTGTTCAAGTTCCTTGTAGATTCTGGATATTAGCAAATATTTCTAAGAAAATGCAGTTGGCCCTTGAACAACACAGGAGTTTAGGGCTTCCAATCCCCCATGCAGTCAAACATTTGTGTATAACTTTTGACTCCCCCAAAACTTAACCACTAACACCCTGTTGTTAACTAGAAGCCTTGCCAGTAACAGTTGATTAACATATTTTATATGTTATTTGTATTATATACCATATTCTTACAATAAAGTAAGCTAGAGAAAAAATATTAAGAAAGTCATAAGGAAGAGAAAATATATTTGCTAGTCATTAAGTGGAAGTGGATCATCATAAAGGTTTTCATCCTTGTCATTACATTGAGTAGACTGAGGAGGAGGAGGAGGAAGAGGAGGAGTTGGTCTTGCTGTCTCTGAGTTGGTGCTTTGTCTGCAAGTTTTTTCAAATTGTTGCAAACTCCAACATGTTTTCAAATATGTGTACTGAAAAAATTCATGTGTAAGTAGACTCACACAGTTCAAACCCATGTTGTTCAAGAGTCAACTGTAATTTGTTGAGAATTACTACCGGTTACTTCTAGAGCACAAGTGAGTGTTGTCTTGGGGTTCTCCACGTACCCCCTGGAAATGCAGAAGAAGGTAGGTGTGAAGTTCTTGGATGCTGGCCAGTATTTAATGAAAGATTAATTCACTCATCCCATGATCCAGCAACCCATGGGTAGCAGGAAGCCCCAGGAACACCTCTGGAGGGAATGTGGCAGCTGCTGCAGGAAGACAGAGCCCCAAGATGGCGGTGTGCCTGGGGCTGGCAGCAAGCTCACCCTTGGACCTTAGAGAGCTTTTCCTAAGTATCCATGTGGCATGTCCATAGGAAAAAAGATGTTACATTAGCAAGAAAAAAATACGTCTTTGCCTAAAACTTAAACATATTTTTAGATGGGAATACAACTTAGAAATTTTAAAGCAAGTCAGTGAGGGGGAAAACGTTTGCCTTTAAAAAAAATCATTTTCTAGGCATCTTTTCATTCAGTGAGGAGTAAATATTATCATGTTTTTGCCATTACACTCACATGAATGAGCCATGTCCATTCTTCTTTGGATTATCCCTCAAAATTGCTCATCTATTCCGTGAGAGGGAGTGGGTGGCTGGAAAGAGCTCTATGCAAAATGCAGCCCTTGTCTTCACTAAGCAGACTGTCTGACCCAGATGGAACAGCAACCGACACACTTCCTATGATTTCATTTACCCAAAGGCTTTGCAGTCGTTTGGTTTAATCGCTATTTTAAAAAGTAGAATCAAAGCAGTTTCTCCCTCCAACCTCACATGCTTAGATGAAAAGAGCTAACTCTTGTCACTCCTGCATCCTTAACTAGACTTGGTGATAAAGGACAAAACGCAGTTCTGGAAGGACAATAATTACAAGGAGTTTCATAATTTGTAAGAAAAAGATCCTGAATTCAAAGAAACGGGTTCAGCCAAAGGGGCATCTCTCTTTCCCTCAACACCCTCTTCCAATCGGTCACCAAGTTCTATCCATTTTATCACTTGGCAGTCTCCCCTCTCCCCTCCCCTCCCCTCTCCCCACCCCTCCCCTCTCCCCTCCCCTTCCCTCTCCCCTCCCCTCCCCTCTCCCCTCCCCTCCCCTCTCCCCTCCCCTCCCCTCTCCCCTCCCCTCCTGCGTACTGACAGACAGGGTTTGTGTCAGTGTCACTCAGACACTGTTGCAGCTGCCTCCAAATTAGTCTCTCTGCCTCTGTCTTCTGCCCTCTAATTTTGTGATTCACATCCTTGAGTATACACTGGACTCACCTGGGAGCCTTAAAGAGGACAGATGCCCAAGTCCCACCCACCTCCCCACCCCCAGTCTGACTCACATGGTCTTGGTAAAGCCTGGGGCAGCTCCTACACCATGGCAGAGCCGTCCCTCAGAGAGCTGGGGTAAGGGGCTGATCTCCATGAGTTCATGTTGCCCTTGCTAACAGAAGAGCAAGGCCAATTACACAGTTCATGGTTTCCAGAAGATGAAGACCAGCCATAGTTTCCCAGGAGAAATACAACTGTTGTTGGTTCTACAATCAGGCAGATATTTCTCCCAAGGCAAAAGAATATGTTGAAAATGAGCTTTGGATCATGAAGGAAATTGCTTGAAGAAGGTTGTATTCATTTCCTATTTTGTTGTGTTACAAATTATCACAAAGTTAGCTCGTGGGTCTATAGGTCAGAAGTCCTGGACAGCATGGCTGGATTCTCTGCTCAGTCTATTGCAAGGTAAAATACCTGAAATCAATGTCAGCCAGGCTGAGTTCTCATCTGGAAGTTCTGTGGAAAAGCCTACTTTCAAGCTCATTCTTGTTGTTGGCAGAATTCAGTTCCTTGTGGTTAGGACAGAAGTGCCTGTTTCCTGTTTCCTTGCTGACTCAGCCAGGGGCCAACCTGGGTCCTTCATGCCGCCCACATTCCTTACCACGTGGTCCCCTCCATCTTCCAGCCTGCAATGGTGTGTCAAACCCTTCTCACCTTGAATCTTTGACTTCCTCTCTCTCTTTGACCTCTAGGCCCAGATTGAAAGAATTTGTGTGATTCAGTCAGCCCCTTATAATGTCCCTTTGTTAAAGTCAGCTATCCTGATTCCAGAGTAATTCACAGTCCCTGAGCACATACACCACAGAGGCAGGAAATCTTGGGGCCCATCTTAGAATTCTGCCTGCTGCAAAGGCTCAGAAGGGTCCCCCTAGTCATCCTGGTATTTGGAGGTTGAAGGTGGAGGAGGAAAGAGAAGAGCCAAGCCATCCCGACTCAGCCCAGAGTTTCTAACTACCCACATGATACAGAAACCCACTCCCAGGGATGTGCATGAGCCCTGAAGAAGCAGTGCTGCCCCAGCTCAAACAACTTACCCTACATGAGCTGCCAACACTTGCCCCTAGATCCAGCGTGATGCCAAAGCAATCAGGGAGATGTTCCTGCCCCCCCTGCATGTTTCTGCTGTCTTCTAATTAAACCCTTCCAGAAATTCTGCCCCACCCACTTCCCCACCAGCTTCAGCTGTGTCACCTATCATCTCAAGTTGTAAGCCCTCATCTCAGGTCCATGGACTCTCAAATCAGCTCAGATGAGGGAGGAATGTGTCCATCAGTTCCCTCATTTGGGCCAGCTGAAGGGTGTAGAAGCTAACAGAAGCTCACCGCACTGTGCTTTTATTTTTTATTTCACATAAGGACAGGTTTTGTTTACAAAATAATTAAAATAGCAGCTTGACATGAATTCCTTAGAAAACAGGATAGAAACATAAGGCCAAGACTACCCACATATTAAGTCAATCCAGATGAGTGTGGCATGCCAGGCAACGCATTTGTTTTCCTGAGGTGTGTATTTCAAATAGAGTCTGGATGGGCAGAAACATGATCCAGCCATTTAGAAGGTACTGAGGCAGCTTCCAGAACTGTGTTTTGGTCCCATCTTTTCCTCACAGCAGCTCTTTCTTGTCATGAAACCATCAGCCCTCATTCTCCCACTCCCTTTCCATCTCTCCCCACCACCAATCCCATTGTTCTCCCTCCCCTCCTCACACAGCCCCCAGCCAGCCCCTTCCCTTGGGCTGGCTTTGAATGGATCGAGGTTATGGAAACGGATTCATCTTCACTCTTCCTGTTCTACCTTTTTCTAAGTCTTAGAGGATCCAGGTCTTTCTCTGTGGTCTTTATTCACCAAAACTACTACAGTGTTGGTGTCTTTCTGATTAAAGGACTCAGGTTCCTCAAGTTTGAAGGAGAAAGTAAGTTTTAAATACTTTTTACAAAGGAAACTTTCCTTCTTGCTTCTGCCTGTATGTTTATCTAATTCCATAACCAACTAGAGAAACAGGACCATCCATCTTCAGGTCTTTTACAGACTTGTAGACATGCAGAAAATGCTAACAGCAGCAAGACATTTACATAGGAAGCCTTTTTAAAGGATATAAATTACCATACTGATAACTCATAGGTGTTAGACACAGACCAATGCTTTTTGTTGGTTTTCAGCTTATGGTATATTTATAACTCTTCTAAGCTGGACCAAATGATCTAACAAAGGGCAACAGATTTCTCCTCCACAGTGAATGGAGGGTTCAGGATTCTGGGCTCTGGCCCCGATTTGTCTGGTGTGACCAGTTATGTGACCTCGTGGGCCCCTTGATTGACTAGCTTATGCTTCACGTTTTTCATCTATAAAGTAAGGAATCAGATATTAGATAATCTGCTAACATAATTCTTAAGATAGAAGTCAGAGGTTAAAAAACAAATACAATATAAATAACAACATTAGCCTGATTTAGAACATGTATTATGTGACACTTTTATACACATTATGCCATTCCGTTCTCAGGGGAACTCAGTGAGATACGTTTTATTATGATCTCCATTTGATGCAAAAGAAAACTGAGCATTAGAGCAATTGATTGCCTCACCCTAACACAGACAGAGGAGGAGCTGGCAGAGAAAGGGACATGCTGGCTCCAGCCTGGCTGCCTCTTCACACCATATTGTACACCTGCCTGTGACCACCTCCGTAAATGCTCCCAACCATCCATCCACTCCACATCCAGGGAATTCAACATGCATTCCTGAATTATTTATCTCTTTGTAAAGAAGGAATAAAACATGACTTGGTTATTATGCAATACAATAATGGCCAACATCACATTTGTAGGTCAAATGTTCAGGACAAGAACTGCAAATTCAAAAGCTTCCAGGGAGCCAGGTCATTATCACATGTCATCAGATCTAAAATGCCATGGACTTTCAGACCAACCATTGATTTTCATATTGCCAAGCTAGAAAAACTTCCTAATTTTAATTACAAGACTTATGAGTGGTGTACTGCATAATGATTATCAAACGTGAAGCAGTGGGTGCTTGGAATGAAAGAAGCAGTCACAGGACACCTGGGGATGTGTGATGCTTCTGAGGAGGATACTGTTTCTCAGCCCCAGGGTGTTACTGCTGGATATTCTGGGTTTTTTTGTTTTGTTTTGTTTTTGAGACTAGCCCAGGCTGGAGTGCAGTGGCATAATCTCAGCTCACTGAAACCTCTGCCTCCTGGGCTCAAGCAATTCTCATGCCTCAGCCCCTCGAGTAGCTGGGATTACAGGTGTGTGCCACCATGCCCAGCTGAAACACTCTGTGAGCCAAAGAAAACCCCAACAGTTTGCCATGCAGCCCACTGCCCAGCCTTACCTGTGCCAGTGGGTGCCTCTTGATGAGTTTGAACCAGGTAAGAATGATTGGCCTACAGAGGGTGGGATGATGACCCCTTCACAGGCCGAGGGGACAGCTGGCTGGGTAATGGTCATCCAGACAAGAAAGGAGTGGGGCCTGGACCAAGGTGCCAGTGATGGGGATGCAAAGAAGCAGGTCATTGTTTCTAGTGGAAGATGCAGGCCCAAGCCCTGAAAACAAAAGCCTGTGTGGCCAAGGGGTCGCCAGAATCTAATTCTCACGCAAGTCAGGGAAAGACAGTTTTGAGGGTAGGTGAGGTTTAGTTAGAGACAACTTTAAGATGTCTATCTTTCCATTACCATTTAAGAGATGTAGACCCTTGAGAGTGGTGTTTCTCAAAGTGTGGTCCCTCCACCGCCAGCGTCAGCGTCACCTGGGAACTTGTTAGCAATTCAGACTGCTGGAGCCGTCCCCAGACTTACAAAATCAGTCCTTCTGGGGGTGGGCCCAGCAATGTGTGTTTTATCAAGCCCTGTAGGCGATTCTGATGCATGCTAAAGTTGGAGAACCTCTGCACTAGAGCAGATGCCACTCAATTATTTTTTAGGACTCAGTACAATGTATGTCCTCACTTTTAGAACAGTCTGCACTACACAAGAAGCTATGTTAGAGAAGAATCACTTTACACCCTAAGAACCGTCAGGGAAAATCTACTATTGGATTAATCTCAGCTAGCATTTTCATTTGCACAGTGCTTCTTACACATTCTCATCACATTGTTGTTGCTGTTGTTGTTGTTGTTGTTGTTGTTGTCGTTGTTTTAAAGAGACAGGATCTCATTCTGTCACCCAGGCTGGAGTGCAGTGGTGTGATCATGGCTCATTGCAGCCTTGAACTCCTGGGCTCAAGGGATCCTCCTACCTCAGCCTCCCAAGTAACTGGGACTACAGGTGTGCACCACCATGCCTGACTAAATTTTTGTAGAGAAAGAGTCTCACAATGTTGCTCAGGCTGATTTTGAACTCCTGGCCTCAAGTGATCCTTCCACTTTGGCCTCCCAAAGCGCTGAGATTACAGGTGTGAGCCACCCACCTGGCCCCCTCATTATTTTTAGTAAGCTAAAAGCAGCAGATCTTTGCCTGAAGGAGATGTATTCCTGGTGCTAAAATCTTGCAGGCCTGTGTGGTCAAAAGCAATCAGAGTAAAGAAAATCATTCCTAATTAACTCATTATTTCCAATTCGCACCATGAAAGCTATAGGATAAATGCCTCATTTTTCCAACCCCTCTCTTTTTCCTCGTAGTGATTAGCATAAGAGCCCTGAAATTGAGGACCCTGTGCCTTGTCTTCAAGGTGGTAAAGAAAGCAGGAGCTGTGCAGACTGGAAGCTGGCTTGGTGATGGTGGCATCAGAAAGCAAAGGGAGGCCACGCATGGTGGCTCATGCCTGGAATCTCAGCACATGGGAGACCAAAGCAAGAGGATCACTGGAGCCCAGAAATTCCAGACCAGCCTGGGCAACATAGTGAGACCCCGTTCCTACAAAAAAATTTTTTTAATTTGCCAGGCATGGTGGTGCACATCTGTAGTCCCAGCTACCCAGGAGTCTGAGGTGGGAGGACCACTTGAGTCTAGGAAGTCAAAGCTGCAGTGAGCTATGATGGTGCTACTGCATCCAGCCTGGGTGGCACAGCAAGCAACTCTTAAAAAAAAAAACAAAAAAAAAACAGCAGAGTTGTGGAGGCAGAATATGAACAAAATATGAGCAAAAGAGATGCAAGCAGCCAGGCTAGATCTGAGGAAATGACCCCAGGGGGTTAACAGACTCTATGGAGTTGGGGTAGTGAGTTCTGAAACTCTTGTTTTAAGTCTTTCAGACCAAATATTGATTCATCTCAAGTGAATTTTGTGAAGTTGTGGCAGGCCAGGTCTCACTAACACAGGCCTCCGTTACAACTGTCCCAGCACTGACTGAGGAGCTAGGTTAAACATTAAAAGCTGATTGAGCCAGTGCCCTTATACAATGGCTGGAATGTAACAAAGAGCCCACCAAGAGTTTTGCCTAGGCTTTTCCTGGGCCTTGAAGCATGACAAGATAAGGAGGGAATTCTTAACAGGACCCTTTTAGAATTAAACAAGTTTTATTGGGGGTCTGAAAAAACTCCCCAGGCCTCCACAAACAAGTTTATTGGGGTCTAAAGGAACTCCCCAAACCTTTAGAATTTGGCAGGAGACAAGATAAGGGTAATCATCCTAGCACCTAGACCCATTTAAATTAAATAAACTTACTGAGGCTCCAGAAGAAGGTCTTCAGGACTCAGACCTTAGTCATAGATTAAAAGAAGTTAATCACTTACATCTTTAGGTGAATGCACACTTACACGTAGACATATAGCTTAGAAGGTATGTAAGTTCTGGAAAACTTTGTAATTTTGAGTTGGTCTGGTGATAATCTCTATATCTTCTCCCTGTAGCTGGTTATAGAAATGAAAACTCTCTTCCTCCCCAGTTCATCTGTATCTCATTATTGGGCCACGAGAAATAGCAGCCTGACCCTCAGTTTGGTCCGGGAACAAAGTCATTGAATTGTTCTTAGCTCAGCTTTCACATTTGTAAGCAGGAGTGGGAGTGAATGATACCTAATTCTTAAACAGTTAAAATAGTGCGTATGGAAGAACTGGCTCTGTGCCACTCACCTGTGTTGCTTTCCCCAGCCCCTTTGTTGGGACTTCTTAGTCTTTATCTCAAGTGTCCCTGAGGTTGGGGAGATTTCCTTGGGATTCAGTTGGCTTATGTTTCTTTTGTTTAGGCCCCTAAAGTTGGCTTTGCCCTTTCAGTTTACAGGTCTTTCTGTTGGAGAACTTGAAATGTGCTGCCTCCAACAGCAAGCAGTTAGAATGACAGTCATATAATGAGGGTCTAATGAGGGAAATGCACTCAGCAGTGCTCTGTAAACGTGGGTAAGGTGTGTTTACTTATCTACCATTTACTTGTTTGAACATCTCAGAGATTTGGAGGTGGAAAAGGAACTTGGGCCTTTGGTTGGTTTGCTTTTTAGTTTTGTTTCTTGCTCTTTTAAGGTGGCTTTGAGGCCTATCTGATTATTTAATAGACTTTGTCTTGGAGGTAAAAGATACTGAACTTTAGAGGAATCCCTAGATCTCTGATGCAAAGTGGAACTCGTAATTCCCTACTTTCAGCTGCCAATACACCACAGCTTACATATTATGATAATGTAATGATATTTTCACCTCATTTTTAGGTTCCATTATTATTATGGAGCCTTATACTTTTCATTTATAGGCAAATCAAAGTTTTCTGGGCCAGATGAATAAGACTCAGTGACATAATGAATTTTAATCTCTGCCTCATTGTCAATTTAATTGTTCTATAACTAAAACAAACCTTGTCAGCATGTTTAGGGGAAATAATTCTGTAATTATTTGAGAATAATCGTGGGTATGTAAATGGAGTTATCACATCAGAATTGAGCATAATGTGGCCACACTCCTATTGGAAATGCCATATGCACTAAAGGGAGCAGCTCCAGCTTTTACCCAAAGGAAGTAAACCCAGGTCTGGGCCATTCCAAGAGGCAGCTTAGAAAGTTCTTCGAAATCTCCTGCTTTACCTTCCAAATACATGCTCATTTGGCATTCAGCTTTAGGTTTCTTCATATTTGTTTTTAAAATAAAGACAATTTAACCCAAAATTTTGGGTAAAATGATGTTCCCAGGCAGGCACCCTTGCCCTTGGGCATAGCTGCTTACCTCTGGGAACAGAAGGGGCCTGTATGAGAAGCCCTGATGTCTTGGGAGGCTGGAAGACCTGGGATATAGGTCAGCACACATATATGACTGTGTGATTAGATGCTGCTGTGTATTTTTAGCAAACCACCTCATCTTTCATGCAGTGATACTGTGCAAAGAAAGGGTAAAATTTGAATAACATGCTGGAGACTAAAGGCCGAGGGAGCCCTGTCAACTGAGCTATAGTCTCCGGACTGCTGAAACAGAAGATCCCCTGCCAGGGTGAAAAGAGCTGATCTTCACACTCTTTTGCTGAATTGCAGTTTTAGGGGTGTGCAACAGTGGTGTGAATTCATATTTACAACTTTTCAAAAGGCAATTGTAGAGAGAAAATGAGAATGAGAGTAGGAGAGAAAGACATCTGAATTAACCTCAAAGCTCTTAATTTAACTCCAAGAGCTTCTCAATACCCTGCAGAATCTTCTACACCCCACAACAGATTCAGTTTGGAATCTGTTAAACCATTTGCCAAGTATGCTCTGTTGTGGAAACATTTGGGTGCAAGACACACACAGTGAAACTGCCAGAGCTTCAACAGAGAGAGGGGGGGCAACAGGACCCAGCACCAAGCAGTTAGAATGGTAGTCAGGCATCAGACAAGCCACAGAGCAAAGGGAGCTTGTCAGCCCTGAGAAGACCAGCCATGTCCCTGGCAGGCCTGCAGCCTCAGGTTGCTCCAGGGTGAAACTATTTGGGCTGAGTCTTCACATCATTTTCACAGTCAATAAACTGTAAAGAGTCTGTCTGTGAGTATAGCATATTTCTCAACGTCAAACATGCTTCTGCAACGCATCTCGAGTGAGAAGTCAGGTTGTCAAACCTTCCTAAGACTGGGCAAACATTTTTACTTCCTGGAAAATGTTTATTATGGCTACCATTCCCTCCATTTTTGTATCATCAGTGTGGTGCTTAGATGACTTTGTAAATGATGTTAGTGAAAAGCCAAGAATTTAGGTGGGATTTTATGGAGACTTAAATGATGTGTCTCCTCACTGAGCTTAGTAGCTTTTGGAAAACATACTCTTTTTTCTTCTTCTTTTTTTTTTTTCATCTACAGACCTGTTTTTGATGCAATAAAGATGAAGAGGCTTCTTTGTAAATACTATGAATGCCAGCAGAGGAGTATTTAAATATGAAGAACCAAAATATGTATGCTTTAAAAAGGAAGGAATAAATGTACCATCCTTTGTTATCATTGCATGTTTGAGCTCATTTCAGCTTAGCATGAAATACGCCATTTAATCCTATACTTTTAAAAAATATACATTGGAATGCACATACTCTAGACTTACGATTCTATAAACTATAATTATTAAAATTATAGTTTCTATTGTTCCCCCAAAGAACTTTTATTCTTAGAAAGAGACAAATTTGGGGTGGACATTTTTAAATTAGAATTAGGAGCCAGAGGCTTTAGCCATTGATTGTTAATTGTCCTGGTGGTGCAGTATAGCACTGTGAGGAGGGGTGGTCAGCATGTGGAGGTCTCCCACAGCCATGTCCAGGCACAGGCTTGCAAGAGAAGAAAAGTCCACAACACTAAGGAATTTGGAAGCCCTGATTATGCCATGAGGACTGGCCACCTTCAGAGTTAAGAAAAGCATGGTCTAGCCTGAGGATGTGGTCTCTGAACTGATGGCTGATCTCCATTTCTTGGTGTCAGCCATTGATGGGAATAACAGACATAAAGGAGGAGGGAGAAGGCCCTCTGATGTGAAGAAGGCTAATTGTTGTCAAAATGCCAGGGATTTATTCTAGGTCCCATTGCTCCATGCATAGAAAGCCAATCACTGAGACAATGAGTATTGCCAGGAAAGAAGGCTTTTTATTTGGGTGATGTTAACTGGGAGAATAAGAGTTAAGTTTCAAATCCATCTCCTTGAGCAACTAAAATTGGGGTTTATATATCAGGGAAGGAATGTAAAACAGGAACAAAGGAGGAGTCTAAGGAACTAAGGAAGATGAATAAGGGGTATGGCATCCAATGGTCTAGATCTGGGCATCTGGTGAGTTTCAGTCCCTCACCTGAGAGTCAGTTTCCTGAGGAAGGAATTCCAATGAGACTGTAACTGCCCAAAGGGTTCACCTTGCCCACTGTCTAGACAGAGCCGATTCATCAAGACAGGGGAATTGCAATAGAGAAAGAGTAATTCATGCAGAGCCGGCTGTGCTGTGCGGGAGACCGGAGTTTATTATTACTCAAATCCATCTCCCGGAGCATTCAGGGGACAGAGTTTTTAACGATAACTTGGTGGGGCAGGGTGGAGTAGTGGGTTGGAGGGGGTGGAAGCTAGTGAGCCAGGAATGCTGATTGGTCAGAGATGAAATCATAGGGAGTCGGAGCTGTCTTCTTGCAGTGGGTCAGTTCCTGGGTGGGGGCCACAAAATCAGACTAGCCAGTTTGTTGATCTTGTGGTGCCAGCTGATCCATCAAGTGCAGGGTCTATGAAATATCTCAAACACTGATCTCAGGAGCAATTTAGGGAGGGCCAGAATCTTGTAGCCTCCAGCTGCATGACTCCTAAACCATAATTTCTAATCTTGCAGCTAACGTTAGTCCTACAAAGACAATCTAGTCTCCAGGCAAGAAGGAGATCTGCTTTGGGAAAGGGCTTTTACTGTCTTTGTTTAAACTGTAAACTACAAACTAAGTTTCTCCTAAAGTTAGTTCAGCCTATGCCCAGGAATGAACAAGGACAGCTTGGAGGTTAGAAGCAAGATGGAGTCAGTTAAGTTAGATCCCTTTCACTGTCTCAGCCATAATTTTGCAAAGGCAGCTTTAAGACAAATGTAAGTTTCAAGTTTTCATAACACCTCAGGACCTATGAGAGTTTTGACTCACCAATCCTGGCCATGTTTTACTCTGATTCTTATCAAATGAGACTCTAAGGGACAGACATGTGTCAAAGAATTTGACAATCTCTTATCTGGCCTGGTGCCGAGCCCCATTCCGTATGTCACTCCACTGGTTGGCTCCCTCTGCTGAACAGCCCAGGATCCCTGAGATGCACATCACATTTGGGCTTCAGGGCAGTCATACCAAGATTTGTCTACAAGCAGCAGCCAAGCTCACAGGCTCACCAGGGGCACCTGCTTCAGTGTGAAAAGATGAATAATAATCCCTTTGTACTCCCCTTGCCTGAAGCTGTGAGCCCTGTGATGCCCAGTCATTACTCCCAGTCTCATATCAGGCAGGTTGATGTGAATATCCAATCACAACCTATACAGCATCAAGAATACTAAGAGAAGAAAGAAAAAGACTGAACCCACACAATCTACAAATAGTGAGACTCTGAGCAAGAGATTATGGATATTTTCATTTTTCTCTTCCTAGTACAGATTACCTTCTAAAAAATGGACACTGTGGATTTGCTTAATACCCAGAGTTTTAAAATTATTTTCTGCAAACATACAACACATGCAAAGGCAAATAGGAAGAGTCATTCTGCCTTCAAATACTCAAAATCATTTCTGAATAAAACCTTCCTAGAAGAGAATGGAAGCAAAAACCCTAGCTATTTTGATTAACCTATTACTAAATATTGAGCAATGATGAAAAACAAAACATTTTAGCAACATTGTTTTCAAATACCTACTAGATTCTAGATAATCCATGTAACAATTGTGTTCTGAAATTTCCGAGGAAGGCAATTGATTAATTAAGAGAGACCTCAGAAGAGCTCCTTAATGCCTTGTTCAGGCTCCTCTCCAGCAGTTTCCTGGAAATCCCTAAATAATAATAAGTGGAGATGCAGCAGTTCAACACTCTACTTTGCTAAATGGAAATACATTATAATTACAATAGTAAACATCTATTGACCTATCATTCTAGTGCCTTAGGCCCTGCTTTAATAAATACTTTTTGCAAATTTGAATGTGAAAAGACATGGTTTGCATAAGTAGTTACAAAGGGTCTTTTCTATTACAGTAATTGTGTTTGTTGATTTCCATTTTCCTGAAAAGTACCCATCACCCCCACTAGCAGATCCTCTACTACTGGGAAAAACATTAGGTTGCTAGAAAGTTGTTTTAATCAATAGTTGCCCAGTGAAATCACTGTCTTCGTTGCCTGTAGCTGGTAAAATCACTGTGAATAACCATGCTTGTGTTGAAGTGTGAATATCCATTTCAGTGCTTGTTTTGTTTGTCTCCCATTTTCCTTCTTTTTACAGATTTTTAAAAGCATTGGTGCTGATGAGACCGTCCAAGGACAAGGAAGTCGGAGGCTGATCAGCTTCTCTCTCTCAGGTATGTTTTGCTCACCTGAGACTTTGTGGAGAGACTAAGAATGTCAACCAAGAGTGAAGACACTCACTTCCATTTCACTCTTACCTACAAGTCAGTCAACCTCTCTGTGCCTCAATTTCTCAATCTGTAAAGCAAAAATGTTTTTTAAATCTGTTCAATTTCCCTTGACCACATAAGGATAATAGAGAGTTTAGGAAGTAATAGATGTGAAAGCATGTTGAGATGATGGAAAGGGAGGCTGCAGTTCTACCTTTCCCCCAGGTCCATGTAGCAGTAGTTGAGCATATACAAGGGGAAGTAAGGAAAACCTGGGAAGAGAAGCAGCTATTCAACTCTTTGTCTAAACAAAACCTCACATGGGGCACAACTGGCAAAACAGATAACTGAGCCGCTCAAAAATGCTCATTCATGGAAAAAAAATCAGTGGAATCCAATTAAGTCTGTTAACTAATAATATTTTAGTTTAATATTTAAGAGTAAGTTAACGTTTTAGTTTTCATGAATGTACCATGGTTCCATCTGTCATGCATGTCTGTGTGAAGAGAGTCCACCAACAGGCTTTGTGTGAGTAACATGGCTGTTTATTTCACCTGAGTGCAGGTGGGCTGAGTACGAAAAGAGAGTCAGCAAAGGGTGGTGGGATTATCATTAGTTCTTATAGGTTTGGGATAGGAGGTGGAGTTAGGAGCAATTTTTTGTGGGCAGCGGGTGGATCTCACCAAGTACATTTCAAGGGTGGGGAGAATATTACAAAGTACCTTCTTAAGGGTGGGGGAGTATCACAAAATACATTATTGCAAGGGTGGGGAGGGTGTATTGTCATAAGGTCAATTGATCAGTTAGAGTGGGGCAGGAACAGATCACAGTGGTGGAATGTCATCTTTTGTGGTTCTTCAGTTGCTTCAGGTCATCTGGATGTATATGTGCAGGTCACAGGGCATATGATGGCTTAGCTTGGGCTCAGATGCCTGACAACATCATATGTTAATAATGGGACAAACTGGGCAAAGGTTATGTGGGAAATCTTTGTATTATCTTTGGAACTCTTCTGTAAACCCAGAATTATATAAAAATTAAAAGTTTAGGGCTGGGAGTGGTGGCTCACACCTGTAATCCCAGCACTTTGGGAGGCCAAGGTGAGCAGATCACCTGAGGTCAGAAGTTTGAGACCAGCCTGGCCAACTTGGCAAAACCTCATCTCTGCTAAAAATACAAAAATTAGCCAGGCATGGTGGCGGGCTCCTGTAGTCCCAGCTACTTGGGAGGCTGAGGCAGGAGAATGGCTTGAACATGGGAGGTGGAGGTTGCAGTGAGCCGAGATTGCACCACTGTACTCCAACCTAAGCAACAGAGTGAGACTCCATCTCAAAAAAAATGAAATAAAATAAAATAAATAAAAGTTTAAAAGAAAAACTGAGCTGCTCTGGCTAACATGATATACAAAGCTCAGGGCTTCACACACTCAATCCCACCCTAAACAGTCTTTAAGGGGACACAGCGGCATAAAGCCTGAGGACTCTGTTGAGCACAGTTGGAAAACTACTACCTTAGCTTGTCAAATCAACAGATGTTGCAGGCCATGAATGCCAGAGGTCACAGGCATGAAGTACATGTGCCTCCTTGGGAGCTACACTGTTAACTGGGCTTTTCAAGTCTAAGTGAGCCCAGTAAAGCAAATATGTTTTGATCCATTGACAGTGTTAGCATGTGTATATCTAGGCTGAAGAAAAAAAAAAAGAAGAAAAAACTTGTAACCACCCAATGTGTTCACCTTGCCCACTGCCTAGACAGAGCCGATTTATCAAGAGAGGGGAATTGCAGTAGAGAAAGAGTAATTCACACAGAACTGTCTGTGCAGGAGACCAGAGTTTTAGTATCACTCAAATCAGTCTCCCCGAGAATTCGGCCATCAGAATTTTTAAGGATAGTTTGGTGAGTAGGGGCCAGTTAGTCAGGAGTGCTGATTGGTTGGGTTGAAGATGAAATCATAAGGAGTTGAAGCTGTCCTCCTATGCTGAGTCAGTTCCTGGGTGGGGGTCACAAGATCAGATGAGCCAGTTTAGCCACCTGGGTGGTGCCAGCTGATCCATCAAGTACAGCATCTGCAAAATATCTCAAGCACTAATCTTAGGTTTTACAATACTGACATTATCTCCAGGAGCAATTTGGGGGTAGTCAGAATCTTGCAGCCTCCAGCTATATGACTCCTAAATCATAATTTATAATCTTTTGACTAATTTGTTAGTCCTACAAATGCAGTCTAGTCTCCAGGCAAGAAGGGGGTTTGTTTCAGGAAAGAGCTGCTGTTGTCTTTGTTTCAAAGGTAAACCATAAACTAAGTTCCTCCCAAAGTTAGTTGCGCCTGTTCCCAGGAATGAACAAAGACAGCTTATAGGTTAGACGCAAGATGGAGTTGGTTAGGTCAGATTTCTTTCACTGTCTCAGTTATAATTTTGCAGTGGTGGTTTCAACTCACTAATTTTGTACTTCTAAGGCAAAAGCTAGCAACTCCTATTGAAATGCTTAAGAAATAACAATGATTAATACCAACCTTCAAAAACAGTAGAAACCAGGAATACTGCACAACTATGTGCCAGAAACCAAGAGGAATTGTCACTAACCAAAGGTCCAGTGAAGTCCAAGTCCTGAAGCCCAAGAGGAATGCCATGCATGGTGAGCAGGGCAGGACTGGGGAGGGGACAGTCTCTATTCCTTTATCTCTGCTTTGCCTCTGCCATGAAGACATGGGCTCACAGACCTACCAGAGGAGGAAGCCCCACCACCACCCCAACTTGGTTCACAAAGCTACTTTATAAGGTGATCAGGGTTGGTTCATCTCCTGCAGTCCCCAAACACATCATTTTTCTTACATTTATTCCAAGACAACCATTCCCAGCAAAGGAAAGTGACTAGGAATATAAAGTTAGTAGCTAGCGGAGCAAGCTTGGAATGGTCATGGACATATAATGCTCAGTAGTTGGCTATGTATATGTATGTTGCATTCACTATGTCTGCCTAGGACAAAAAGCAAATACTGTTGAAACTATCAAAATAAATTCCATGCAGCCAGGCATGGTGGCTCATACCTATAATCCCAGCACTTTGGGAGGCCAAGGCAGAAGGATTGCTTGAGCCCAGGAGTTTGAGACCACCTGGGTAATATAACAAGATCCCATTGCTACAAAAAGTAAAAAAAGTTAGCCAGCCATGGTGGCATGTACCTATAGTCCCAGCTACTCAGGAAGCTGGGGCAGGAGGATCACTTGAGCCCAGGGGTTAGAGGCTACAGTGAGCTCTAACTGTGCAACTGTACTCCAGGCTGGGCAACAGAGCAAGACCCTGCTTCAAAAGACTAAAATAAAATAAAAATAAATTCCATGCCTCAAAAAAAGACAAGACAGAAAGATCAGCAAAGCCCACAAAATATCAAAAATTTGCTCCATGCTGGTCAGCTCTGAGTATAAGAGCAGAGCTAAGGATTCCAGCAACAACCAGTTGGACAACCAAACTCACTAAAGATGGACAAACGCCGGGACTACATGACATGCTCGTAGGTAAACAACAGAAATTTTGACTTGAACAATGTGTGGAGAAAATACTCTACCCTATTAAAAAGTCGAAGACTATAATACTCAAGAGAAAAAGAAACTATTCTATTGACAGATACCTACTAAAGAGAAGTAAAATATTTATCACTCATCTGCTTGTACCCTCAACAAAATAGAGGGAAGTGCAGAGCATATTAAATAAGAGATCAAAGATGAGAAAAGATGATAAGGGAGTTTTTTAAAGCTTGCAAAAATAGAAACTTAGAAAGTCAAGTGTATTTGCTTTCTCTTGCTGCTATAACAAATTGCCACCAACTTAGTGGCTTAAACAACACAAATGTACTCTTACTGTTCTGGAGGTCAGAAGTCCAGAATGAATGTTAAGGGACTAAAATCAAGCTGTCAGCCAGGCTGGTTCCTTCTGGGGGCTCTGGTGCAAATCCATCCCTTGCCACTTTCAGCTTCTAGAGGCTGCCAGCATTCTTTGGCTCATGGCTACATTGCTCCAATCTCTGCTTCTCTCATCACATTGCCTTCTCCTCATTTTGCTCTTCCTGCCTCCATCTGACAAGGACTCTGTGATTACGTTGCACTCACCTGGACAGTCCAGGATAAATCTCTCTACTGCAAGATCCTTAACTTAATCACTCTGCAGAGTCCCTTTTACCATGTAAGGTAACATATTCATAGGCTCCAAGGATTAGGATGTGAACATCTTTGTGAGGTCATTATTCTGTCTACCGCAGTCAAGAAGAGATTTAAAATAAACTCTAAAAAGTACAATCACAGAATTAAAAGCCTTCAAAAGCAGTACAGGTCACACTCACCACTACAGAAAGGGAATCAGTGATATGACAGATTGACTTGAGAGTCTCTCCCGGAAGGCATCAATGAAGGGCAAAGTCCAAAAAGGACGAGGGAAAAAAAGATGAATGGCACATACAGAGCCAACACATAATCAGTGTTTTTGATGAAGAAATCAGAACAAACTGAACAGAAACAGTAATAGAAGAAAACTTCCTTGAGCTGAAGATAATTTTGAGTATTTAAATTAAAGAAGACCATCAGGTGCTCAGAGAAAGAAATGTATATGAAGAGACCAACACCTAGACAAATCTCATTTAAAAAGGTTTTTTTTTTTTTTTTTTTCCCCCAAATATAGCCACAGTAGACATCTGGGCTGAAAATGCATGATACGTACAAAAGAACAATCCTCATGCTAATCTCAGACTTGTCTTCTGAGATGCCAAAATAATGAAGCAAAGCCTACCAAGTGATACGGACAGGAGACAGGGAAATACTGGGTAGAAGAGGGCAGTTACCCAGCAAAGGCCCCACCCTCAATCCTGGAAACCCATGGCCCTAAATGGGAACAGGCGTTCCTGTTTTCGCACCCAAATGTTGCATTTTGGCCCACCATGCCCCTCTATCTTGTACCCATATAAGCCCCATATCCCAGGCTCCACAAGCAGATGAGCAGAAGAGCAGAGCAACAGAAGAGTGGCACGGCAGAGAAGGAGAGAAGAGAAGGAGCATCCGAATGTTGAGAGGAGTTCAGTTGGGGAAGGTCGAAGAGGAGATTGGCCGAGGGACAGCCAAACTCCAGGGGAAGATCATCTTCCCACTCCATCCTCTTTCCAGCTCACCACTCATCCTGCTGAGAGCTACCTCCGCCAATCACTGAAACCCCTGCATTCACCATCCTTCAGGTCGGTGTGTGATCTGATTCTTCCTGGACGCCAGACAAGGATCCAGATACCAAGAAGGCAATGAATTGGTTAACACTTAAGCCAGCCGCAGATGGCAGAGCTAAAGGAGCACTGTAACTCACCCACTGGGGCTCCAGGAGTCACAGACACCCTCCCCTAGATGCTACCGCGGGGCCGGAGCCCAAAAGCACTCACTCCGGTTCCTGCACCTGCCCGTCTGCATGCTCCCTCTCCCATAAGAGGTTTGAGCATACGAGCCACACCCCTGTTGCATGTCCTGTGAGGGGGGTCAGGGAACTCTCCTATTTCACAAGTTCTAAGGGGAGAATTGTTTTACCCAAGATTTCCATGTCCACCAGATTTTCATATATGTGGGAAGGCAAGAGGAACACCCTCAGGTTTATAAGGGCTCAAACACTACCACACTTACACCTCACTTTAAAATAATATGTAAGCATGTACTCCAGCATACAGAGATAAAATCCAAGAAAACTCGAGAATTGGGGACATTGCAATATAAAAAGACTGATTTTCTTTTTAGGGTTTAAAAGGGGAAATAAGCAGAAAGTAGATAATGGAATTGCCTTCTTAGAAAGCTCCAACAGTACAATGAACATATCAAAGCAAGATTGCTCATGCAAATGCTTTACTTGTCAAGTCTATTTATACTTCCTGTTTTTACCACTGCCTGGAGGTAATACATTTTCTAGATAAATATTATCACTTTAATTTTCAATGAAGTGCACTTTTAGCATTCTAACTGAAAAAATCAGAAATGCAAACAAAGATTTATTTACAAATATATTGGAGACAACTTAAACATTCAAAATTAGGGCTTGGTTAAATAAATTACCGTAGAGCCAAATTATTAAATGCTATATACTCTTAAGAATTGGGTATTCAAAATGTTCTAAAAGGCATGGGAACATCCTTATGATGTTGTTGGCGTGGGAAATAATTTTTCCTCTGGTTTTCATAAGTTCTTGGCTGAGGACCCCCTGTAACAGAAGATAGATTAACAAGAGAAAAACAAACAGAAGTTATTAACATGTATATCTCATGTATACATAGGAGATACCCAGGGAAAATGAGTAAATCTCAAAGAAGTGGCTTAGAATTTCAGCTTACATAATGTCTTCAACAAAGAACAGTACAATTTGTAGTGAAGTGACAGGGCAAAGGAAAAGGACTTTGAGTCTTCAGGGGCAGCAAGTTCTGGGAAGGCTATGGTATGGTAGATAGATGCTGTTTAGTACAGTTTATTATGCAGATTCGTCTGGTGCTGTCTCCTGGTTGGTACTGGTCTGAAGTCATCTCTGGTGATCAACCTTTGATCCCCCTGGTAGAGAGCGGAAGAGGGACACCTTTGTAAATTTATGCCCTGCTTTTGGGAAAATAGCGAGAGGGCAAAGAGCTTTTCTTTTATCTACTTCTTCTCAGTTGTCTTCAGCTCAAAATAATCCTTATGCCAAAGTCACAGATTTTGGGATATTGTTTCCCAGGCTCTCACATATAATGGGGTGATATATTCTTGTCTCTTACACATATGATGCAAGTCAAAAGAAAAATCTTGGATGCAGTAATGAATATGCAGTATGTTCTCAACTACGCAAAGAAAAATACTAGGAGGAATAAGGTTTGGCAAAGGTTGCCACTGGTGGGGAGGGGGTACTTAACTTGAAATAAATAATTATTTCAATTAGTTATTTGAAATAACTTTAAAATTCTATTTTTTCATTCTATATTTTTAAGTATTATAATAAATGTACATATGTCTATCACCAGAACCAAAAAATACAGGCAAAAATGAGAAGAAATTAACTATTCTCCTTTAACGTAGCATTTACTTTTGGAAAATTCTAGAACTCTATGTGCTCTTATGGACATTTCTCCCAACAGTCTCATAGGGGAAAACATTAAGACCTGAAAGAGTTAAATTGGTTTACTCAAAGTTACAAATTTCAACAATGAGTGTTCTCAAATGACTACCAGTCCAGTGCCTTTTAAATTATACCTCTTATTGCAACAGTTTTCAAGTACTTTTATTCCATGAAACGTATATCTCAGTGAGTATTTAGACTGAAATTAAATATGTAAGTCTTTATAAAGAAAAGTGTAAACATTTGCTGAAGGACAGGAAAGAAGACCTGTACAAATGAAGAAACATGTGCTCTTGAGTAGAAGTCTCCGTTTTCTAAAGCTACTAATTCTCCCAAAGCTAAGATATAAATTCAATGCAGTTCTAATCAAAATCCAAGTGTTTTGAAAGGAGTTGTTAAAATTTAATAAGGCTCATCTGGAACAATAAATGGCTGAGTGATAAAGAAAGGTGTTATCTTTTTAAAAAAATAAGAACAATAAGAGTGACTTAATTTAGCAGCTATCAAACATTTGATGAAGACATGTTGGTGCAGATGTGGACAAGTTGTTTGATAGAACAGAACAAAGTGTATCGAAAAAGACTCATTTATATTTGAGAATTTAACCTATGCCAAAGTTGACATTTTTATAAAAAGACAATATAACAGATTGGTTAAAAGCACAGACTTTGGGCCGGGCACAGTGGCTCACACCTGTAATCCCAGCACTTTGGGAGGCCGAGGTAGATCACCCTACGTCAAGAGTTTAAGACCAGCTGGCCAACCTAATGAAACCCTATCCCTACTAAAAATACAAAAAATTAGCCAGGGGTGGTGGTGAGTACCTGTAATCCCAGCTACTCGGTAGGTTGAGGCAGGAGAATTGCTTGAACCCGGGAGGCGGAGGTTGCAGTGAGCCAAGATTACACCATTGCACTCCAGCCTGGGCAACAAGAGTGAAACTCCATGTCAAAAAAATCAAACAAAAAAACAAAAGCACAGACTTTGAAATCAAAGAGGCGGGTTCAAATCTCATCTCTGATGTCAACCAGCCCTGACAATCTGTAAGCCTTCATTTTCTCTTTCTTGTATTAAGGATATAATCTCTACCTTGCGGAGTTTGTGTTCAGGATTAAATCAGAAAATGTATTTTAAGTGCTTAGAATGGTTCCCAGAATTTAGTAGATAACAAATAAATAGTAGGTGGTGGTGGAGGCAATGGTAGTCACTATTTTATGATGAATGTTTTATATATATATGTCTTTCACACTCTAATAAGTCAGGATCTCCAAGATCACCCCTAGGTTCAACAATTTGCTAGGAGGACTCACAAGACTCAGCATCTAGATATACTCGTGGTATGACTTATTACAGTGAAAGGACACTTAGCAAAATTAGCTAAGGGAAAAGGTGCTTAGGGCAAAGTCTGGAGGAAGCCAGGAGCAAGCTTCCAATGGGCCTCTCCCGGTGGAGTTACACAGACATGCTTCATTCCCCCAGCGTGAACTGTGACAGCACGTGGAAATGCTGTCTACCAGGGAAGCTTCTTAGAGACTTGAGACTGGGTTTCTACTAGATGGCTGGTTGGGGGACAGTGGGGGTGGTGCTGGTCATGTGTGCATCTTCTGCTTAGCCCACATCAAACTTCCGGCCTCCCAGAAGGAAAGCAGTGTTCACCATAAGCCACATCATTTACACAAACACTTTAGGCACAGTGAGCCACTCGTACCCGTTCTGGGAAGGTAGGAGCCCTCCTGAAATCCAGGTTTCTAGACATTAGCCAAGAGCCAACCTTATAAGCAGTTGAGTAGTCTCAGGCTGCTATGTTAACTTCTGTCTACACACATTCCTGCAGATGTGGCCTGGGTTTTGCAAATTTCTGTGATGCTTGTACTTCCTGCCTTTTTTCTTTCATTGGCAATTGTGGGGGCAAAAGTGACTCCATTGTGGATGTGAATCTGCTGTGTTGACTTCTGATCACCCCCCAGTCTTGCGCATGCCTCCTCTTCCTACTTTATCCACTGTCTCTAGTGTAAGAACATGTCAACCTTGATGTTATGACAGAAACAATAGGCTGTGATGCATGCAGCATTCCTGCCTGTTCTGGAGGGCTGCCTTTCATTGTCTTGCACAGAGCAAGGGCTTATATACCCCTTCCCTATGGTACATAAGCCCTGGGTCTAGGGAGTAACAGTGCAGAGATCTACCAGTCTCCTACAGCCCAAGACCATGCTTATCTGTGAGTTCCCTAATAAAACTCCTTTTACCGACAAACTGGATTTGTCTGCCTCCTTCTTTGGTTTCTCAACTCCTTTGGCATTTGGTGGTCATTTTGAATATACAGCCCTTTCACAGAGCAGTAATACATTATCATGCCAGAGAGTAGGAATAATTTTATTAAGGGGATAACCTTGGATCAACTCAAAATAACTTTTAAATAAGTGCATATGAAAACAACTGTGCTTTTTCGTCAGTAACAAATTATTGAAACCCCTCACAACTTAAACCATGACTGGGAATCCCTGATCCTGTGTATCTTTACCTCCATTTGTTTCACTTGTGTATAAATGTAAATAATTTTGTTTGAAAAATACTTCAATAATAGAAAAGCTTTAAAAATTATATTCCTTGGCTGGGCACAGTGGCTCACACCTGTAATCCCAACACTTTGGGAGGCCGAGGCGGGCGGATCACCTGAGGTCAGGAGTTCAAAACCAGCCTAGCCAACACAGCGAAAATCTGTCTCTACTAAAAATACAAAAATTCTCCAGGCATGGTGATAGGCACTTGTAATCCCAGCTACTCGAGAGGCTGAGGCAGGAAGAAATGCTTGAACCCAGGAGGCAGAGTTTGCAGTGAGCCAAGATCCCACCACTGCACTTCAGCCTGGGTGACTCCATCTCAAAAAAAATTATATTCCTTGACATCATCAATATATTTCTAATAAATATAATGTGATTTCACATTATCCAACTATAAACTGTTGCCTTAAATGACCTTGTGCACACACACTCTTTCTGTCTCTCTCTCCTTGTGCAGCATGAAATTGTACATGGTCAGATATCTTCAATTAAACAGAACAGCTCGATTTTCAAAGCCCTGCCCTCCCTGGCAGCAGGGTTTCTCAGAACTCTCCTCATTGACTGCACTCAGCCCCGTGGAGGCCAGGTCTTGTTTGTTCTTTCCTCCATTGTCCACGCTCTGTGCTCTTTTAATCCTCTCCTTTCTCTTTATTTCTGCCAATTCTCTCACCTTACTCAGTGAGGCCCACATATATCGTGAGACTACAACCCCTATTTTTTTAATGTCTCCACCTTGCAGAGGAATTTTACACCCGGACCCATCAAATTTCCAAAGTTGGACTTTCTCTCCCTGTGCTACCCACGTTTCCTGGGGTGACCCTCACTCCTTCACCCCAGCCTGTTTACCTGCCTGAGTAACACTAGAGATCTAGTTCATAAGGGCCAATGGTCCTCTCATGAAAGGTGTGGTTACCAAATGCCAGTCGTTAACCTCCCTAAAACATATTTAAATTAAAGTATCCTTTATTTTATAGATTTCCAAGCCATGGGGTTGAAGAAAGGGATGTTTTTCAACCCAGACCCTTATCTGAAGATTTCCATTCAGCCTGGGAAACACAGCATCTTCCCCGCCCTCCCTCACCATGGACAGGAGAGGAGATCCAAGATCATAGGCAACACCGTGAACCCCATCTGGCAGGCCGAGGTGAGTGCTGTGGGCCCTGAAAAAAAGCCCAAGTAAAAGTGAAAGGGCTGACTGTGAACCAGCCCTCCTCCTTCCCTCCATTCATGGAGCCCTGGACTCTGCTGCTCAATCTATGGCTGTCATGGTCTTAGAAGGGAGCCATGTTCTCCAGGGGTTGCAACTCAGGGATCTTGATCAAGTCCATCCGGACAGTACTAACACACTTTTCATTGCACTGCATGCAGTAGCCTCTTCTGATTCAGAACCCATGCCGCGAGCAGGACGGCCTTTCCCTCTGCCCTTCATGTGGGAGAAGGAAGACAAGAGTTGTGATCAGAGCCTTCCAGTTTCTCCACAGCTCTTCCCATGCATGTGATCCTTGAGCAAGGGTGTCAAATCTTAAATATAGCCTTCTAGACCAGTTTCAGAGATTCTAAAACTGGGAGGTTCCTGGGATAGGTGAATCAGTAAGCCCTAAAATATCCCTGGTTGGGTTAAATATTGTTTGATTTAAATAGATAATGAAGCCTAATGGTTTATCCTATCTTCATGATTTGCAAAGGGCTGGGCAGCTTGCTACAGTATTGAATAGTCTATGTTGTCTACAAAGGCCCTTCTCCACTCCTGAAAGTGTTGCCTTTGCCAGGGGTTAGGAGGGTCCTCCAAGTTCTCTCCTAAAGGACATGTAGAAAGTCGGCACCACTTATTTGGCCAGGCAAGGTAGCTCTTAGGGAGGCTAGGGCAGGTGAATCGCTTGACTCCAGAAGTTCAAGACCAGCCTGGGCAATATGGCAAAACCCCATCTCCACCAAAAAAAAAAAAAAAATTAGCTGAGCCTGGCGGTGTGTGCCTGTGGTCCCAGCTACTGGAGAGGCTGATGTGGGAGGACTTCTTGAGCCTGACAGGCAGAGGTTGTAGTGAGCTGGGATCATGCCACTGCACTCCAACCTGGGTGACAGAGCGAGACCCTGTCTCTAAAAAAGAAAGAAAAAAGAAAGTCATCACCACCCATTTGGCTGCCTCCCTGCCAGACCTGAGCTTGAAGCTATAACCTCCAAACCATGTGACTGAGGGGAGGGGAGGCCTAGGTCATGAGAGTGGATGGGGTATAATGTAGGTTAAAAGTACAGTTTTACAGTCATAGAAACCTGGATTCTAATCCCAGTGTGGCCAGTTAATAGTTTATAAATTTGAGAGATCAGTTATCCTCCACCTGAGCCTTAGATTACCCTCATCAGCCTATTATTGATGGAAACGTGCTCCCACCAAAGGAACTTGCTTTGGAGAGGATTTCTTCCTTTATTTTTCAGAGTAGATCATCTCTGATTTAGAGCTTTCAAGCATCCTTGACAAGAAAACATAATTAGACATATGAGAGCAAAGATTTTTTATTATCTATTAAATCATACCACCCCCTTCCTGGGCTTAATTAGCGCTCTCCCAGGCTTCCCAGAAGAGCTTCGTTAGAGCTTTGAAGTGGACGTGAGGGAAATAGACTTGTACTTAAACTTCCTCCTAGCGTTGGTTATCAACAGATTCTAAAACACTGATAGCACCGCTAGAATGGAATAATGAATCTTAATTTGTTTCTTCAGTCCTGCCTGTGTTCATCAATTATTTCTGAACTCTTCCCTGCATTCCTAGAGATAATAAAAGATGTCAAAAGAATTTATTTTGTATGGGGGGAAAGGCTTCTCTCTTCTGAAGGACTTTAGAGGAACCTGTTCTAAGACATTTAGTCATAAAGGTGTTTTAAGTGTCAGGGAATGTTTGGAAAATCCAGCACTATCAGAATGTTTTTTGGCTAAAAACGTCAACTAGAATTCACTTTAAGTTCTGAAATGATTTCTGAAGCTTTGGTTAACACTGATTTTGTTCTGGCAGAATACTGGCAAACTCTCCCCAGCCCTCTGCTCTGGGCCACCTCCCTTCCATCCCACGTGCTGCAGTTGGAGTTATTGATCTAAAATATGCCTCATCTCATGTCCCCCTGGTAAGGCTCAGGCTGAGGATAACTGATGTCCCAAGTTAAACAGTGTGTAACTGGCTAAAGGAGATTTGAACCAAGGTTTGTGTTGCTGCAAAACTGTCCATTCAACCCCTAAATTGTACTACAGTTCCCAGGGTCCAAGTGTCAATGTCATAGCTCCTCTGCAGAGCATTCAAAGCCTTCTTTGATCAGGCATTGCTTACCATTATGTCAGTTAAGGATGTATTTGGCTCCATGCAAGGGAAAGTCTGGCTGGCTCTGATATTTCTCACAAACAAGACATCCAGAGGGAGGTGATCCAGGCGGTGCCGCTGCTGAGTGAGCCCCCAGGGATCCCAGCTCTCCGGGCCTGCCACTGCACCATCCTTAGCAGATGGCCTCATCCTCCTCTGTTAAAGCCTCAAGTCCAAATTCCAGGCAGGAAGAAAGCAACAGGCCAAAAAAGCCTTCTCCTTGCAAGACTTTGCATTTTCTTCCTGGGAGAAAATGACTGGGTGGCTTAAACAACAGATATGTATTTCTCAAAGTTCCGAAGCTGGGAAGTCCGAGCCCAGGATGCTGGCACGGTTGGGTTCTGGTGAGGGCCTCTTTGGGGATGCAGATGGCTGCCTTCTTGCTCCATCCACACGTTAGAAAGAGAGAAAAGGAAAGAGAGCACACTCTTATAAGGACACTAATCCCATCGTGAGGACCCTATCCTCATGACTCCTCTAAACGTAATGACCTCCAAAGGCCCGGCCTCTTAATACCATCACTTTGGGTGTTAGAGTTTCACATATGAACTTGGGGGTTGGTGGTGGAAGGAGACACACACACACACACATTCAGTCTATAACAGGTTTCAGTCCACAACAGGAAGTTTTCCTCCTCATATTTTCTGGAAATGTCTGTGTATAATTATTATTTCTTCCTTAAATGTTTGATATAATTTACCAGTGAAAACATCTTAGGCTGGAGTTTCTCTGTGAGAAGACTTTAAATTATGAATTTAGTCTTTTAAATAAAAAGAGTCATTTAGATTACCTATTTCTTCTAAGAGAAAGCATTTGTCTTTCAAGAAATATTGCCATCTTTTTGTGTTGTTTGGCATAAAGTTGTTCAAAGTATTGTTTTATTGTCTTTTAATGTTTGTAGGCTTATTAAGGACAATACCTCTTTCATTTATATATTGGTGAATTGCTTTTTTTCTCTTTGTTTGTTAACCAATCTAAATATGGGTTTATTAAATTTGTTTATTTTGTGAAAGAACTAGCTCTTGACATCATTTTCTCTATGTTTAACTGTTTTCTATTTATTTTTATATATGCCCTTATTTTCATTTATTTATCTCCTTTATTGCCTTCTATTTTTTTTTTTTTAGCTCCTTAGGGTAAAAGTCTAGGTCTTGCTTTTAGACTTACATTTATTCTCTAATACAATTATTTAAGCAATAAGTTTTCTTCTAATCTCTGTTTTAACTGCATTTTATAAATTTGTATATAATTTATACTTTTATTATCATTCCGTCAAAAATATTTCTTCATATTCCTTCTTTGACCCATGGATTATTTTGAAATAAGTTGTTTAATTTCCAAACCTGGGGATTTTCCTAAATATCTTCTTGTTACTGACTTTTAATTTTATTTTATTGTGGTTAGAGAACATACTCTATATGATTGCAATCTATTTAAATTTATCAAGCCATGTTTTACAGTCCAGCATATGATGCATTTTGGTAGGCTTACCATATCAACTTGAAAAGAATGTATATTCTCCTATTGTGGCATATCAAGTCCTATAAATATCAGTTGAGTCAAGGTGGTTGACTGAGTTGTAGAGATTCTCTGTGTCTTTATTGCTTTCTATGTCTAGCTGTTCTATCAGTTGCCACAAGAAGCATGTTTAAATCCTTTACTATGTTCATGGAATTGTCTGTTTCTCTAATTCTGTCAACTTTTGTTTCATGTATTTTGAAGCTCTGGTATTAGGTACTTGCATAGTTATGTCTATGCATCATGTTTATAATTCTAAAATATTTTTCTTTATTTTTGGTAGTGCTCCTTGTCTTGAAGGCTGTTTTATCACACTAATATAGCCACTCCAGCCTCCCTTATGTTTAGTGTTTGTTCCATTTACTTTCAAAATGTTTGTGTTTTTACTTATAAAGTGCATTGCCTATGGACAGCATATTCTTCGGACTTAATTTCATTTATTACAATAATCTCTGCCTTTTAATAGGAATGAATGGCCCATTACCATTTAACATATTTATTCATGTAATTGTATTTAGGCCTACTATTTTATTATTTGTTTTCTGTTTGTCCTCTGGATTGTTTTCTTATTTCCCCTTCTTGACTTGTTTTTGGATTATTTGAATATATTTTAGAATTTCATTTCAATTTATCTACTGAATTTTTAGGTACACGGCTTTGCGTTACTTCCTTTGTAGTTGCTTTAGGGACCATAAAATACCTTCCTATATTTTCATGATCTACATTGAGTTAATTTTGTACCACTTTACATAAAATGCAGTAACTCTTCAACAATATTACCTGCATTTATCCACACTCGTGATCTTTCTTGTTATAGTTATTATATATATCACATTGTATATACATTATAAACCCTACATGACGATGTTAAAAATTTTTGCTTTAAGTGGATGTGTATTTTAAAGAAACTAGGAAAAAAATATAGTCCTTAATGCCTCCCCATACATTTCCTATTTCTAATGCTTTTCATTTCTTTTATTTATTTATTTATTTATTTATTTATTTATTTTAATTATTATACTTTAAGTTTTAGGGTACATGTGCACCTTGTGCAGGTTAGTTACATATGTATACATGTGCCATGCTGGTGCGCTGCACCCACTAACTCGTCATCTAGCATTAGGTATATCTCCCAATGCTATCCCTCCCCCCTCCCCCCACCCCACCACAGTCCCCAGAGTATGATATTCCCCTTCCTGTGTCCATGTGATCTCAATGTTCAATTCCCACCTATGAGTGAGAATATGCGGTGTTTGGTTTTTAGTTCTTGCGATAGTTTACTGAGAATGATGATTTCCAATTTCATCCATGTCCCTACAAAGGACATGAACTCATCATTTTTTATGGCTGCATAGTATTCCATGGTGTATAAGTGCCACATTTTCTTAATCCAGTCTATCATTGTTGGACATTTGGGTTGGTTCCAAGTCTTTGCTATTGTGAATAATGCCGCAATAAACATACGTGTGCATGTGTCTTTATAGCAGCATGATTTATACTCATTTGGGTATATACCCAGTAATGGGATGGCTGGGTCAAATGGTATTTCTAAATCTAGATCCCTGAGGAATCGCCACACTGACTTCCACAATGGTTGAACCAGTTTACAGTCCCACCAACAGTGTAAAAGTGTTCCTATTTCTCCGCATCCTCTCCAGCACCTGTTGTTTCCTGACTTTTTAATGATTGCCATTCTAACTGGTGTGAGATGGTATCTCATAGTGGTTTTGATTTGCATTTCTCTGATGGCCAGTGATGATGAGCATTTTTTCATGTGTTTTTTGGCTGCATAAATGTCTTCTTTTGAGAAGTGTCTGTTCATGTCCTTCGCCCACTTTTTGATGGGGTTGTTTGTTTTTTTCTTGTAAATTTGTTTGAGTTCATTGTAGATTCTGGATATTAGCCCTTTGTCAGATGAGTAGGTTGCGAAAATTTTCTCCCATGTTGTAGGTTGCCTGTTCACTCTGATGGTAGTTTCTTTTGCTGTGCAGAAGCTCTTGAGTTTAATTAGATCCCATTTGTCAATTTTGTCTTTTGTTGCCATTGCTTTTGGTGTTTTGGACATGAAGTCCTTGCCCATGCCTATGTCCTGAATGGTAATGCCTAGGTTTTCTTCTAGGGTTTTTATGGTTTTAGGTCTAACGTTTAAATCTTTAATCCATCTTGAATTGATTTTTGTATAAGGTGTAAGGAAGGGATCCAGTTTCAGCTTCCTACATATGGCTAGCCAGTTTTCCCAGCACCATTTATTAAATAGGGAATCCTTTCCCCATTGCTTGTTTTTCTCAGGTTTGTCAAAGATCAGATAGTTGTAGGTATGCGGTGTTATTTCTGAGGGCTCTGTTCTGTTCCATTGATCTATATCTCTGTTTTGGTACCAGTACCATGCTGTTTTGGTTACTGTAGCCTTGTAGTATAGTTTGAAGTCAGGTAGTGTGATTCCTCCAGCTTTGTTCTTTTGGCTTAGGATTGACTTGGCAATGCGGGCTCTTTTTTGGTTCCATATGAACTTTAAAGTAGTTTTTTCCAATTCTGTGAAGAAAGTCATTGGTAGCTTGATGGGGATGGCATTGAATCTGTAAATTACCCTGGGCAGTATGGCCATTTTCACGATATTGATTCTTCCTACCCATGAGCATGGAATGTTCTTCCATTTGTTTGTATCCTCTTTTATTTCATTGAGCAGTGGTTTCTAGTTCTCCTTGAAGAGGTCCTTCACATCCCTTGTAAGTTGGATTCCTAGGTATTTTATTCTCTTTGAAGCAATTGTGAATGGGAGTTCACTCATGATTTGGCTCTCTGTTTATCTGTTGTTGGTGTATAAGAATGCTTGTGATTTTTGTACATTGATTTTGTATCCTGAGACTTTGCTGAAGTTGCTTATCAGCTTAAGGAGATTTTGGGCTGAGACAATGGGGTTTTCTAGATATACAATCATGTCGTCTGCAAACAGGGACAATTTGACTTCCTCTTTTCCTAATTGAATACCCTTTATTTCCTTCTCCTGCCTAATTGCCCTGGCCAGAACTTCCAATACTATGTTGAATAGGAGTGGTGAGAGAGGGCATCCCTGTCTTGTGCCAGTTTTCAAAGGGAATGCTTCCAGTTTTTGCCCATTCAGTATGATATTGGCTGTGGGTTTGTCATAGACAGCTCTTATTATTTTGAAATATGTCCCATCAATACCTAATTTATTGAGAGTTTTTAGCATGAAGGGTTGTTGAATTTTGTCAAAGGCTTTTTCTGCATCTATTGAGATAATCATGTGGTTTTTGTCTTTGGCTCTGTTTATATGCTGGATTACATTTATTGATTTGCGTATATTGAACCAGCCTTGCATCCCAGGGATGAAGCCCACTTGATCATGGTGGATAAGCTTTTTGATCTGCTGCTGGATTCGGTTTACCAGTATTTTATTGAGGATTTTTGCATCAATGTTCATCAAGGATATTGGTCTAAAATTCTCTTTTTTGGTTGTGTCTCTGCCCGGCTTTGGTATCAGAATGATGCTGGCCTCATAAAATGAGGCCAATTTGCCAGTCTGTGTCTTTTAATTGGAGCATTTAGCCCATTTACATTTAAAGTTAATATTGTTATGTGTGAATTTGATCCTGTCATTATGATGTTAGCTGGTTATTTTGCTCGTTAGTTGATGCAGTTTCTTCCTAGTCTCGATGGTCTTTACATTTTGTCATGATTTTGCAGCGGCTGGTACCGGTTGTTCCTTTCCATGTTTAGCACTTCCTTCAGGAGCTCTTTTAGGGCAGGCCTGGTGGTGACAAAATCTCTCAGCATTTGCTTGTCTGTAAATTATTTTATTTCTCCTTCACTTATGAAGCTTAGTTTGGCTGGATATGAAATTCTGGGTTGAAAATTCTTTTCTTTAAGAATGTTGAATATTGGCCCCCACTCTCTTCTGGCTTGTAGGGTTTCTGCCGAGAGATCCGCTGTTAGTCTGATGGGCTTCCCTTTGAGGGTAACCCGACCTTTCTCTCTGGCTGCCCTTAACATTTTTTCCTTCATTTCAACTTTGGTGAATCTGACAATTATATGTCTTAGAGTTGCTCTTCTCGAAGAGTATCTTTGTGGCGTTCTCTGTATTTCCTGAATCTGAACATTGGCCTGCCTTGCTAGATTGGGGAAGTTCTCCTGGATAATATCCTGCAGAGCGTTTTCCAACTTGGTTCCATTCTCCCCATCACTTTCAGGTACACCAATCAGACGTAGATTTGGTCTTTTCACATAGTCCCATATTTCTTGGAGGCTTTGCTCATTTCTTTTTATTCTTTTTTCTCTAAACTTCCCTTCTCACTTCATTTCATTCATTTCATCTTCCATCGCTGATACCCTTTCTTCCAGTTGATCGCATCGGCTCCTGAGGCTTCTGCATTCTTCACGTAGTTCTCGAGCCTTGGTTTTCAGCTCCATCAGCTCCTTTAAGCACTTCTCTGTATTGGTTATTCTAGTTATACATTCTTCTAAATTTTTTTCAAAGTTTTCAACTTCTTTGCCTTTGGTTTGAATGTCCTCCCATAGCTCAGAGTAATTTGATCGTCTGAAGCCTTCTTCTCTCAGCTCGTCAAAGTCATTCTCCATCCAGCTTTGTTCCGTTGCTGGTGAAGAACTGCGTTCCTTTGGAGGAGGAGAGATGCTCTGCGTTTTAGAGTTTCCAGTTTTTCTGTTCTGTTTTTTCCCGATCTTTGTGGTTTTATCTACTTTTGGTCTTTGATGATGGTGATGTACAGATGGGTTTTCGGTGTGGATGTCCTTTCTGTTTGTTAGTTTTCCTTCTAACAGACAGCACCCTCAGCTGCAGGTCTGTTGGAGTACCCTGCTGTGTGAGGTGTCAGTGTGCCCCTGCTGGGGGGTGCCTCCCAGTTAGGCTGCTCGGGGGTCAGGGGTCAGGGACCCACTTGAGGAGGCAGTCTGCCGGTTCTCAGATCTCCAGCTGCGTGCTGGGAGAACCACTGCTCTCTTCAAAGCTGTCAGACAGGGACATTTAAGTCTGCAGAGGTTACTGCTGTCTTTTTGTTTGTCTGTGACCTGCCCCCAGAGGTGGGGCCTACAGTGGCAGGCAGGCCTCCTTGAGCTGTGGTGGGCTCCACCCAGTTCGAGCTTCCAGGCTGCTTTGTTTACCTAAGCAAGCCTGGGCAATGGCGGGCACCCCTCCCCCAGCCTCGCTGCCGCCTTGCAGTTTGATCTCAGACTGCTGTGCTAGCAATCAGCGAGATTCCGTGGGCGTAGGACCCTCCGAGACAGGTGTGGGATATAGTCTCGTGGTGCGCCGTTTTTTAAGCCGGTCTGAAAAGCGTAATATTCGGGTGGGAGTGACCCGATTTTCCAGGTGCGTCCGTCACCCCTTTCTTTGACTCGGAAAGGGAACTCCCTGGCCCCTTGCGCTTCCCAGGTGAGGCAATGCTCGCCCTGCTTCGGCTCGAGCACGGTGTGCGCACCCACTGGCCTGCACCCACTGCCTGGCACTCCCTAGTGAGATGCACCCAGTACCTCAGATGGAAATGCAGAAATCACCCGTCTTCTGCGTCGCTCACGCTGGGAGCTGTAGACCGGAGCTGTTCCTATTCGGCCATCTTGGCTCCTCTCATTTATTTATTTTTTGAGGCGGAGTTTCACTCTGGTCGCCCAGGCTGGAGTGCAATGGCGCAATCTCGGCTCACTGCAACCTCCACCTCCTGGGTTCAAGTGATTATCCTGCCTCAACCTCCCGAGTAGCTGGGATTACAGGCACCCACCACCACGCCCAGCTAATTTTTGTGTTTTTAGTAGAGATGGGTTTCACCATGTTGGCCAGGCTTGTCTCAAACTCCTGACCTCAGGTGATCCACCCGCCTTGATTTCCCAAAGTGCTGAGATTACAGGCATGAGCCACCACACCTGGCCTCTTCATTTATTTCTGAAGACCTGGGTTTTCCTCTGATATCATTTCCCTTCATCATGAGCTCCTTCCCCTGGCCTTTCTAGAGTGGGCCTGGTGAGTCTAATCCTCTTATTGTTTATTTGAATGTCTTTATTTAATGTCCTGCAGATATTTTCTCTGTGGATATTTTCACTGGATATAGAATTCTGGGTTAACTGGTATGTTTCCCCTCAGCACTTGAAAAAATATGGTTCCGCCCAGTGAGGTGGCACACACCTACAATCCCAGCTACTCGGGAGGCTGCGGTGGGAGTATCACTTGAGCCCAGAGTTCAAGGCCAGCCAGGGCAACATAGCAAGACCCCATCTCAAAAAAAAGGTTTAAAATGCAGTTCCACTGTGTTATGGTCTCCATAGTTTCCAATAATAAATCTATAATGATTTAAATCATTGTTGCTTTCCTATCTGTCAGGTGTCAGTTTTCTCTGTCAGATTCAGGGTTTTCTCTTTGTCTTTGGTTTTCAAGTTGGATTTCGGCATTCCCAGGCATGGTTTTTGTATTAGTTTCCTAGAGCTGTCATAACAAAGTCCCACAAATTGAGTGGCTTAAAACTACAAAAATATATTGTTTCATAGTTCTGGTGGCCAGAAGTCCAAAATGAAGGTGTGGGCAGAGTTGTTTCCTTCTGAAGGCTCTAAAGCTGTTCCATGCCTCTCTCCTAGCTCCAGTGATGTAGGCAATTCTTGGCATTCTTGGCTTGCAGACTCCATCTCTGCCTCCATCTTCACGTGGTGTTCTCCCTGTGTGTCTCTGGTTCCAAATTTTCTTCTTCTTAGAGGGACATCAGTCATACGGGATTAGGGCCCACCCTAATGGCTTCATCTTAACTTGATTACATCTGTAAAGACCCTATTTCCAAATAAGTTTGCATTCAAAAGCACCAGGGTCTTAGACTTCAGCATACCTGTTGAGGGACACAATTCAACTCATAACAGTTTTCCTCTAATTTAATCTATTGTTGGTTCACTGAACTTCTTGAAGCTATAAGTTTGTTTTCACCAAATCAAGGAAGTTTGGCCATTATTTATGTTTTTCAAATATTCTTCTGTTTAATTCTCTCCCCTTTTTCTTGAGCTCCAAATGATCCATATGCTAGATCTTCAGAGTCCCACAGGTCCCTGAGGCTGTTTTCTCTCTCCTTGTAATTGCATGATTTCTATTGATCTATCTTCAATTTTACTGTATGTTTTCTCTATAAACTCCATTCTACTATTGCTTCTATGCAATGAATATTTTCAGATATCAGAATTTTTTATTTTAAGATTGCCATTTGGTTTTTTTTAATGTGCTTTATTTTGCTGATGATATTTCTTACCTATCTATATTCATCATAAGTTAATATTTTCCTTTACCACACTGGATATAGTTATAATAGCTGCTTTAAAGTATTTTCCTGATAATTTCAACATCTGGAGAATATTGAAAATGGGTCATGTTTTGTGTTTTTTAATAAATTAAGTCATTCTGGATGATGTCTCGAGCATTGTTAATGTTATACTGAAGAGACTCTGGATTTTGCTCCAGGGGGTATTGATGTTTTGTTACAGCAGACAATTGATTTGGCGCAGCTCCTACTGTCATCCATATGGTGGGAGGCACCTCAGATCTCAGTTCAGTTCTTTAAGCCCTAACTGCAAACTGATTTCATTTGCCCTGTGCGTGTATGATTCTGGGATCAGCCATAAACTTGGGCTGAGCTTCTATACATCGTTTGGGGCTCTCCTTTGGCTCTCTTCTTTCCGGAATTCCTCCTTTACTCTCTGGTGGTGCTGGTTGCCCCAGGCTTCTTTGCCTGGTTCATCCAGCCAAAAAGATAGTGAGATTTGTATTGGCATTTTAGCTGCTCTGTACCACTATTGCAGTGACTGTGGCGGCATTCAGGGCAAAGATCCCACTGTGAAGAATTCATTCCATGCCCGTCTCTTGTTGCAGTGAACAAGTTTTAGCAATTAACTGTGTAGCAATTAGAAACAATTATTTTACATTTTTCTGGACATTACCAACATTTGGATTTTTAAAAACAAGCAACAAATGTATTTTGTAGCATTTTTATCATCCAGTAGATTCCATCTCTTCACTGTACTTTATAAGTTATCCTATAAGCTAATATAGGTTTTAAATGTTGTCTTCTGTGCTATTCTTTGTAAGTGTACTAGTAAAATAATTTAACATAAAAATAAATTAATGTAAGCCACCACATTGACAATATAAAGAAGAAAAATCATGTTTATCTCCATAGATCCATAAAAAGACTTTGATAAAATTTAATATTCATTTATGATTTTCAACAACTCCTACAAAACTAGGAATAGAAGGGAACTTTTTTGTTAGAAATGCTTGTTTCCCAATGCCGTAAAGAAATAGCATTTGAATATAAATTTAATTTCCCCAGCAAGGCTGTTTTTACTTTCTGCAGAAAGGGTACACTCACCAGCAGTTTTGCCACGAGAGTACGCCGAACAAAGGAGACAAGGTCATTTATAACCTGACACGTCCACTCTATTGCTGTGTCCAGTTTCCAATGGCTGGCACAGGACCTCACATTCTGTATTTGTCCCGATTGGCTAGCAACTTAGAACTTTTTAAAAGGGGCAAAGGCAGAGGAGAACAAAGCAAGGAGGAAGTAACTTGTGGAATGCTGAGAAAGGTAAAAACACCTTCAAATAAGGAAGAGGAACAGGCTATGACCTAATGCTTACTTGGACCAATATAAGCATGCCAGGGCAAATATTTAGGCTAAATTGTGGGAGCTAAGAACATAAAGTACATTGATTTCTTTATTACGGCTAGCAGATATTTAGGAATGTTAGCACAGGTCTTTGAATAAATTTTGCTTCTAAGGGAAGTTACTATTTATTCCTAATTAGAAGGTGAGGAAAGTCTTTGAAGAGGAACCTCTACTTTACTTTTGACATTTTCAATCCAATAGAGGACTTAATATATTAATAATAATAACAATAAAATCCACAGCAAACACTATACTTACTGGTAAAATATTAAAATATATTTCCTTAGAACCAAGAACAAGACAAGGATGCACACTTTAGCCACTTCTGTTTAATATTGTGCTAGAGATTCTAGCCAGTGCAACAAGGTAAAAAAATAAACAAATAAAGTATGTCAGCTTTGGAAAGGAGGACACAAAACTGTCTGTATTTTCAGATAACATTGTTGTGTCAGTAAACAGTACAAAACATTACCCAAACTACCCAAATTAGTGAATTTAGCAAAGTAACTGAATAAATAAAAGGTAGATACGTAAAATAAATCATATTTCTATATGCAAATAGAAAATAAAAATTGTTAAAAGATATTATTTACAGTAGCATCAAAAACCAAGGAATAAATCTAACTGCAGAGGAGGAATATGGTTACACCGTGCACTACCACTTTGCTGAGAGAAATTTAAAACAGCCTAGATGAAAGGAGATATTGTTCAAGGCTTAGAAAAGTCAATATTCTTTAGGTGTCAATTCTTCCCCAAATTGATCTGTGGTTTCAGCGATATCCTAATCAAAATCCTGGGAGATATGTTAATGTAACTTGACAAGCTAATTCTAACATTTGTATTGAAATACAAAATGCCAAGTAGAGGTAAGAGAGTCTTGAAAAAGAAAAGAAAAAAAAAGCAGGACTTTTATACTGCCGGATGTCCAGATAAAATATGAAGCTCTAAGAATTAAATAGTGTGGCATTGGCACAGAACAGACAAATAGCTAATTAAATAGATGAGAATCCAGAAATAGATGCACCACATAGCATCATCGTTTTACGACAATAGTGCTGCTGCTGTATGTTATGGAAAGGATAGCCTGTTCAATATTTGATGTTGGGTCAATTTGCTGTCCATACAGAAAAGAAAGAAACCTTGAATGCAGTCTCACAACATACACAGTCTATTCCAAATCAATTGTACATTTAGATATGAAATTATAACAATAAAGCTTCTAATTCATAAGAAAACAAGTAAGAATACTTTCATGTCCTTGTGGAAGCCAAAAAAATCTTAAATAGAAAATAGAAAGCATTAATCATAAAATAAAAGAATAATTAATTGAATGGCAATAAAATTAAGAACCACCGTTCATCAAAACTTTACATTAAGAGCAAGCCACAGAGTGGGTAAAGATGTTGAGCTATGTCTAGGTGACAGCTAATATCTAGACTATAAATACTACCTCCTAAAATCAAAAAGAAAAGGACAGAAACCAACAGAAAAATGGAACAAAGACTTCAACAGCCACCACACAAAGCGGGGATGTCCAAATGCCACTAAACCTATGAGAAGGTGTTTAACTTATTTTGACATCCAGGAATGAAAATTAAAAGTATGGTGTGATACCACTGCACACTCACCAGTGTGCAATGGTATGGCCAAACTGAAGAAGATCAACAATGATGGCTGCTGGTGAGGTGTGGAACATAGACTCTCCAACTCTGCTGATAGGAGGCAGGGAGCAAGGACATCAGTTAGGAGACATTACAGAAGCCAGGTGGGAAACGAGGAAGCCTGGACCAGCCTGAGGCATGAACACAGAGAAGTGTGGAGGTAAATATACTTAGCCATGATCCCTTGCTTTTGTCTTCTGGTCTCTTTAATATCCCTTTGCTTATCTCCCTACAGTATGTTTAAACTAGGGCTCTGGTGTGTGAGAAGAACATCAAACAAACAGTACAGCGAGCTCAGGGTGTTTTCTAATGCTGGTGCTGGTTGTGAGATGTTGTTAAATATCAGATTGGAGGAAACGTAATTGCGGTTTTGCCATTAAAAGTAATGGCCAAAATTGCAATTACCTTTGCACCAACCTAACCAAAACATTACCAAACAATTTAAACATAACCAAACCATTACCCTACAATTACCCAAACCACTGCCAGACAACTTAAAGAGTCAAATATGGGCATAAACACCAGGGGTCAGGGTTGGGCCTGAACTTTTAGAGTATACTTCTCTTTTTTTAATTGTTTTTTGGTTGTTGTTGTTTTTTTTTTTTTTTGAGGAGTCTCGCTCTGTCACCCAGGCTGGAGTGCAGTGGTACGATCTCAGCTCACTGCAACCTCCGTCTCTTGGGTTCCAGCAGTTCTCCTACCTCAGCCTCCCGAGTAGCTGAGATTACAGACACACATCACTACGCCTGGTTAATTTTTTTGTATTTTTAGTAGAGATGGGGTTTCACTATGTTCATTAGCCAGGCTGGTCTTGAACGCCTGATGTCAGATGATCTACCTGCCTCAGCCTCCCAAAGTGCTGGGATTACAAGCATGAGCCACAGCACCCGGCCTTTAGAGGATACTTCTTGATGCCGAGTGCTTTACCAGAATTATATATACTGGTAGATTGTTTACCAGAGTTACCACATTTAATCATTTCAACAACACCATGAGTAAATGAGAATGAGACTTATTAGAAAGGGAAATTGCCAAAACCTTTTTGATGGAGCAGAACAATCAGCCAGGTTAAGCTAAAAGCCCTGTCACCTGGAGATAAATCGCAGTGCCTGGCCGAGAGTCGTCACCTGGAGATAAATCGCAGTGCCTGGCCGAGAGTCGTGGTCTCCAGGATTTAAGCACAATTGCTAAGTGATTACTGTCATCAGACAGCCCCAAGGCGTTGTAAACAATCTCTGATTGGTTTAAGATAGATCATTCACTTCAGTCCTGACTGATTAGAAATTACAAGATAATTTAATCAGACATTAAAGTGTGCTTTTGACCTGGACAAAGTAAACATAGTGTCATTAGCACAAAAAAATCACATTTATGGAAGAAAATCATTCTCTGAAACGCAGAGCTGGTACTGGTGGTGAGTGTGTGAGCAGCCCTAAAGACGGCATTATTTCCCCAGGACAGCAGTTTCACAAATGATTTTTTAAGTTCCCTGACATAGACAACCATCATCTAAGTACAAAAACCAGTTCTTTTGTTAGTAAAATCAGCTGCTGAACCATTTTATGAAAGGAACTCATGAATGAATCACCAACATGAAAACATAGGGGACACTCTTCTGTTTACGTGGGGTGGGAGACTGGAGGTACTGCCTCTTGTTCTACAGTGATGCCTGAGGCTCATTCACAGAACCTGAGACTCAGAGACACACTGTTTGATATTCACTTGCCAAAGTGTTCCTTGTACTTGTCTGTTAGCATCATTTTTCAACTTCTGAGGACATAAGATGGAGTTTTTGAGTGCAGCAGTGAAACTCCTTGAAAACCATTGCCAATGTCTTATGGAGGAATAGAGTGAGCTGGGCAAGGGGTTAGCTTGGCACATCCATCCATGGTGGTGGGTGGTGAGCTGGAGCCAGCTCATGTGAGCTGACAGCTCATGTGCAACTCTTCCCAACTCCACATTTAGTGAAATCAGCCATCGAGGGAGTATTTACACCAAGAAAATTGGCAAACACTACAGACTGGAGCTGGAACTGGTGCCTCGTTCATTGATTGAAAAAGTTGAAGACTAACACTAAAAGTGACATCCTGTAAGACTGATACCAAAAATCAAAGGTGGGGCTAGAGTCTGAGGAGAGCAGATCTAAGCAGATTTCTAAGCACGAAGGCTTCAGAAAAACAGAAACCAGGTACAGACAGAGCCAAAGGAGTATCTAGAAATGAGGAAATACAAGAATCAGGAATGATGGAGCAGGCAGGTGGGAGAGAACAAAAGAAATTTCAGAGATGGTAGCAGTTGTCTTTGGCATATCTACATAAAACGGCCACAGCAGAAATTCCACTTCAGCCAGGCTCATCTCTGACTGTGATTCCATCCTTTTGGGGGCCCTCTTAGCAGGTCCCCATCTTTGTCTCCATCAGGCTTGTCTTGCTGGAAGAAAATTACTATGCTCCAGTGACAAATCTCAAGTCCTGACAGGCTTTGCTCCGTGTAGCTTTCTCAGCATTTTTCAGGGCAATGGGTTATTAGCCTGGAAAAAAAGTTACTAAAAAAATACGAACAGGCCAGGTGCAGTGGCTCACGCCTCTAATCCCAACACTTTGGGAAGCCAAGGTGGTAGGATCGCTTGAGCCCAGGAGTTCAAGACCAGCCTAGGCAACATAGCAGAACCCCATCTCCACACACACAAAATTTAAAATTAGCTGAGCCTGGTGTTGTGTGCCTGTAGTTCCAGGTACTCGGGAAGCTGAGGTGGGAAAATGGCTTGAGCCCGGGGGGTCAAGGCTGCAGTGAGCCATGATCACACCACTGCACTCCAGCCAGGGTGGCAGAGCAAGACCTTGTCTCAAAAATAAATAAAAAAATAAATAAATAAATAAAATAAAACAGCAGTCTTTTCAAAGTTAAAAATATCAGGAAATATCAATAGAGTTCTTGTGATATTGTAAATTACTTTAAATTGCAATTTTGTCACAACGGAATTACTGTGGTTATGCTATTGATTTCATGTATTATGTAATTATCACTATACTGATACCATGATTAATTAGCTAATCCCACATTTTCTGGGATTTTTTTAAAATTTTAAGCCCAGAATGGGAGCAGAGAAGGTATTATGTATCTTGTAAAAGCTTATGACAAACATTTAAATTATTAACGCATCCATCCTTGACTAAGAGAACATTATATATTAGGGAGGGAATAATGGGTATGGGTATAACTTAGTGTGTTTTTGAGAGAAACATACAAACAGAATTAATACAGCACAAGTCCAGTGATTGATAGAGTAATCAGAAGGGGGATATTATGCAGCCTGCCGGTAATGTGGAACAGTGGAATGGCAAAGCCATAAAGCCATAGCAATGGAGTTGCAACAAGCTTTCAAGCCCAGCTAATACAATCAAGGACATTTGAACAGAAGTGGATATTTTATATATTTACCAAGACACTCACACACACACACACACACACACGTGTACATATATGCAGATGTACACATGTGGATAGCTAGGTAGATAGATAGATAGATGATAGATAGATAGATAGATAGATAGATAGATAGATAGATGCTTTATTGAGCAGTCTCAATTCGGTAGGGTATCTTAATAATGTCTTGGGCATATTCCATAACCTTCTGGTCACTTGTATTTATAAGTAATCCAATCAAGTCTAATTTTATATTCAGCTTACCTCTCTTGTTTCTTGCCCCAGCCTCCTGCGCTATCCACTACAGATTGGAATTGTGGTTTGAGGGTCTTGGAAATTGTCTTGGTTCATTTTCTGTTGCTATAATGGAATACGACAGACTGGGTAATTTATAAATAAAAGAAGTTTATTCAGCTCACAGTTCTGGAAGCTGGGAAGTCCAGTAGCATGGCACTGGCATCTGGTGAGAACATAGTAGAAAGACAGAAGCAGAAGCAAGAGACAAGAGAAAGGAGAACCAGGCCAAAGTCATCCTTTTTATCATGAACCCATTGATAATTAATGCCTTCAATAATAGCATTAATCCATTTATGAGGGCAGAGCCTTCATGACCTAATCACCTCTCAAAGGCCCCACCTCTAATACTGCTAAAATGGCAGTTAAATTTCAACATGAGTTTTCGTAGGGATATTCAAGCCACCGCAGAGAAGAGGACATATATTATTTTGTCCCTTTTTTCTACTCCAGCACCTTTGAGAGAAAACAGAGTCATGGGAAGGGATTTAGAGATCCCCCTCAACTTTTCTCTGCAAGGATTATGGCTGCATTGTTGGGACTGGGATGAGGAGAGACAGAGTCAAAATTTTCTTGCTAACAAGCTGTCTGATGGGATGAGGAGGGTATCTGGCCCCAATTATTGACCAATCATGGGGCACTTAATGACCTGAGTTTTCCTATGAGCACAAAAGTGCCAAATCTGAGGTCACAGAACATCCTTTTACATCTGTTTATATATAGATACACTTTCAAATATTTGCATCCCTTCTAGTACTGAAAACATACAAAATACATAGAATACGGCAAGATAAAATATATTTAAATATAGTTGAGAAACAGGAAACCAGGGAAATGTCTTAGTAAAAAGTAAGATGAAATAAAGTTAGTATAAAAGGTGAATGTCAAAAGTCTTGCACACCCTCCTGAATAACATTAGAAATGACCAAGGAGAAAGGGTCTCTTGATTTCACAGGAGGGATCATATGGATAGCACTTGGCCTGGAAGACATATTTTAGTATTTTTCATACAAATACTGTTTTTGATTTGCAGCTAATTTTATTTGGGATTTCTGTAATTATCTATGTTAATAAAATGTCTTTCATTTCCTTTCTTATGCTTATTCAGTTTGTATCAAAGATGTCTTATCCTTAGAAAATGATTTGGGTAGCTGTCCCTTTTTAAAAATTTTCTTTGATTGGCTTGTAAAAGACCAGGATTATCTGATCCAAGAAATTTTGGTAAAATGTACTTATAACGTGTTCTGGTTACATGATGTTTGATTATCAATTCAATTATTTGTTATTTATTCAGGTTTTCTATTTCCTCTTGAATTAATTTTAAAATTTTTATTTTCTGGAAAATATTCATTATATATGCTTTCTATTTATTTTCAGAATGTTTTCATAGTAATATACCCAAAATATATGCAAAACGTGGAAGCTGTATCTCCAAAATATATAGAGAGAACAACCATAGTTTTTTTATATCTCTACTATCTCTTTTTATTAATCTGATGCCTTGATGTATTATTATAATCTATAAATTATAAGTTTGAAAAAAAGGCCCTGAAAGTTTATGGTTGCTAAGCTCTCTAAGTCTTTGTATATTTGAAAATGTTTTTATTTTTACTTCACTCTCAAATGAGAGTTTTGTGGACATAGAACTCTAGGTTGACAGTTATTTTTCCCTCAGTACTTTGATGTATAACTAGACACAAAATAACAGTTTCCCCAACTATGATCAATATAATGTCAGTCAACCATATACTACACACACAACACACAGAGGGAGGTGCCACAGTCAAATATGGAAGCACTGCATACTATCTTGCAAATTCACAATGTGTGAATTTTGTATAATTAAAGCCTTTGAGACATCTAACAGTAAAATTTCTTCACCCTTTTAACCTAGTACTTCTCTTCAGAGCTCTTTTTCTTAGAATTGTCAACATCACATAGAAACAAGTGTCAGAGATCCTACAGCACACTTATTTAAACATCAACTGTCAACAAATAACTGCATATTTGTTCAAAGTATATCTCTATTATGCTGTTACTTGCCCTAATTTAGACTACTGCGTTAGGTTTCTATCAGTACATAACAAATTGCCACAAATTTAGCAACTTACAAGAGCAGCCATTTATTATCTCACAATTCTGTAGGTCAGAAGTCTGGGCACAACCTGCGTTCTCGGCTCAGGATCTCAGACGCTGAAACCACTTGTGTTCTCATCTAGGGCCTTGTCTGGTGAAAACATTGTTTCCAAGATCATTCAGGTTGTTGGCAGAATTGAGATCCTTGCTAGTTATTGGCCAGAGCAGTCCATGACACCTGACCCTCTCCATCATCAAAGCCATTGATGGAGAATGTCCCTTGCATTGAATCCTTCTCACATTTTGTCCCTCTGACTTCAGACAGGGCCCAGTGTTTTTGTTTTTAAGGGCTGATCTAATTAGGTCAGGCTCACCCAAATAATCTCCCCTTCGACTGATTAATTCAAGGTCCGTTGTTTGGTAATCTAATCATGGCTTGGCATCCAACACATTCACAGGCCCCACCTGCACCTAGTGGAAGGGGATTATACAGAGTGTGTACACAGGGGGCAGGAATCTTGAGGACCATCTCAGAATTCTCTCTACCACATTTATTATCCTTCAGTGCCAACCCCACACCAGATGAAAAGTTTCACTTTGCTTCCTCTTCAGAGAAGTCCATCACTATAACGTAATCCGTAGATTTTCTGCCAGAACAATAACTGGTGTGAGTTGGGCTTTGAGTGTGCAGTCTAGCATGCATAAAGGAGTATATTTAAGCTGACCCACAACCCTGGATTGTATTCCATTTTTGCAGTATCATTATCCAGTTACCACAGGAAGTTGCCATTCATTCATTTTCTCATTTATCAATGTGCTCAGTTCACATCACGTGTGGTTTCTGTGTACCAAGCTTTTCTGTGTTTTAGAGACATTACTGGCAATTGTAAGAGAGAAGCTGAAGACAGGGAGACCAGTTAGGAAGTAATTACAAGGACAAGGAATGACAAGAGCCATACCTAGACCAGTGGAAGTAAAGAGGAAAGAATGGACTCTAGAGTGAGGAAGAAAATTTAGACTTACTGACTGATTGGATATGGGCTCCTGAAGTTTGACCAAGGTTGACCAAGATATACAGATGAGGAGCATCACTGAAGATGACAGTTTATCAACAAAGCACGTGCAGAAGGCAAAGTTAGAATAATAGCTCTTTTCTTCCTTCTGTGTTCTGGGCACTCTAAAGTAGGCACAAGAAGGTCAGTTACATTGCTTATGATCACACAGCAGATTTTGTTCTTAGCTTCCAGTCTGTTCATCCAATCCTATGCTTTCTTTATAGGTGTTTAAGTGAATCATCTCCAGAAGTAAAAGATGGGAGATATACATATGGATATAAATATAGATATGGATACAGACATAGACAGAATACATATATGTGTAATATATGTATGTGTATATGTATGTATACAAATACGTACAGATATATAATATACAAATATATAATATACAAATTTTACATATAATATACAATTATATGCATATTACATATTTAAATACATACACAGAGACCTTGCTTCCCATTCTACCAAACCACAACTAAATATTGATATTGGCCTAATTTGCCATAGCAGTATGTGTAAATAAAATCAATATTATTCTGTTTTGTGGCTGAGGATTCTCATATGGAGAGAGATGGTGAAGGCTTGATCAAAATCCAGTTTATTTGCTCTTATGCAAATATTTCAAGAAGAAATATAAACTTTCCATATATTATATGCATATATATATATATATATATATATATATATATATATATATATATATACATATATGCAGATTCCCTGCAGTTACAAGGCTTACGTCTCAGCAGCATGGTCTCCGGCACTTCCTCCCTAGGATAGAGTCAAACCACACACTACTGGGAGGGGCAGATCTTCTCCCATGACCAGACTCCAAGGGCACCACTTCTTAATGTAAAACGCTGTTACATTGCTAGCGAGAAGGGGGAAGAATGCTCCTGATTCAATTCCTACTCTACTAATGGAGTTGTCTATCATTGTCCTTGACTTTAGGCAGCACTGTTTTTGAATGTCATTTTTAAACCTAATGACTAGTGCCACCTGAACTGAAAGTCACATACATTGCAAGGTTCTAAGGAAAAGTAGCTATAGTTCACATGCTCCATTTGCTTCTTGCCTGCTCTTTCTCCTCCAGGTAGAACTTTTACACAGAAAGCACCATGTCCAGTCCATTTAATTTCCATTAGTAATAAATAATGGCATTGGCTGAATGGTACCAGGCAGCCTCTTGTGAATGAAACCTGTTTTTCATTTCCCCCCTTTATATCTCGCTGCAAGAGAGGAGAGGCAAAGCTAGATGCCAGTCTAACTGATGTCATGACCTATGTCACACAGTTAAGACTAACCTTCCTCCACATCATGAGGTATCTAATCTCCACTTCTAATTGGTATTCCTGCCTTACTCTTGAATATCCTCTACCCCTTCAAACTTAACACAACCCAAATCAAATTAACTTTCCTTACCAGTTTTCCATCCTTAACCTTTTCTGAATTTCATAAATTTGTGAGTGTGCATAAATGAATCACTATACCTCTGTTCTCACAGACTGGAGTCATTTTTTCTCATACCTCTCCCTAAATGAAAATAGTAAGTGAAAATACTTTCTCACTCAGGTCTGAAATTTCCCACAAAGTTTTCTCCTTTTTGATTGTAGCATCACCCTCACATCCATATCCTCATCATCTTAGCTACATTGAGGCAATAATGGATCCCCTTATTTACTCTGCCACAGCCAGTAAAACTCTTTCTACCCACGGCACAATTTTCCTTTTATAATATCAACAATAAAAGCAGATCAAGTTAGTAAAAATTGCAAAGTTTATTGTCACACAAAAAGTATAGATTACAATCTGGGAGACTTCAAACCAAGTGGTAAAAAGCTCCACTAAGCAGTTACAACACAGTTTATAAAGCATAAAGGAGGAAGTATTTTGACTTTTCCCATGATTGGCTGTTATACATTATCGTTTTTCTTTTCAAGCAAAACAGAGCTGTTTAAGCCGATTTGTCTATAGCTGACTGGTTTAATTTTGCTGAGTCATGTGGACAAGGATGGTAAAGCTTACATTTTATGTTTATAATTAGAAAGAGCCTTTCAGGGAAATTAGGATGACAAGTTTTGATTACATGGTTATGGGCAGTTGGCTTTGGGGTATATCTAGACTGTGGCCTCCATTTTTATTTTTCTTTATTATTATTATTATTATTGAGATGGAGTCTCGCTCTGTCCCCCAGGCTGGAGTGCAGTGGGGTGATCTCGGCTCACCACAACCTCTGCCTCCTGGGTTCAAGCAATTCTCCTGCCTCAGCCTCCCAAGTAGCTGGGATTACAGGCGCATGCCACTATGCCTGGCTAATTTTTGTATTTTTAGTAGAGAGGGGGTTTTCCCATGTTGGCCAGGCTGGTCTCCAACTTCTGAGCATTCCTCCTGCCTCAGCCTCCCGAAGTGCTGGGATTACAGGCATGAGCCACCACATCCAGCCCCATTTTTATTTTTCTTTAACAATGTCTTTAACATTTCTCCAGATGATCAAGGTCTACATGAATGACTCATAGTTTCCTTGACCACTCCAATCTCTTTGACCTTCAATTACATTCACCATGAGCCATCTATTCCTGCACTTATACCGTAGAACTTGTTGAAATATCACAAGCTCTCCAGCCCTGTACAGTCTTCTATCCTTCCATGCCCAGGCCTCTATTTCCATCATTCTGTTCCTTCATTGCTTTGGGACACTCAGTCATTCAGCCCCTCTCTGCATTCCTAGCTATGTCACTCCTCCCACATGCCCTCAATCTTGGGAATCCAGGCTCGGGAATTTGTGACCTCTTCCTCTCCCACATTCCATAGCTCTCACTGACATTTAACCAGTCCACACTCTGCCACCCTTTTCTCCTTGCCTGCTAGTCTCCCCACCACTTTGCACTTATCTTACCTGATCTGCCTCCTCCAGGCCTGACCCATCTATGGGCCACCCCTCAGCACTGCCTCAGTGGCTTCTCTACACTGCAGATCTGAGTGTGTCATTTGCATGGTGCAGATCCTTTAGTTGCTCCCAGATGCCTTCAGGATAAGTCCAAGCTGTGGCCAGGAGGCTGTTCATGATCTGGATTCTGCATATCTATTCAGTTTCATCCACAACAAGATTCTCCAGTATGACCCAGAGGTAGTAAGCCACTTGCAGTTCCCCAAGGGACTCATGTACTCTGTGAACTTCAGCCCCTGCCCATGGCACCCCTCTACCTGGAATGTTCCTCCCACCCCTTCTTCATCCCACCGACACTTGCTTTTTTTTTTTTTTGAGATGGAGTCTCACTCTGTCACCCAATGTTCAAGCAATTTTCCTGCCTCAGCCTCCCAAGTAGGTGGGATTACAGGCACCTGCCACCATGCCTGGCTAATTTTTGTAGTTTTTAGTAGAGATGGGGGTTTCACCATCTTGGCCAGGCTTGTCTTGAACTCTTAACCTTGTGATCTACCCACCTCGGCCTTCCAAAGTGCTGGGATTACAGGCATGAGCCACTGCACCCGGCCAGTTGTTTATTTTATTTCTTTTTTTTTTTTGAGACGGAGTCTCGCTCTGTCGCCCGGGCTGGAGTGCAGTGGCGGGATCTCGGCTCACTGCAAGCTCCGCCTCCCGGGTTCACGCCATTCTCCTGCCTCAGCCTCCCAAGTAGCTGGGACTACAGGCGCCCGCCACTACACCCGGCTAATTTTTTGTATTTTTAGTAGAGACGGGGTTTCACCGTTTTAGCCGGGATGGTCTCGATCTCCTGACCTCGTGATCCGCCCGCCTCGGCCTCCCAAAGTGCTGGGATTACAGGTGTGAGCCACCGCGCCCGGCCCAGTTGTTTATTTTTTAAGACTCAGTTAAAGCATTATGTTCTCTAGGAAATCGTCTCTACCTGTCCATCAGGCTGAGCCTTTGGGAAGCCTTACTATAGCATCTTCTGCTTTGTCATTTTCTGCCTGCAGTGTAAGACTCTGAGGTCTAAAGTTGGAGGCTGTGGCCCCAGCACTCCAGCACAGAAGGGTGGTAGCTGTGTCCCAGCACCCAGCTCACAGCCAGTGCCCAAAAAGTGTTTATGAATGAATGGATACAACTTTCCCCTCCTTTATTTACCAACACTCTCCTAATCTCTGCCTAAATTGCTCATTATGCAACTGCTACCAGTTTACATAATTGCCAATTAAATATTTCCTTTAGTTAGTTACCCTGTTTTAATTTCATTAAGTTCAATTTATAAAAGTTCTGTTTAGAGGCGATCTACCTCAGATCTTTTCTGAAGCAAGATGGAATATAATAAGCATCTTAGTTCTATAAATGGCCTATTGAGTAAACAACACAAACAAAATAAATAACATCCTCCTATATTGCAGCACCAGTGCTAATATCTCTCTGGACGATTGAAGATGATAGGAGCACATCAGTGGTTTTCAACAAGGGTGATTTTGTCTCCCCAAAGGACATGAGGCAATGTCTGGAGACATTTTTGGCTACCATATCTAGGGGAGTGTCACTGGCATCTAATGGGTAGAGATTCACTTCCATCTGCTTCCATTAATAAGAATGCCAACAAAAAATAAGCTATTAAACTCAGGTTTGAAGAATGCTTTACAGATCATTGGACTAAATATTTAGGCCACAGAGGAAGATTTAGATTTGGTGTAAGAAATACTTTCCTAACTGTAACATTATTTGATATTAAAATAGATTATTACTGAGAGAACAGTGGTTCTCCACCCAGTTGCACAGTGGAGTCACCTGATAAGCTTTAAACACTACCAGTGCCCTGCTCTCTCAAGGGAGTCTAATATAGTCAAGAATGGGACCCAGTAATGGGTACTATTGTGGAAGCTTCCAGATTTTTCTGAGAACCAAGGCTAAGACCCACTGGTCAAAGCAAAAGTAAGCATCCCAACATCTGCGCTTAAACAAAAGAAAGTTTACTTTTAGGCAGAAGGGTGCGTGACCCTGTAGGAATACCATATGCATCATTCTTGCTCATAGTGGCCCCAGCGGTGGGCCTTGTACAGCTGTCTTCCTGCTGTTGCTGCTCAGTTGAAAAGGCCTGACAGTTCAGTCCTAAAGTGAAGCCAAGAAAGAGAATTCAGACTCTGATGCTCTGATGAAGAAATGACCTATGGAACTTTCTTTTCTGACCCGAGTGCCAGTAGACTTTTGTTTAGGACAGTTTCACAGCTTGTGAGAAGATGAGGAGCCATTTATTCATTGGTTGGCCCAAGCATGTGTTACAGTTGCTCTGAAAAGCTCAGATCAAAAGGTAAAGGACAAAGATGGAAAATAGCCAGACATCAGACCCCCAAGGATGCCCAGGATTGGCTTTGTCATTTCCACACTGGTTTTCTTTCACTGGTGAAGTAAGATGCAAAGAGATAAAATTCCCAAACCAGCAGAGGGCTTAGGCAACAATACATCCTTTTTTTTAAAAAAAAACAAAAAACCTTTTGCAGATATAGTTCACAAATTTATCTTTTAACCAAGTGGCCGTTTCTCTGGAAACAAAGAGTGTGCCTTAGTAATAGGACAATCATAGATTTTGTCTGCATACTAAGCATTTGAAATAGGCCTACAGATTACTACAAACAGCTGTATAGGATTAGTGGCCATTAAGGGCCAGCTGAAATGAGTTAGTAAACTTAAGAAAGTTCAATAACCAGAGAGTCAAAAGGAGAAGGTGATAGTAAATCATGAGGCAGGTGGGGTCTGGATAGAATAGGAATGGAGAGGGAAGAAATTTGGTCTAACATGGCGTGGGCCTTCTTTTCCCATTCTACAGGTGAAGATGCTGAGGTTTGGAGAGGTTGTGAATAACAGAGTCCAGAACTTGGATGTGCAGAGCTAGGAATAAAGCCAAGTTTATCTCACTCCAAAGGTTCTTTAGAGGCTTGAAGTAAAGGCCAAGTCAGGGTAGCCAGGTGAAATCCATGTACTGGCTTGAGGCTCATGGGTGCAAGTAGCTGGTCCACAAACAGACAGACTTTTACATTTTCAGGACTACTCACTAGTTCTTAACAGAGCCTGACCTAGCTGGGGGTCTACATGGACTCCAGTAACCATGGCATGGAGAAAAGGGCCTGGTGGGGAGAGAGGTTGATGTCTGGGATGAAGGGATGGGTGTGTGAAGAGAGTTTAAGAAGAAAGTTCTTGTGGAGGGAGGAAAGAACCCAGAAGCTCCCACTAAGTTTCATAATATATTTTGATAAGCTAGCTTCAGTGTCCCATGTAGGCTACTGTAGGTAGAAATAGTCTCATTTTAATAAAGGTGATTACGTTTTTCCTTGTGAAAATAATAAGTGTTCATTATAGAAAGTGTGGAAAATACAGAAAAAGGAAATGGGGGAAAATATATTCTTACTTGGTAAAACAACTGTTATAAAATCTGTTGTAATTTTTTCCAGTCTTTTTCTATTCATATAATTCATATTATTGTGATCATGAATTGTATTTGTCCTGTTTGTGTTACTTAACACTGCAAAACAAGCATTTCCCATCTTATTAGCATTTAGTGTTACATGTAATTATATATATTTATATATAAATTATTATAATTTAGAAAAGTTAAACTATTATATGTGCATATCACCTATACCTAACCTATTGTTGGGTATTTAGATTAGAAGATATATTATAATACACTCCAGAATGGAATAACTGGACCAAAGATATAGAAGTTTTAAGGACCTGAGACAATCAGCAGGGCTGGATTCTCACTTAGGAAGGCCTTTTTAGAGTAGTACCTATTCCTGGGTTGGATTCTCAAACTTGACATGTCCATAACTCAGTTTTCTCAGTACTGGGAATGATTAGTTCTTAGGAGTTATATAGGAGTTAACTAAAACTGATTTATAATAGCAATCAGACGTACCACATGGTCACTGTGGAACTCGTTAGTTCTGTTTGTCAAATATTTCTGTGGTCCATCTCCCAGGCACCTTATAGGATTATACTTCCTGCTCCCTGAGGGTGGCTGGGGCCTGTGTCTAGTTCTGAGGAGCTATGTTTGGAAGTGAACACTTATTTACAGGGGGAGCTCTTTTTGCCTCTGTCACTGTAACTGGCAATGCTTGAGAGGGTGGCTGCTCCATCAGCCCACAGTGAGAATGTGAGCAAGAAATACAACTTGAAGCCCCTGAGACTTGGAAGTTGGCTGTTAGTGCAGCATGCCCTAGCTCATCCTGACTGCCACAAAGAAGATACTCACATTAGCATGCCCAACATATTTAATCTCTGTAAATAGAAATCAACTAAAGTTAAAAGATTGCTAGGCCGGGCGTGGTGGCTCACGCCTGTAATCCCAGCACTTTGGGAGGCCGAGGCAGGCGGATCACGAGGTCAGGAGATGGAGACCATCCTGGCTAACACAGTGAAACGCTGTCTGTACTAAAAATACAAAAAATTAGCTGGACGTGGTGGCAGATGCCTATAGTCCCAGCTACTCGGGAGGTTGAGGCAGGAGAATGGCGTGAACCTGGGAGGCAGAGCTTGCAGTGAGCCAAGATTGTGCCACTGCACTCCAGCCTGGGCAAGAGAACTAGACTTTGTCTCAAAAAAAAAAAAAAAAAAAAAAGGATTGCTGTTAGGATTCATCAGAATAAAAGAAAAATATGTATTTATTTCAGGTGTTTCACAGCCCTTGATTAAGGGGACTGTAACATTCAATGTTAATTAAGACTTCCTCTTCCCAGGTAGTTTGGGCTGGGCAATGCCAACATTTACCTTCCCGAGTCTCCTTTTTACACTTTTAATTTTCACGTGTGTTCATGTGAAGAGACCACCAAACAGGCTTTGTCTGAGCAATAAAGCTTTTTAATCACCTGGGCGCAGGCAGGCTGAGTCCGAAAAGGGAGTCAGCGAAGGGAGATATGGGTGGGGCTGTTTTACAGGATTTGGGTAGACAGTGGAAAATTATAGTCAAAGGAGGTTGTTCTCTGGCAGGCAGGGGTGGGGGTCACAAGGTGCTCAGTGGGGGAGCTTCTGAGCCAGGAGAAGGAATTTCACAAGGTAATGTCATCAGTTAAGGCAGGAACAGGCCATTTTCACTTCTTTTGTGATTTTTCAGTTACTTCAGGCCATCTGGATGTATACGTGCAGATCACAGGGGATATGATGGCTTAGCTTGGGCTCTGAGGCCTGACATTCATGTTGACCAAGCCAACTTCTGATGGTCACGGTCTTCCTTTAATTGGTATTGTTTTATTTTAAAAGTCACACCATACACTATTTAACAAACAAGTACTTTTTAAAATTTTTGTGTATATTGTTTTGAGATGGAGTCTCACTCTGTCACCCAGGCTGGAGTCCAGTAGTGCAATCTCAGCTCACTGCAACCTCCACCTCCCAGGTTCAAGCAATTCTCCTGCCTCAGTCTCCCAGAGCAGGTGGGATTACAGATGCCCGCCACCATAACCGGCTAACAAATGAATACTTTAGAATCAAATGAAGTAAAATATAAAAGACCTGCTTTCTCCCTCCCCTACCAGCCCACTTCCTGGACTTCAGTTTGGAGCATCCCCCTCTAGACATTTTCTCTGCAGTTCAAAGTACAAATGAAATCCTACTCTTCGTATTCTTCTGTGCTTTGCTTTTTCACCTAGTTTCTCGGGTGTCTTTTCATGTCTGTGTATGTTGATTCACCCCTTTCTTTTTAACGAAGGCAGAGTTCTCAGTTTCAAAGATTTATCAGCCTTCACTTAACCAGTTTCCTCTTTGTAAACAGTTTTGGGTTTTTCTCCAGTCTTTTACTATTGTTAGTAATGCTCCAATAAACATCCCTGTTAAATGTATCTTTTGCACATTTGCGCAAATTAATCCAGAAGGAAAATCTCTAAAAATATAATTCTAGGTTGAAGGAATTTGCAGTTTAAATGCCAGTAAATATTGCCAGTTCCTTTCCCAAAGGTCAAATCAATTTGCATTCCCACCAAAACAGTGTGAGAATTCTTGTCTCTTCCCCCTCTCAAGGATCCAGGGTATTACCAAACTTCTAGAAATCTCTTCCATCATAATCATGAAAAACCATATTGCATTGTTTATTTAAAGTACATTTTCTTAATTACAGGTGAGTTTGTGCTTGTTCTTTCTTAAAGTATGATAATACCTTCAATCAAGTATGATGAGGCTTTGGTGGCATTCTTTCTCTTTAAAGCATGCTGATTTTACTGCTTGAATCTCAAAGAATAAGCCTATTTTTAAGCCCTGCAGAAGCATCTTGTCGCTGCCCCTCATTTACTGAATAAACAGGTTCACAACATTTCTGAGACCCTTTATATATAGGTATATTATAGCTAGGATGTTTTACAGTGACAGCATCAAGGCAGATGGACTGGGAATTGACCAGCCCTCCAACCTCTCAGTTAATTGATGTGACATATTCTTTCATTGCAGCAATTCAGTTTTGTGTCCTTGCCCACTGACGTGCTGGAAATTGAGGTGAAGGACAAGTTTGCCAAGAGCCGCCCCATCATCAAGCGCTTCTTGGGAAAGCTGTCGATGCCCGTTCAAAGACTCCTGGAGAGACACGCCATAGGGTAAACCTGTGACTGAGATCTTACTATCACTAGGTTCCCACCAACAGGTCGTGCCCAAAGGTGGCCTGTAGGCTGCAATAGTATAGTCTCACAGAGAGTCAAAATGGTATCATTATATTTCCTTTGTTTTTCCTACTAATTATGTTGCCTGAGCCAACATAAGTGTTTGTTATATTAAACAAACCCATCCCTTTTCACTTGATGTGTAACACTGGTTACTTACCCAAGAGAGTAAAAAATCCTATTAAAAATATTAAACAGTATTAAAAGAAGCCCTCAATGGGGCATTTTTCTGTACAGGTAGAAACTAAAGTTTGTTTTACTATGAAGAATATTATTTCATTCATATGCCAGTCTGGTATGTAAGATTTAATCATATGTGACATTTCCATAACAAGATGGAATACTGGGTAACTACTGTAGAGTTTCTTACTTAGAAGACACTAGTATCTGCAGATGCTAGATAACATGGATAAGAATTTGAAAGCATGATTCTCATGGAATGACAGCAATTAAGATGCTCACAGAATTCAATTGTATATGAGAATGGGTTTCTGTTTTGTCTCTTTTACATTCATGTCCACTCATGGTTCTCATTAAAGTGGACTATGACCAGATAACAGCCCTATGTATAATATGTATTTCTTTAGGTAACAGGGACTACATTTGAAAACACTAAATAAAGCTTTCTATTGATAAACATATACTTATATACAATGTAACCCTTACAAAGATAGCAAAAGAATGAGAAAAAAATATGCAGAATTTCCAAGTGTCTTAATTTAAAGTTCTTTGGATTATCAGAAGGACTTTGGAATCACGGATAATTATCATAAAGACATTTATTATTAATTGGAACCTTATGGTGTGTAGGCAGCAGGGTGCACAGAGACCTGCCACTAACTCTCCAGCCAAAGGGAGCTGAGTTTATGGAGCTGCAGTCACGTGTCACATGCAGTGTTTGCACTTGCCATTCATGGTTGTGAGGATTAAACAGACAAAAAGTGTACATAAAGAACCTAGCACGGCCACTGGCACGTAGTAGGAACACAAAAGAAAATGGTATTCCTTGTGATCTTTTTTATTTCATTTAGTCCTCATAATGCTTCTGTGACAGCATTATCACCATTCCTGCACGAGGAAACAAGGCTTCAAAAGGATCAATAATTATGTAAACCCAAGGCTTGTGGGTGGCAGAGATCCGGCCGGAATTCAGACTCACACCTGTGTCTCTCCAAAGTCCGAGGGCCATCCCCACACAACAGGCTTCTCTCAGGGTTCCTAGGACTGATTCTGTAGTTTATTGTGGGCCATGCTTTTCATTTCTCTCCTTCTCTGCCCTACTGGCTGCTCTCACAGCTGTTAGCACCTCTGCCAGGGGGTGGGCTGGAGAACAAAAACAGGGGCTGTGTGGGATTCTTTCTACCCCAGCACCCAGTGCACTGCCGCCCAGCATGCATTAGATAGATACCAGTTCGTACGTAAGGAACAGAACTTCTCTCTCCAGCTCGCTGCAGCCGCAGAGCCCCTCTGCCCTCCCATGCTGAGTTCTCTCCTAAGTCCAAGCTGCCGGCTCCTATCTTCTTAGCACTGTCCCGCCCTCCAAGCCTCCCACTGTGGAAAGGCACATCCCCAGCTGAAAGCAAGTACCTGAGGTGGAAAAGGGTGTCCCCGACCAAAAGAAGGTTAGCTATGATTTTCCCAGTGTTCTTGCCACCCAGGGAAATGGAGAGCACAGATCGAGTGTGATTGAGCTTACACCTCTCCAAGAGGCAACAACAGCAAGCCATGGAGGCGTTTTTCCTCCCACCCTCTTTGATGGGATGATAGACTGCCCCCTGGTGGCGGCGCAGAGCAGCTCCTCCTCCAAAGCCTTCTGCTTCCACAGCCCCTGGGGGCCACTTCTGCAGTGCTGCCTCCTCCGGAGGTGTCCCACCGTGGTTAGGAGCAGAGTGTTGGGGTGATGGCCATGGAAGCAGTGGCCATGCAGCCTGAGCCATGGCAGAACCCCAGAGTGCACCCACAACAAAAGTGAATCCACTTTGCACCGCAGCTTCCCTCTGCCCTCAGCACATGCTCTCCCCATAAAGCCCCCTGCATCCGTGGTTTCTGAAACGTTTGGCTCCACCTGTACTGGCTGCCTCCCTGCCCTGAGATATTTGCACCTTTCCCCCCTGGGCACACATGCACTCTCATTTCCAATCCTCCTTCGATTCCTTGGCCTGTAAAATCCCAGGCTTCTGTTGGCTGTCTGCCTGTAACTCTAACCATCTCACCTTCGCATTGAAGTGTCACTGGCTGTCTTGAACCATTATTTAGTGGTCCTACCTTATGCCCCCAGCTGGACATAAGCTATTTAAAGGCAGGGGCGATGTATGACATGCTTTGTATCAACTGCAGCACCTTTCACATGGCAGGGGCTCAAAAAATATTTGTTAAGTGGGTGAAAAGCAAAAAAAAGAAAAGCCCTGAAAGTAAATGCAAAGCATAATAAATGTAATTTTTGTGCCACTGTCTGATTGTCTTTAGGCCTCCCCTGATTTCAATTAAGTTTTGGGTTCGGGATGTCTTTGTTATGGTCATAATAGACCTACTTCATAATATTGACCAAAGGCTCTTTCTAAACAGACAAAATACTGAAGCTCATCCTATTTTTTTCTGCACATAATGCTTTACTTAATGGACTTCTGAGGAACTCCAAACACTAAATCATGGCTTATCAAAGAACAATTTTTAAGTCGGGGCTTGTTGGGATATAGGTTGTCTCATAATGCCAGTGTTTTCTAGAAAGAAACATTAAAACACTATCAGCCAGTGATTTATCTTTTTATTTTCATGTCACAAACTAATAAATGGAATAAATACAGAGTCATCTGAGTAACAACTGGTTTGGGGCTATGTGTTTGTTATTACTGGGTACCCTGGGTTTGTTAACTCCTGAATATCCAAAGGTGGTCACTCTTCCTATTTAGGCCCAGGTAAGGGGCAATTTACTCTGCTGAAGCTGCATTGTTAATGAAAATATAATAGCAAAGTTTCAGGTTGATTGCCTCTAGAAAGTTTTCTTTTTATAATTAAGAAATTGCTTTGAGGGGGTGGAGGGGATGGCATGAAAATCCAGGGTGGAGACTTGGGGTCCCTACATGTGGAGCCCTGCAATTGGTGTTAAGTGGAACTCACAAGCCAAAGAATTCAGCCCACGAGTCTTGCTCTGCTCCATCCTGGAGCAGGTGCCATTCTGTAGCGCCCACAGACTCTCCAGTAACCATGACAGCATCCTTTCTTAGACATTACATATATACCACAAGATATGCATCTGCTGGCACTGTCCATCGTTGAGGACATATTTGGAAAATGGCAATCTGCACAGGAAAAGCAGGCCAAGGACATCCGTGTCTTTTTTTATTCTCTCTCTCTCTCTGTTTTAGAACACAGGTTGGCAAACTTTTTTGTACAGGGCCAGGTAGTAAATATTTTAGGCTTTGCAAGGCCCACAGTCCCTGTCTAAATTACTCAACTCTACCAATATAGCATGAAAGTTGCCACAGATAATACGTAAGCTAACAAGCATGGCCGTGCTCCAATAAAACTTTATTTATGGACACTGAAATTTGAATTTCATATAATTTTCACATGCTACAAAATGTTACTCTTCTTTTATTTCTTTTTCCAACAATTTAAAATGTAAAAAGCTCACAACCACACAAAAACAGGTGGTGGGCCACATTTAGCCCACAGGCTGTAATTTGCCTACCCTACCCCTGCTTTAGAATACAGACAGTCCGTTCAACTTAACCATTTTTTGCTTTACAATGAATTCAGCAGAAACCATACATCGAATTTTGAATTTTGAATTTTGATCTTTTCCTTGGCTAGCGATACACAACACGATACTTTCGTGAAGCTGGCAGCAGCAGCAAGCCATAGCTCCCAGTCAGCCATGTGATCACAGGGTAAACAAGTGATACTGTACTCTACAGTAGACTGTATTCAATAAATTACATGAGATATCCAATACTTTATTATAAAATAGTTTTGTTTTTGTGTTACATGATTTTGCATACTTGTAGGCTAATGTAAGTGTTCCAAGCACTTTTAAGGTAGTCTAGGCTAAGCTATGATGTTTGGCAGGCTAAATGTATTAAATGCATTTTTGAATTGCCAGTATTTTCAACTTTTGATGAGTTTATTGGGTCATAATCCATGGTAGTTCAAGGGGCATCTGTATTCGATAAGGACTTCCTTACAGTTTTGTATTGCTGTTGAGCACATCAGGACTTCCCTGGGCTTGCCTGCCTCACCCACTGGTATAGAAAGCACACTGCATGGTCATTAGGAAGAGAGGTATTGACCAGAACTGTGATGGTGCTTATTTCCTTCTAGGGATAGGGTGGTCAGCTACACACTTGGCCGCAGGCTTCCAACAGATCATGTGAGTGGACAGCTGCAATTCCGATTTGAGATCACTTCCTCCATCCACCCAGGTATTTTCAGCATGAACTTCATGTCTTGTCCTAGGCTAGTGTCATAAGTGTGGTTCCTTTTTCTAAAATACAATAACTATGGTTCTCTCCAGATGTATCCTAGGTTTTGTGGTTATCTTCTCCATTTGAGGTCCAGAAGCCAGTGATCTATTCTGGAAGCCAGGTTGCTGTCCCCCTGATAGAGAAGCTCCTCTTCATTCTAGTGACCCAAAGGTACAGAGTAGACAGTGGACTGAAGGTTAACAATGAGGCCAACATGGATAGGGAGTTCTGTCTTATTTATCATCCTACCCCCAGCACCCACATAGGTGTTTAATCATCACATACATGAATGAATGAATGAACGTGAAACATCTTTCTACCTAGTAACTAGATATAGACTAGCCAGTTGCTGAAGAATGTCATGTTGAAGAACTATAATTGTACAATGAATTTTTATAATATCACAGAAAAACAAGAAAAGTATAAATAGGACAGAAAACTCCAGAATCATCCAGTGTTCCATTTAATGCTAAAACAGATTTCAAAATACGAATGATAAGATGCCTCATAATTTTATTTTTGCTCTTCTTCTGCAGCCCCCATACATCTCAATATAGATCATACTGAGAACTGTTAGGACCTCCTGGACCATTTACAAGTTGCTGTTAAGTCTAATGAAGCTCTTGAGAACTTAGAGCCTGGAGTTTTTCACTACCCACTCATTAAACTCCAGGTCTACTTTCCTGTGCCAATATACAACTTAGATTGTAAGAAAACACCTTGACTATTTTGTCTTTTCAAATTCAGTCTATTTCTATATTCTGAGAATACAACTGACTCTTCCTTTGGTGTAGCCATAAGGACAGCTTTACAGCTCACCAGAGGGACTGATTTTCTTTAGTGACTTGCACTAATGCATTTGAAATGGGGAATTTCACATCTGGCAGGAATCCAGTAGAACAGCTGCAGGAAGGTAGAGTTAAACACTGGCTGGATGCTACCTCGTGAATGGCTGCTTGAGGTGAAGACCTTGTTTTTTTTAAATTGGAATAAACTCTAAATGTTGGGAACCTTCCAGCCTGAGATATTGAATGACTGTGATTGTTCCTATTCTTCATCCAGCCTTTGAAGAATCTGGTTGCCTGAGAATCCTGCTTACCCCTTATGCCACCCTGCAGGACCTAAGCATAGGAAACATTCTGAGCAAATGCAATTAACTAAATATAATCATCAAGGAGCTATAAATAACACCACTACTACCCTCATCCCTGGAAGTCATTCCATGTGGCAAACACTGTTGAGCACCTACTATGTGCCCAGAACTGGGTTAGTGCTAGGCTTTGGGCATTTTAACCAAAAGATGAATTCCCTTTTTGAATCGTATTTCGGAAATATATCCATGACTGCAAGTTGTTGTTAACATAGCAAGAACTCATTCTTACAGAATTTTTCACTAGAGCTCTGGCCAGTGAGAAACCCTCATCAACCTACATTCAATATCCTAATGTAGAAATCCCTTAGTGATGGCTTACATGTCCCACAGGGTATCCTAACACCACAATGCTCTCTTCTGGGAGAAATGACATATTTTTCTTCTTACCAGCAGATGATGAGGAGATTTCCCTGAGTACCGAGCCTGAGTCAGCCCAAATTCAGGACAGCCCCATGAACAACCTGATGGAAAGCGGCAGTGGGGAACCTCGGTCTGAGGCACCAGAGTCCTCTGAGAGCTGGAAGCCAGAGCAGCTGGGTGAGGGCAGTGTCCCCGATGGTCCAGGGAACCAAAGCATAGAGCTTTCCAGACCAGCTGAGGAAGCAGCAGTCATCACGGAGGCAGGAGACCAGGGCATGGTCTCTGTGGGACCTGAAGGGGCTGGGGAGCTCCTGGCCCAGGTGCAAAAGGACATCCAGCCTGCCCCCAGTGCAGAAGAGCTGGCCGAGCAGCTGGACCTGGGTGAGGAGGCATCAGCACTGCTGCTGGAAGACGGTGAAGCCCCAGCCAGCACCAAGGAGGAGCCCTTGGAGGAGGAAGCAACGACCCAGAGCCGGGCTGGAAGGGAAGAAGAGGAGAAGGAGCAGGAGGAGGAGGGAGATGTGTCTACCCTGGAGCAGGGAGAGGGCAGGCTGCAGCTGCGGGCCTCGGTGAAGAGAAAAAGCAGGCCCTGCTCCTTGCCTGTGTCCGAGCTGGAGACGGTGATCGCGTCAGCCTGCGGGGACCCCGAGACCCCGCGGACACACTACATCCGCATCCACACCCTGCTGCACAGCATGCCCTCCGCCCAGGGCGGCAGCGCGGCAGAGGAGGAGGACGGCGCGGAGGAGGAGTCCACCCTCAAGGACTCCTCGGAGAAGGATGGGCTCAGCGAGGTGGACACGGTGGCCGCTGACCCGTCTGCCCTGGAAGAGGACAGAGAAGAGCCCGAGGGGGCTACTCCAGGCACGGCGCACCCTGGCCACTCCGGGGGCCACTTCCCCAGCCTGGCCAATGGCGCGGCCCAGGATGGCGACACGCACCCCAGCACCGGGAGCGAGAGCGACTCCAGCCCCAGGCAAGGCGGGGACCACAGTTGCGAGGGCTGTGACGCGTCCTGCTGCAGCCCCTCGTGCTACAGCTCCTCGTGCTACAGCACGTCCTGCTACAGCAGCTCGTGCTACAGCGCCTCGTGCTACAGCCCCTCCTGCTACAACGGCAACAGGTTCGCCAGCCACACGCGCTTCTCCTCCGTGGACAGCGCCAAGATCTCCGAGAGCACGGTCTTCTCCTCGCAAGACGACGAGGAGGAGGAGAACAGCGCGTTCGAGTCGGTACCCGACTCCATGCAGAGCCCTGAGCTGGACCCGGAGTCCACGAACGGCGCTGGGCCGTGGCAAGACGAGCTGGCCGCCCCTAGCGGGCACGTGGAAAGAAGCCCGGAAGGTCTGGAATCCCCCGTGGCAGGTCCAAGCAATCGGAGAGAAGGTTAGACCTCAAACCTGATCAGAGTGAGAATAGGACCATCAGGGGGACAAAGGTGTCACCAACAGTTTAAAAACAAGAAGGGCGGGGGATCGGTGTCAAACGGGGTTGCTGGGGCAATGTATGCCTGTCTTGTATATACATGTGTGCATGTGTATCTGTGTATGAGCATAGATGACTGTGAGTAGCTGACACCCCACAATGTCTCAGATACACACCAGGAATTACGACTGGTTGGATGTGAGCGTGCACTTGTATGTGTGCTTCTATGTTTGTTTTAACTAATCACCAGAACTGGTTAGTGTACATGTTATCCTAGTCTTAACAGCAGCCAGAGCCCCAAGACTAGTATCAAATGATATACATGGGAAAAATCTATCTACATTAAATGGATAATGTGTAAATATCTGCTGACTTTCAAAGCACATGGAAGATTAGCAATAGATGTTAATATTAGTTGAAGAACAGATTTTACCTCTGTTTTAGAATTCAACTAGCCCATGTACGTACATATAGATATGTCTAGCCTACATATATTTGTCATTATTTATGTCCACTCAATTCTTGTTATTACTGTTGGTTTTGTTTTGTTGTTGTTGTTGTTGTTGTTGGCTATTTTGGCTAATGGAAGGGAAAAATAACATGATTGTGTATAAATGACTTTGTTTCCAATAAGAATCAAATCCAAAAGCTGCCACCATTAGTTTTAAAACGTATTCTGTGTTTTAACCAAAGATGTTCTTTCTTAGTCATGCCTGTGGAATTATATGTGAAATTAATTTGCATTTCCTTATCCAGGAGTGGAAACTGTCTTCCAGTCAAGTGACAGTGGTATGACTGGGAAAAAAAATTGAAAAGTCACATAATAATATGAAATAATTCAGTTGTTTTAAAAGAGAAAAACATAGCCTCTGCTATTTTGCTGTTCTGCTGTTGAAATTAGCCTCCAACAAAAGGCGGGGATATTTTCTCTAGATTGTAAGCTCATCAAGGGCCAGAGTTGTGTTTCTTTATGTTTGAATTCTTAGCACCTAAACAAACCCCTGGTGCCTACAAATTTTTTTTTTAACAGGAGCTAAAGTGAGCATTAAAAAAAATAATTTTAAGTATTCAATAATGCCCGCTTCTACATTTCAGAAAAAGAGTGAGAGAAGGTGGCACATGCAATAATGAGAAACGCAAGGAAATTGGTAGAGAAAAAGAAACACAGGCAGAAAGGTAAAACAGACAGCATGGAAAGGTACCCACAAGGAGCGGGATGGAAAATCCCTCCTGTGAGTAGAAGGGAATGGGAAATGCCTTTCTTTCACAAGGATGTTTCGAGGACTTCCTTTATTCTAGGCCAGATGTAATGCACTGGGCGCAGGAAGATGGAGTGGCATCAGGTGATGTATGGACATTACTCGATAATTACAGCATAATTAAAATAATACAACAAAAGGAGATTGGGGGATTCCCACATAAAAGGCACACATAGGAGCTGGCAGGGATGTTGGGTTACAGAGGTCTGTAGATTTTTCCTGTGAAGAGCCAGATAGTAAATACTTTAGGCTTTGTGGGTCAAGAGGTAAAAAGCTAAATAACTGTTCTCACTAAAAAGCTTTTTTTTTTTGTATTAAAAAGTGTACTGACACTTTTCTTAGCTCAGAGCCATACAACCCTGTTTTAGTGCACAGTTTTTTGGCCCCCATGTTGGGAGATAATCTACACATGGTCAATTGAAACTTGGCTCAATGTAAATTTATATAAGATCATGTTTTACAAACAAAAAAGTCACATCCTTGCCCTTTAGAGGCCAACAGTCTAGCAGGTGGAAGAGCAGGAAGTGTTTCAGGGTCACAGTGGACATCTCTGAATTGGCACTGGCAGTTTCTAAAGAAATATCTAAGTTCCTGAACTCTGCAGAGTGTAAACTCAGAAAAGGTTAAGAAGCACCTACATGCTTCACTATGGCGATCACAAGGGGAAATAAAAAGATTCCCGAGGGGTCTCTTGATCTGCTGAAGGCCATGCACACGCTGGCATGTGACTTCTTCCCAGCCATCCTTCCCCGCCTCAGCAGTGAGTCCCCAGGCTAACCGTGTCTGCATTGTGGGACTGTCCTTCACTTGCCACCAGGCTTCACAACAGCAGATGCTTCAAGAAAGCAGGGCTTTAACATGACCTGCCTGATACGTGATTGTGTGGGTGACCTCTGCTTCCATAAAAATCCCTATTGCTCCTTCGCCTTGACTTCTAAGATTGCAAATTCCTTTACTGTAGAAACTGCATTAGACGGCTGGGTGTGTGGGCTCACGCCTGTAATCCCAGCACTTTGGGAGGCCGAGGTGGGTGGATTGCCTGAGGTCAGGAGTTCAAGACCAGCCTGGCCAACAGGGTGAAACCCTGTCTCTACTAAAAAAAAAAAAATACAAAATATTAGCTGGGCACGGTGGCGGGCACCTGTAATCTCAGCTACTTGGGAGGCTGAGGCAGGAGAATCACTTGAACCCAGGAGGCAGAGGTTGCAGTGAGCTGAGATCGTGCCATTGCACTCCCAACTGGGCAACAAGAGCAGAACTCTGTCTCAAAAAAAAAGAGAGAGAGAAAAAAAAACTGCATTAGATTAACCCAGGTGGATTTGTTGTCCACGTGCCCACATAGATAAGGCTGCAACAATTTATAGAGGAACACTGTTCTAAGTCTGAACTGACAACTATACAGGCTAGTATTCTTTTCATACTTTTTGCTTTATTTCCCTCTATAAATACCTCCTTTTTAAAAGTTTAATTTAAAATAGTTCTTGAAAGACCTTCTGCAGATAAATGAAAAGAGTAACATAATGTCATTGTTATGAGCTCAGGCCCTGGAGTCAGGCCTCCTGGATTTATATTCACTCCTCCCACTTCCTCACCAAGTTACCTAGCTGTTCTGTGCCTCAGTTTCCTCATGTGCAAAATGGGTATAATTACAGAATCTCCCTCAAAGTGTTGTTGGGAAAATTTAATGAGATGATACTACAAAAGCACTCTGCTTCCCACCAAGTGAGGGTTCTTCCAGGCAGACAAGCAGTGAGGGTAACTGTTTATATTATGTTGTATAAAGCATCTAAAACAATCCTTTGAATTTGCATTTCCTGTACTTTATAATTCAAGGGAAATTTTCACATTATTAGGTATAAATCACTTTGCTTCAAATAATATGCAAGGCAACCTATCTTTCTCTACAATTAGGTTATATTATTTATAAATAGAAGGGAATTTAAAACGACGTTGCTTGCTTTTAGCTGAGGAATAGATCTCTTTCTGGGAGGTTCTGGCGGGTTTCAACACTTGCTTTGTGTTTGAGGCAAGGGTGATGATGTGGAACCCTGTCCTTGTGCAGAATAGAACTGCTTGCTTCTTCAGTGCCTCCATCCATTCAGTCGGCTGAGACATGTTGGTCACATCATTGCATTTGCTTGGGGTTCACAAGCAGGTGGGATCAGCTGCATTAACCCCAGGCAGTCAACAATGTTGTATTTCCACTAGCTTGGAGGAGTAATTAACCTGATTGGTTGCATTAATTTCAAGAGGTAAGTCTATTGTTGATTTTAAAGAAACTAAGTTAAAAATGCAGCAGCTGATGACATAACAACTATACCATGGTTTTGTTTAATTTCTGACACTAAACATGTATACAAACAAACATGAGTGTGGTATCCACTTAAACACAGAGCCCATCTTTGGAACAGCAGTCTGTCCACAATGAACTGGGTGCCGGCATGAGGGGAACCTTCCTTGTTTTCCATTAGCATCTCCAAGGACCCAGAGGATTTGAGTAACATAGCAGAATTTGCTCAACAAATAATGTTCTATATTTAACATTTAAAAGGACCCTTTGTTCCTGAATATATCTCTCCTTCTGTTTGCCAGTGAGCTCTAGGAATTAAATCACAAAATTAAACCCACCTTTCTTCCTAATTAATTTATTTTTATTTTTGATCAGTTCCGTAGAACTAGAGTGAGAAGAAATAACCATCCTTTCCATGTGTGGATATTCTAGGAAATATTCAGCATTTGAGATCCTACAACCATTTGACCACCATTTTTCAGTCTCTCTCCTTTTTGACCCAAGGGATAATGGAACACTTGCTATTTGCATCAGCAGAGGACAGAAGAAGGAAAAGGCCTGACCTTTGCCCTCTGGCCCTTAAAGGCTTTTGCAAGAAAACCAGCATGGTGTGAGGCAGGAGGAACCATCTGAAAAAAGGGCCATCCTTTGTCCCGGGCCCTTCTCACTCTGCAAAGATCAAGAGCACTGGCCTCTGATTATGTGACCCAAGCAGCTGGTGCTGCAGGCCTGCCTTCTGCATGGCTGCTCTACATGCCTGAGGACACCACTTCAGAACATCGTTCAGTTCATTATAAGTCCGAACTGAGAACAGTATAAGCTATGTCTGTTGTAGGTTTTCTTTTAATAATCTGAGGCATGCATCCTGTGGATATAATGTTTATTTCTAAACTTTCTCCATGTTTGTCTTTCTTCCTCCTTCTTTCCCATTTCTGTGTTTTGAGCTTTCCTGTCGCCGTCTTTCTGCTTTTTATCTACTTCCTTTGTCTCTTGTCCTTTCCTCTTTCCGGAGCACCCTGGCTTGTCTGATTTCTCCTCAAAATAATCTGGACAGTCCTGAGATCCCTCAGCCCCTTGGCTCCCCTCCCCAACCCCCCAACCTCCAGCTTTCCTACTACAGGAATTTACTTTCTTGGCTCGCCAGCTCCTTGACCTGTCTTGGTACCATCTAAGAGTTCATTCCCCTCAAAAATCTGAAAAACAGCCTTTCGGCAGCCCTGTGATGAAACCTATCCAAGTGAGGAGGTGTCATTTTGCATAAGCCCAAGGAACTTTTGTGGAACCTTATAAAACGCTGCATTTCCCTCAAACAGGCCTATTTCCTCCACTGGGCTAAAATCAGGCTCTGCTAATTTTCTCTTGTGTTCCTTTCTGGTGCCACTTTCTGATTCAGGAAATTCGGGTCATTACAGAATCAGACTCAAATCCTACATATTGGACTGTGTGGCGCAGATCATTAGTTATGAAGTGTTTTGATTTTCTTCTTTTTTAAAAAAATATTTCCCCCCTCACGAATGACTGTGAATGTAGCAAACTGACACACACACACAAATGGATTTCCCACTCTTTGGGGTTGTTTCTTGTAGTGCTTAGTTTTACAGTCATGCTTTTTTGATGATGTTGCCACGGCAGTGAATGAATCTGAATGTATTGACTATCTTGTCCGTAGGTGAATGTCCTATACTCCATAATTCCCAGCCAGTAAGCCAGCTTCCTTCCCTGAGGCCTGAACATCATCACTACCCAACAATCGATGAGCCTCTTCCACCAAGTAAGCTTTAGTTTTTAAAATCTGTGTCTTAACTCTTCCTATCAAGTCTAAGCAGGTCAGTATGAATTTGTGTGTAAACATCTAAAGTCTTTCCCGACTCCGTGCCTTACAGTGTTAACAAAGACCAATATGACACCTGCTCTAAAAACTGGTGGTTTTTTGGGGGTTTTTAGTTTGTTTTTTTGACTAATAGTTTCACCATGTGATCTTGAAGAGATAACACAGTGTTTTCAGTGCCTCTCAACTTCTGAAATGGAGAGCATTTCTCTGTTAGACTTGACTAGTCTTTGCAAACTGTTCATGACCTTTAAGTCCCAAATTTTACATTTTATATTTAAAATTTGCAGTTCAAGATAGAATAATCCTATTGTTCTCCATTGGATCTGTTACGTCACAAGCATCTCCATATGTTAAAACAACTTCAACCCATCTGGGCACATGAACTTGTACTTTCCTTACTATAACTTCCATCCATAGGGAATAGCTTCAAATTTCTTCTGCAGTTCTTAGGGGTTGCCAGGCAAAATATCATCTTTAAGATAGAATTCAATGTCAGTTTCTCCTGGTAACTGTAGTGGGTAATTAATAATTATCTAACTAGTCATCTGAACTTGGGAAATTCATTTAATCTCTCAGGGACTTAGTTTTCTCATTTGTAAAATTTAAAAAATAAAGTTTAAATGTCTCCATCTGCTCAATGAAAGATTTGACCTAGATAGTCTCTAGATACCATTCTAGCTTTAACTTCATAATACTCCATTTAATAAATTTATAGGAAGAAATTGATACCCCAGACATTATATATTCACTTGGCATCACATATGTTCATGAATTCTAGAACATCTCTGTTTTGGTTTTGCTTATTTTTCAAGCAAAGATAGTATTTAAGATTTGATAGATTTTACAACTACGAAATCTTTCCAGAATGCAAGGACCCAGTGTTTCTTTACATTCTTTTGCCTGTGCTTACATGAAGCAGTTACAGTTTTCAAAAGGAGAAGTGCTTATTTCTTAGTTCATCTGTTCTTGGTAATGTGCTGTACTTTACAGGAACACCACTCCTCTCCCTATTCAACTGTAATTTATTGGTGAGAAATCAAAGAACATCTTTTATATGTGGACTAATTTAAAGAAACACAATATTTGTTTTTCAAGGGCAAAGCCAAACATCATGTCCTTGAACTTTTGATGCCTGATTTCTTTCTTTCTTTATACACTGATTTATGGACATTCTATAAATGAAGAGTAACATTTTAGCATCACTACAAATACTTCCTAGGTAACATTTATTTGAAAAATATGTATAACATGTTATCTCCAGGAAAGGGATGCTTTCCCCACAACAAATAACCTTTCAATGCATGAATCTACTTCGAATCTGTGCAGTACAGATGACTAGTTATACATGCAAATATTATAAATGATTGTACATAAATCCGTTGTAAAATAATTGCTTTATATAAGCCACTTTCAATAATGAGAACAAATTTCTCCAGACAGCTTTCAGTTTTCTATCCATATAACAGTGAAAGACCTTAGAAAAATTGGTAATGAATCCTACCAACTGAATATTGTTAAATAATCTCAAATAGTACAAGAATTACCTTATTGCTGATATTCATTCATTCAACAAATATTTATTGAATGTTTGCCCTGTGCTAGGTACTATTGTGGGTAAGCAAAACAAAGATTCCTGCCCTCATGGAGCTTACAGTCTAGTCTGGAAGACAGATTAGCAAACAATAAAATAATTAAACAGGGACTGGCCTAGCATAGGAGATGCTATGGAAAAGCAAAAATAGACCAGGGTGAGGGATCTCTGAGTTCGTGTGGGGGTGGCTGGTTTGCAGTTTTAAAACAAGTGGTGAGAATAGGCTTCATTGAGAAGACAACACCTGAGGGTTAGGAGAGTTATCCCTGCAAGTGTTGGGCAGGAAGAGCTTTGCAGGCACAGGGAATGGCCACTGCCAGTCGGGAGTTGGAAACACCCTGCTGGGTTTAAGGAACAGGAGACCAGTGCATCTGGAGCAAACTGAGGAAGGGAGAAGGCAGCAGGTGATGTGGTTAGCGAACTAGCAAGGCCCAGATCATGCAGGGCCTTGTAAACCATTTAAGGGCTTTGTAAATCACTTAAGGGCTTTTACTCTGAACGAAAGGAGGACATTGTAGAGTTTTCAGCAGAGAAGTGACATTGTCTGCCTCAGGTTTTGAAAAGTTTGCCCAAGTTGCTGTGTAGGGAATAAATTGGGAAGAGGAAGGATAGAAGCATGAGATTCAACATAAGATTATGTCTTTATGCAGGAACCCAGGTGACAAACAATAGTAGCTTGGGCCAGGGTGGGAGCAGTGGAGGTGGTGAGGAGTGGTCTGATTCTGGACATATATTTTAAAGGTAGATTTGATGACAGATTGGATATGGATGTGAGAGAAAGATAGGTATCAAAAATGACCTAAGAGTTTCAACCTACAAAGATGGAGTTGTCTTCAACTGAGTTGGGTAGGAAAGACTGCAGGCAGAGCAGGTTTTGATGGGAAGGATCCAACACTTGGTTTCGATCATCCTGTGTTTGAGATGTCATCCAGGTAGTAATGTCAAGAAGGAAATTGAATGTGTGACTCTGAAGTTCAAGAGAAAGGTCTAGACTATGCAATAGTATTACATTTGTTAAAATTGTTCAAAATACACAGTTGTATAGGTTTTTGTTAATATAATAACTAAATATGATACATTATCAGGTTCTATATTGTTCTTGGACTTTGTGGAGAACATATAATTTAGTGTGCAATAGATCCTTTGGTCACAAATGAATTGACCTGACCTGCACTGCTATAACTTGCCCCAGAATCGTGAAGGTACTGTTTTCAGGTGGCTCTTTAGACAAACCCATGGCATCACAGTGCTGAGCCCTTCAAGTCATGCTGATGCCTGAAGTTCCATTTCAAATTTATTTCCTTTGGTTATAAAATATGTGAAAGTAAATTCTTTACAAAGCAACCCAGAAAACATGTTCATAATTTCTGATTACACTTAGCTATTATTTTCTGAATACATATGAGTATATAATTAGCACAATACATTCCAGGTATTTAATGTATTGACAAAAGAGCCCAGCTGTTTGGCTTACTACACTTTTCCATGAGGAATTGAAACATGTGATGATAAATTATCATTATTGCAGCTTCATTTTCTAGCTTTTTCCCTTAATTTATAAAAGCCAACCTTTGTCTGCGAAGGACCCCTTTCTTTACTGTAGGTTCCTGGAGGGCAGGGTCATGTGTCACTCATCTCTGTGTCCTCAGGACCTGGCACAGTCTCTAGTTCAGAGTGAGTGCTACACAGTTTGTTCAGTCAAATTAAATTCCACAATGCTCTTCAAAGACTAATGCTCATTTTTTGTTGGATGACAGTCATGTTGGATTCAAGAAAAATAGTTGTCCTACTGCTTTTACTAATATTAGTTTGGGATCCATTAAAATTTTTAAGTTTCTAGATCAAGATTAATTACCTAGTAATCATATGTATATACAATTTCATCCATGAGCTAATTACCATTTACACTTAACACTTGACAGCTGGATTATCATTAGATAATCATTAGATCTATTTTAATCAAAATCTCCTAGGACATATTTATACAATCTGCCTACATTTTTCCTTCAATTTGTCTCATAAGTTAAGTTTGGTGTTTGGGGATACTTTGGTTTTTACTGGGCATTATTTGACAATCCATCAGGTCAAGCATAAGCCATCATGCCACAAACAGATATACTATGTACATATAAAACCATAAATATGCCAAATATATTTTTTCCCTTAAAAAAATGAGAGTTGCTATGTCATTACCTGAATGATAAGTTTTCAATGAAACTGTTAGTATCTGACCTACTCCCGAAAGCTATGGCTTTTCTCACTGAAAAGGCTGGATGGTTTTCCTCCTTTTGCAGTCACTTTTGCTTTTCCTTCTTCTTCTTTAGTCTTGTGCATTTTCAGCATAACTTTATCACACTGCTGCTGTTTCCACAATGTGATATGTGGACTCTAAAAGCTTTGCCCATCTCTGTACAGCAGGCATTGCTCTTCTATGTTTCGCTCAGACGTGAACACATTGCTTCCAGCTCTTTTCCACCCACCTCACCCCAGCTCAGCCCCTGCCTGTATTATGTAGTGAATCATCCATGCTTCCACCTTTTTGTTTTCTTTTTTTTTGTTTTCTTTTGTTTTTAATTTGGGAAGCAAGGGAACTTTTCTTTATCTCGGGCTCCCTCTACAGTTTGTGATGGTTATTTATCAACAAAAGGGTACTTCCTAGTTACTGGTTTCGTTTGGTGGCCAGAGATATTTGACAGCTGCGTGTTGAATATACACTGTTAATTAACAACTTATCAAAACGCTGTTTTGAAACCCTAACAATCATTTCCTTCCATTCACCCACTCAAAAGGAAAGGCAATCTATTAAGTTTACTAAGTATAAGACAGAGGTCATCTAAATTCGCACATCCAAGATTTTAGAACAGTAGTTAAAACTGGCTTTAATCTGAGGGCCATTCTTCTCTCCACTGAACCTAATCGCCCTCTGTTAGACTTAGCAAAGAAAGCATTCTCCAGCATCACAGTGTCAGCTCGCACTGGAGGATACCCCAATCTTCCACAGCTGTCGTTTGAGTAGCCAACAAGAGTGACAGTGGTGATGGACATTTCTAAAGAAATAAATTCATTAAACAGTAGATTTTCTCTTTATAAATTATTAGAATTTTTGTATTCGTCACACCATCACACCATCACGGGTGTGATGACCCGTGCCTGTAATCTCAGCACTTTGGAAGGCTGAGGTGGGAAGATCACCTGAGGTCAGGAGTTTGAGACCAGCCTGCCAACCATGGCCAACATGGTGAAACCCTGTCTCTACTAAAAAATACCAAAATTAGCCGGACCTGGTGGCAGGCACCTGTAATCCCAGCTACTTGGAAGGCTGAGTCAGGAGAATTGCTCGAACCCAGGAGGTGGAGGTTGCAGTGAGCCAAGATCGCACCACTGCACTCCAGCCTGGGTGACAGAGCAAGACTCTGTCTCAAAAAGAAAAAAAAAAAGAAAGTATTAGAATTTTAACATAGGTGTTGATCAAGGAACCACAATTACTGTTTAATATGGCCCAGCAGAGAGTCTAAGTTCATTAAATTGTTTTCTGAGCTCCCGAGTTCATGCCAGTGCCCCAGAAGTCGTGGTGGCAGGTGCTGTGGGCAGGGTCTGGCCTGCAGCCATGAACCAATGGTGAGTTCTACCTGCAGAAGACTTGGAAGTTGTATGTGTTTCACGTGGGTCAGTAGTTTGTCCTTGATTTTTCTTTTTGCCTTTTTATTAAACACTAGACTGGGAAGCTCGAATTGACAGCCACGGGCGGGTCTTTTATGTGGACCACGTGAACCGCACAACCACCTGGCAGCGTCCGACGGCAGCAGCCACCCCGGATGGCATGCGGAGATCGGGGTCCATCCAGCAGATGGAGCAACTCAACAGGCGGTTGGTGATCAGTATGCAATGAGCTCCCCTAAACCACAGTGAAAGGAGAATGGCAGCTAGAGACGCTCCCCTTACACTTTTCTGCTCAGACTGTATGAGGAGACTGGAAAGTAATTAAGTATCTTAAGAAACCTGTTCCTAGTAGGTATTTGGAAAGCTAGATTTAGAATTTGGAGGCGAGAGACAAGTTAAGCTTGAGTGTCATTTAAGGATGGGAAATCGTCTAAACTTCTTAATAGCCTAGGCACAAAAATAGGAGTTTTTAACCAAGGGCCAGTGTATGCCCCTCTCCTGCGATGTTCACCAAGGATGTCAGTGTTCCTTGAACTTTCCAGGCACTGTACCCAAATTATACATAGATACACATTTTTCTGGCAGACTGGTCCACACCCATCATACAGTTCTCAAAAGGATAGAGACCTCAGTTAAACACATTCCAAGGATAGGTTCCATAAGAAAACTAAAAGCTGCTTGGAGAATAAACTGTCTCATAAATCACTGTATGCATTCCTACCCTGATTCCATAATTGATATATGCCCATCAATAATAATTCTTGAAAAGCCTGCATCTTAGAAAAAGAAATGTTTACAAGCATTTTTTGAGAATTATTTTGTTGAAAAACTAGGCCCTCTCTATTGAAATTGTAAAGATGTCATTTTGTTTTTAACCTGCAAACAAAGCCTTAAACAGTATCAGGCTTAAACAGTGGTCCATTCATGTCAGAGATGATGCAGTAAGCTAGTATAAAGCATTGTCTCTGACATCTTGCTCTTTAAGACTGGAGTGGCAGCTTCAGGATACTTTTAATTACCAGGAATGCAAACTGAGGCTTCCTTCAGTTGAAATTGCACCCACATGCTGTCTTGCTTTCATGTCAAGTATGAAAAGTATGAAGGTGAAGGAAAAGTTGAGAAAGACGAAAAAGAATGAAGAACTGGGTTTGTGGAACACACCTACTGATAGCAAATGCCTTTGAGACTTAACTGTTATCTGCCAGAAAGAAAAGGAGGAGAAACAATTTAGTCCTATTAAAAACACATGGGGCCGGGTGCAGTGGCTCACGCCTGTAATCCCAGCACTTTGGGAGGCTGAGGCGGGTGGATCATTTGAAGTCAGGAGTTCGAGACCAGCCTGGCCAACATGGTAAAACTCTGTCTCTACTAAGAATGCAAAAAAATTAGCCAAGCGTGGTGGCAGGCACCTGTAATCTCAGCTACTCAGGAGGCTGAGGCAGGAGAATCGCTTGAACCCGGGAGGCAGAGGTTGCAGTGAGCTGACATCACACCACTGCACTCCAGCCTGGGAGACAGAGTAAGACTCCATCTCAAAAAAAAAAAAACAAACAAAAAACATGGAAACAAAAAAATAAAAATGAACTTCTGTTTACTGTTGTACACAGAGGAGCATGCTTTAGGTGAAAATCACCAGAACATTTTTTCATTGCCTGAGCGTTTGGAAGACATTTGCTTTCCACTTTTCCCCATCAGCAGCCGAGTGTTTTAAGTCATTAACAAAAACCATAAAAGACTTGCATTGGCAGCACACTTTACAATCATTCTCACCCCAACAAAGCGTGTTACAGAGAGGAAGTCCTGATAACCCAGTTTTACTAGACATGAATGGACCAAAAATCCATGGGAGAGTCCTTTCATGGTGATTGCAACAAGATTCGTGTAACTAAAAATGTAGAAGACACAGTAAGCTCATCTTACATAGAGACCCTGTTGATTCCATAGGCAGAAGTTAGCCCCTAGGTCTGTCTTGCCAAAAATGATAAGCTCCAATTGTTTAGCAGAGAAACAGGGGAGGGTATCGTCAGGCTGTATTCATAAGAGGTACTGTTTTGAACACTAACCAAAGCAAGACAATGAATCTGAAGCAGAAGGAAGCACCTTGACCTATGGCATAAACCCATGAAAGTTTATCGGGGTGATCTGCTTGCATAATATAAAAATTAGGCCAAATCCATCCTGAACCAGGTCTCCAAATAAGTTTTATAGCCTTTGATATACAAACTCCTGTGCCCTCCAGTGGAGATGAACATGCTGGGAGAGGCAGCTGGACCTTGCTGAATAGGAAGTTGCATTTGCTACATCCATCTGGACAGATAAAAAGAAAAGGAATTTAGCACTTTGAGAAGGTACTTATTTCTTGTGAAAAAGCATACCTAGGGAAGATCAGATAACCTTCAGATAAGTATCCAGATTTTTCCATACTTAACCTATTGCTTTGAAGCATTTAAAATTTTTTGTATTTGGCATTATAACAGGCAGCCCAAGAAAGTACATTTCCAGTCTTCTATCCATCTCACATGCGACCACACAGAAAGTCGTTTTTTTGATAACCCACAGTTATCCAGAGAAATTTACAATGATTACTGGCTCACAGCCATGTGGAAGTATTATTCAGTGTTGCAAGGAGTTTCCCTTGAGCTGAACCAGATGATTGTGAAAATCAAATGTGTTTGTGCAAGGAGACATAAAACTAGGAAGTACAGAGTACACAATAGCAATCAATGTGTAAGCTTGTGTGGTAGGTCGCAGTGACCATGTTCCAACTCAGCCATTCCCCAGACGCGGCACACTCTTCCAGGCCTTTATGGCTTGGCCACATGCTCCCATGGCAGGAAAATGCCTCCCACCTGCCTCCCACCTGAAACATATCTCATCCTACAGACCTGACTCAATGTCGTGCCCCAGGAAGCCGTCCCAGAATCCCTCACACAGAGCCAGTGACTTCCTCCCCTATAGCTTCTGGAATGTGCCTGCCTCTGTGCCTGTTCTTACCTTTTTGCCTTACTCTTCTTTCTACCCTTTTCTGCTCCCAGCACCTAGTGTGGTACCAGAAGTTTAATACTACTCAGTACAAGATCATTTTCTGAGTTAATTCCCATGCTTTCAGAATATCCAGAATTAATTAATTCTACTTTCACAAATATTTACTGAAAAGCAGAAAATATAAATATGTATTCTTATTTTAAATAATCAACTGAAGTTTTATTTTTTAATTATTTGTATAAAATTATGATAATTTAAGGGAAATAGAAGTTTTAAATAGAAAAAAGTGATCTACACTCTACCCCAAGGATGATTTAGTTTTTTTTTTTTGAGATGGAGTCTCACTCTGTCGCCCAGGCTGGAGTGCAGTGGCATTATCTCAGCTCACTGCAACCTCCGCCTCCCGGGTTCAAGCGATTCTCCTACCTCAGCCTCCCGAGTAGCTGGGACTACAGGCATGCACCACTGCACTCAGCTAATTTTTGCATTTTTAGTAGAGAGAAGGTCTCACCATGTTGGCCAGGCTTGTCTCGAACCCCTGGCTTCAGGTCATCCCCCCGTCTTGGCCTCCCAAAGTGCTGGAATTACAGACATGAGCCACTGTGCCCAGCCAATTTAGCTTTTTAAAAACATGTATCCATCTTCAATTTCCATATGCATGCACAATTCTTACATGGTTATGATGGTGATATGTAGTTAGTTTCATATTCTTTTTTCACTTACTACACTGTAAGCATTTAATATTGCCGCATAGTCTTCAGGTTAACATGTAATTGCTTGTATAGTATTCCACTGAATGGCTGAAGTTTAGTTAACCTGATTTCATATTGTTGAATGTTTTGCTTATTGCTTTTGTCACTGTTTTTTGTCACAAGGGCCTGCTAAATACTAAGATTGCCTTATAGTGGAGGGTTTCCTTAGGGTTCTATTCCCAAAAGATTAGGCCAAGGGAGATAAATGTGGATTTGGCATTTGGTATCAATGCCTAACTGCTTTCTACATTAGACATTGCGGTTCTAGGGGTTTATTCTACCAACAGCTACAGCTTCACTTCCATCTTATCTTTTGATTTGTTTTTGTTGATGTAAGAGGTGCTCCTCGTATTTTGATGCCACTTACATTTCACTTGTTGGAGCAAGGGTCAACTTGTTTTCCATAAGCTTTTCTTTAATAAGGAGTAGTTTCTCCCATGTGAATTGTCTGTTCTTGGGCTTTTTTAAAGGGGGGAGGTTGTGTAGTTGGCTGATTGGTTTGGCTTGGTTTTGGAGGGCTTTTTTCCTTCTTGTTTGGCTTTGTACGTGTGTGTGCGCGCGTGCGTGTGTGTGCGTGTGTGCGTGTGTGTGTGTGTGTCCATTTACAAATTATGTATTTCAGCTGACTTTCTAGCTAATTTTCATTAGCCCTCTATCTATTATAAATATTTAACCTTTTGCTACAAAAAAATGGAGGAGGATATTGATGGATAATTCCTAATGAAATAGAAGAGAGCTGCCTCCCTCTCCTGTTTAAAGCTCGGGAGCCTCTGAGGCTGCAGTCCTGCCCTGAAAGACTGAGAGACCCTCCTCAAGTCACTGCATGACCTGCTTCCCCAAACTGCCTCTGTGCTTCGGCAGAGGTCAGACGTAGGGTCAAATGCAGGATTTGAGGCTGTTGACTCAGTAAGGCCTGCAATAACCAAGGTCCAGCTGAGGACATGTGAAGTAGGTTGTGACACTGCTGACATTATCCTCATCAAATAAGATCATATTTACTCATAATGCTCTGCTGTGTTTACTGCATATTGGGAAGGAAAGGAGAGGCTACAACTTGACATTTGTCTAAGCCCTATTCCAGGCATCTGTTGCTGAGTAAAACTACACCAAACGTAGTGGCATAAAACAACCACAAACATTTCTTCTTACCGTTATTTCTCATGGTTCTGGTTTGATTGAGCCCAGCTAGGCAGTTCTCTCCCAGAATATCTCCTAGTTGCAGTCAGAGGGTGGCCGGGGCTGGAGACTCACATATTAGGAGGTTGATGCTGGCTGTGGGCTGGGCCTCTCAGCCAGGACACCTGCACAGAGACTTTCCACGAGGCCTGGGCCACCTCAGAGCATGGCTGCTAAGTTCCATCACGAACTGTTACAAACTCTATTAGTCAAGGTAGTTGAAGGGGACATGGATTCTACCTTTTAAAAGGAGAGATACAGTTCTGGAAGAGCATGTGGGTCTAAAAATATCGTTGAACCATTTTGAGAAATGCAGTCTGCCATAAAGCATTTAGGGAATCCTCCCAGTAGCAGCTGCCTTAGTCTTTGGCAGGCCCCGTTCCCTGCCTTGGTCAAGGTCACACACTTGGGCAGCTTCTTGCTGGCAACCCCTGCTTTCCTGCCATGGCTACATTCCCTGAGTCCTCAGCAGAGAGAAGATCACAGAGTGCCATCCTTCACCATCCATCACTCTTCATAACCTCCCACCACAGATGTACGGGGTGGTGAATTACAACAAATGATTCTCTCTGTAATTCCACCACCACTCAGCTCATTGCCCCCTTCCACATTTTGTTCTAAGAGGCCGGCTCAGGAAATGCCTTGCAGTAACCACTACAGGCAAAGGTGGCTTCTGAAAGGTGTCAGAGTGAGTGGGAGTCTCTCCAGATAAAATAAAACTGAAAGAAAGCCCTTAGACCAATAGTTCTCAAACCTAGATATAAATAATACTTCCTAAAGAACTCGTTAGAAATGCAGATTTTTCTTTTGCTTCAATTTCTGTAACTTTAACAATCACTCAGATGATGCTCTTGCAAATGGCTGGAGACTACAGTAAAAAAAGCTTTCCTCTGTAAGGTCAAGGAAAGAGCGGGGCACTGGTCTGCAGAAATCCTGCCATAGTGGAGCCTCATCTGTGCAGCGAGCATCCCCGTGCTTTCCCACCTGGGACTGCACTTGGAGACAGGCTATTCCCTGCTACCTTGTCTCTCATCCTCCTCCTCCTCTTCACCCCCTCCCTCCACCCCTTCATTGCTTTCCTGGAGACAAAAAGTCTCCAGGAAAGTCTCCAGCCTAGGCTGTTGCAGGAGCCCCCAGCTGCTCTCCACAGCTCCCAGCTCCTCTCCTCCAGTGCATTCTCCACTCCGACACTGGATGATCAATCTCCATGTACATCTGGCCCTGCCTGGTTTTTTTTTAGCAGCCACCCATCACCAAGAGCAATGGTTCATTCTCAAGATTGATCCCTGGGCCAGCAGCATCAGGATCACCTGGGAACTCATCAGAAATGCACATTCTGGAAAAAAAAAAGAGAAAAGAAAAAAGAAATGCACATTCTTGGGCCCTACACCAAACCTACTGAATCGGAGACTCAGGGGGTGGGGCTGGCAGTCTGTGTTTTAAGTCCTGCGGGTGATTCTGCGTAGCTCAGGTTGGGGAACCTGTGGCCTAGAGAATAACACCCATCCTACTGCAGGGCGCCCTCTGGGGCTCCCTCTTCCCTCTCCACTGGTCTCCTGGCCCTGCCAGGTGCCCACACATCCTGATGCCGCTGCCAGGCATCTCAGAGCTCCCCAAGGGTGGCCTGCTTTTGTACATGTTGTTTCTTTTCTGAAATGCCCTTTCCCAACAAGCTCCCCAACAAATTCATACTCCAGCTTCACAATTTACAAACCTTGGGAGTCTCCTCATCTGTGTCCCACATACCTCTTGCCTGTCTGTGACAGCCTTTCACCTGGCTGGAGTTATGGCTTCTGTCCCATTTCCCTTTTGTTACATCTCGACTGTGTGTGTTTAAAGGGCAATGTCATATTCTAATCCTCTCTTCCATCTGAAAGTCCAGCACAGAGCCTGCACACATTGGAAGGGTTAGGAAATATTTAGTACTTGGCAAGGTGGCCAGCTGGCAGGCCAAATGACTAAATCCCCAACTTGGGAAGAAAAACAAAATGAGCCTTTGAATAAGCAGAAAACATTTATTTATTTGCCAGCATGCTATCAGATGTAATATTTCCATGACCTCTGCCCAATTATATCAATTACCCGACAAATAAAACTGAGTAGAACTGCTAGCCCAGTTTGTACACTTATTACAATAATGTTGAGGTAATTTGATATCTTAGTTGTAGCATTTTAATTTACTTCCCACACTCTTATTTTAGACTTAGCCTGATTTTGTTTAATGCAGGGCACAGGCTGTTTTGCATGATTAGTTATTATTTGTGTTGATTTTTTAAAAGTCGCCATACTTGAAACTCATCATAGCTTGCAAAACAAAAAGAACTTGAATCGTCTTAGAGATACTTGTCTTGCTAATTGTTCTGGCTATCTTGTGGGAATTTTAAGCATTTCTTTCCTGACATTCAAGACAATTCTTTACAGATTTCTCCAATTATCTGATTCAGAGTTTTGGCCCCCAAGGAGCAAACCAAAGTTAACTCCTGTCTTTCCATTTTCTAATGCAAAGGTATCAAAACATTCAGCGAACCATTGCAACAGAGAGGTCCGAAGAAGATTCTGGCAGCCAAAGCTGCGAGCAAGCCCCAGCAGGAGGAGGCGGAGGTGGAGGGAGTGACTCAGAAGCCGAATCTTCCCAGTCCAGCTTAGGTATTGGAGGAGGGGTCCCCACAACCTGTGATGGCTTTCAGGGGCTGTGTGACAGAGGGCTACAAGCCTCCCACCCTGCCTCATGGGGAGCAATGTGCCCCAGGGTGAAGAGAGTGGAAGTCCAGGGTGGAGGACAGAGGCATGCCTGGTGCCCGCAAGGGAAAGCAGACAGAATGAGCTTCCCACCAGGAAACTTAGGAGAAGTGATCACAGTGAAGGAAACACCACCACCCTGGCATGGGGATCTGGAGACAGGAAAGCAGATGAATTCTGGGGATGGAGCTGAGTTTGCTACAGTGCTTGTGGAGCAAGGCAACTTTGTCAGTGGCTCAATCATTTATTGTTAAGTAAATGTTTTATTTATTTATAAGTTATTGTTAAGTAAATTTATTGTATTTGTTGGTGTTCTAAGGATTTTTTCACTTATAAATAAAACATGCAATAAAAATTCACAGTATATTGCAAAGGAGCCATGTGACAACACTAGGAATAATCACTTGTTTGTAGAATAAAATTCAGTTCCCCCAAGAGAGGAACCTGGGAGTGAAGAGGTTTTCCAGCATGCCACAGGAGGGAATTTTTTCCCACTACAGTAGGCATTCACCTTGGTCTGGTTTTCATGGTTTTCATTTCTTTGAATTTGCCCAAGTGGGACTCAGACAAGGATAATCAAAAGGCATGAGACTGGCTTCCACTTTTTTTTTTTTAACCTGTAATGAGATAAGATTATCACAGTGACATCCTAATAATCCACTTTCTTTTTAAGTTGGGTAAATGATGGCAGATTTATTTGCCAAAAGAAGGCTTAGAGAACAGTCTGGGCAGGCAGCACTGGGATTCCAATCCTGCCAGGTCTTAGCTGTCTACAGCAATGCAGAATATTGGACATTTTCATGTGATTTTTCAAAATGCACATCCACAGTTCCACCACCAATTTTAATTTCCCCCTTTCTATTCATTTTACCAGGTATGCTAACTAAACTGACTAGTTTAGGTTTTTCTGTTATTATTATTATTATTGAAGACAGAGTCTCTCTTTTTCACCCAGGCTGGAGTGCATGGTGCGATCATAGCTCACTGCAGCCTCAAACTCCTGGGCTCAAACAGTCCTCCCAACACAGCCTCCTGAGTAGCTGGGACCTCAGGCATGCACCACCATGCCTGGCTAATTTTTTCATTTTTTGTAGAGACAGAGTCTTGCTATGTTGCCCAGGCTGGTCTCAAATTCCTGGCCTCAAGTGATCCTCCCGCCTCAGCCTCCCGAAGTGCTAGGATTACAGGCACGAGACATCACACCTGGCCTGTTATTAATTTCTTTGTTCAAACTTCTGAGAGAGACATGGTACAATAGCCAAGTAACTAGAAACATGAGGAAAAAGCAGCAGAAAGTTTATTTCTGAGTTTGATATTAAATAAGTTGGCATTTACTGTATAGAAAAAAATCCCACAATTAGTGGCTGAAACTCACAGCCATGCATCTACCCCACAGTTCTACAGGTTGGCAATTTGAGCTGAGCTCAGCTGGGTGGTTCCTCAGGATGCTGCTGGGCTCACCTGTCCATCGTGGGTCAGCTGCGGAGTCGGCCACAGGCTGACCTGAGATGGCTGCCACTAGGGTGGCTTGTTCCTGCTCCTGTGGCCTGGTGGCCTCTCATCTTGCAGCAGGCTTGCCCAAGCTCATTCTCATGGCAGTGGCAGGGTTACCAGAGAGTGGAGACACACAGGTCTCTTGAAACCCTGATGCAGAACTGACCCGTTGTCACTTCTGACATGTTCTATTGGTTGAAACAAGGCACAAGGCCAGCCCCAATTCAGCAAGGGGAAGAGCAGCGAAGTCCCAATACAACTGGGTGTGGATACAAGGAGGAGAGGAATTGTGGTCCTTTCTGCAAACAATCTATCACAGCTGTGGTTAGCAACTTGTGAAGGAAATAAGAAAAAAATAGCCAGGCATGGTGCTGCATGCCTGTAGTCGCAGCTACTCAGCAGGCTGAGTATCTGGGAGGATGGCTTGACCCCAGGAATTAAAGGCTGCGGTGAGCTGCAATTGCGCGGCTGCACTCCAGCCTGGATGACAGAGCGAGACGCTGTCTCAAGAAAGACAAAGAGAGAGAGAGAAGAAAGAAAGAAGAAAGGAAGAAAGGAAGAAAAGAAAGAGAAAGAAAGAAGAAAGAAGGGAGGGAGGGAAGGAAGGAAGGAAGGGGGGAGGAGGGAGGGACAGAGGGAAGGAAGGAAGGAAGGAAGGGGGAAGGAGGGAGGGAGGGAAGGAAGGAAGGAAGGAGAGAGAAGAAAGAGAAAGAAGGAAAGAAAGATGAAAGAAAGAAAAAGAAAGAAAGGGAAAGAGAGAGAGAAAGAAGGAAGGAAGGAAAGAAGGAAGGAAGGGAGGGAGGGAAAAGAAAAGAAAGAAAATCATTGTGATAAAAGGGAAGAGATGTTGGAGGACTTGAGCCTTACTGAAGTTATGCGAAACACTACTAAGGAAATGATGATTCTTAACTGACATACATAAAGTAATGACACTTGGCCTAAATCCAACAGTCTGCTGTGTGGGTGAAGGCTTGTGTGCTGCCACTGTCAGGAGCGAAGTACAGAGGTTGAAATGCCTTTTTCCCAATGCATTCTGTTGCTTTGCTTCACTTTTTTTCAGATCTAAGGAGAGAAGGGTCACTTTCTCCAGTGAACTCACAAAAAATCACCTTGCTGCTGCAGTCCCCAGCGGTCAAGTTCATCACCAACCCCGAGTTCTTCACTGTGCTACATGCCAATTATGTGAGTGCCCTAAAATGCAGAGGGGGCGGCCTGGCTCGGCAAGACCCAAAACACAGCTTTGTAAAGTCATCTGATAGATCTAAAAGGGTAGAATTTTAACATAAGCAAGAAAAAACAAAGAAAACAGCTCAGTCCACTCTTTTGACTATCCGTGAGTCTCCCAAAAAGGAAAAAGGCTGGATTTGGAAATGCTGTTGCCTCTTTGGGTTTTTTTTAAGGCTGAAATGTGTTAATGTCAGTGAAAGTGCTTTGGAAACAAACCTGTTTTTATTATTATTAAAATTTTAAAGGAGCAAGATTATGAATTGGCCAGATTCCCTTCAGCCTAATCATTTTATAAAATCATTTTCACTGATACAATTTCAAAGCAGAGTTCTTCTAGGTAAATAACTAGGTTTCCTTTTGATATGGTTTTTTCGAATATCGTGCTGAAGTTAAATTTCATATGATTTTACATATGTAGTTTTTTCATTGCTTTTTTGGTATTTTCAAGAAAGCAATGGCATGATATCACTATATTCATTAATTTTTCCATTCAACAAACATTTTCTGTGGTTCAGGCTCAGATCTAGGTGCTGGAGTCACAAAGACAGATTAAGGTGACACCTAAAGAGTAGGAGTTCCCATTTTGAGGAGCAATGACGTGAAAAACATCAGCCCAGTGTGACAGGACCAGGCCGAACTGAGGGAGGACAGAGTGCTCTGGGGGCGCCAGGGAGCATTCTTGGGGAGGCGGCTGAATTGAGTCCTGAAGGTCGAAAGTGGACAGGAAGAAGTCCAGGCAGAGGGACATCTGTAGAAAGGATGCACCCGTGAGGAGGCCTGGGGGATAAGTCCAGGGTGGTGAGTGTGGGTGGCTGGCAGGAGGGAGAGGGGAGGAGGGGCTTGAGATTGGGCAGCAGATCACCTGGTAACTCATGCAAAGGAGCCTGGGTCTACTGCAGCAGGCCACAGGAACCAAGAGTAGCACTTGGGCTGCCTGACCAGAGGGGTTGATGATGCATTTTCTCTGGCAGAGTGTCGGGGAGAGACTGAGCTGAGGGGGTTAAGACACAGGCTGATTCAACCGCTGAGTGAGAGATGATCTGGCTCTGACCTAAGGAAGGGGTGGGAGCATGGCAAGGAATGGCTCCATTCAGGGACATTTCTCGTGGACTCAGCAGCACTTAGGTCCACCGTGATCACGAGTGGGTGCAAGATGAGAACTCAAAAAAGACAGTGTAGTTTCTGCTTTGGGCACCTGAGTGAGGCAGTGACCGCACTAAGCTGGAGGTGGAGTTTGACTGGGTGATGGAGGGCGTGGCTGCAAAGGGGGGGATCAGTTTTTAGCAGGTTATTTCTGAGAAGCCTGTGGGATGCCCTGGGCTCAATTCCAAGCAGCTCCCCAGAGGTGTTGTGGGGACCACAGGGAGAACGCGCATGGCACATGGCCATGCCCCAGCCCTGGGTGCAGGTGGCACTGGGCCAGTAGGTGCCACTGGCCCAACCCCCCGTCTACACGTGGTCTGTCCTTTCACCACCAGCCCCCACCACACACACACACACCAACCCTGTGTACCGTCACATTGTCATTTCTTTCTTCATCTCTTCCCATCCTCCAACCCCCCTACACATACACACACACAAGTTTTTACATAGGGTTCAAAGGAATGACAGACCTCTCATGTCCAGCCTTCAATCCCCAGAGGCCCTAAATTAATGCTCCCCATTTTAGACAAGTAGGAGGACCAAAGGCAGACCTCAATAGTCAGAGAAGGGACCATGGAGGAGAGAGAGGAGTGAGGCTCAGGCAGGTAGAGGGAGGCCAAGGAGAGCCAGGCATGGCTGAGACAGCGAGAAAACCATGTGGAGTCGCACAGAGAGGTGGGCCGTGTCCCAAGCTGCACAGCACTCAGGTGGAACGGATATCACAGATAGTCCATGTGGGCCAAGGGGGCATGATTCAATGCACATTCACTTTTTTTTTTTTTGGAGACAAGGCCTTGCTCTGTTGTCCAGGCTGGAGTGCAACGGCACAATCATAGCTCACTGCAGCCTCTATTCTCAGACTCAGGTGATCCTCCCACCTCAGCCTCCCAAGTAGCTGGGATCACAAGCACATGCCACCATGCCCAGCTAATTTTTTAAATTTTTTGTAGAGACAGGGTCTCGCTATGTAGCCCAGGCTGGTCTCGAATTCCTGGGTGTTTACTTCTTGAGCAAGAGCTCATTTTCTGAGGCCTCTACCTCACACTCACAATAAACTGCTGTGTCACAATCACACTTAGCAGTGTTAGGGTGCTCATAGTGTGCTTGCTCTATGTTTTTCCTAATTCCCCACTCCTTACCCCGTCCGCCCTGACCTGTCTCAGAGTGCCTACCGAGTCTTCACCAGTAGCACCTGCTTAAAGCACATGATTCTGAAAGTCCGACGGGATGCTCGCAATTTTGAACGCTACCAGCACAACCGGGACTTGGTGAATTTCATCAACATGTTCGCAGACACTCGGCTGGAACTGCCCCGGGGCTGGGAGATCAAAACGGACCAGCAGGGAAAGGTGAGTGTGACCCACGTGCGGGGCTTTCATCAAACAGGCTCCTTCCCCAGGGTGAAGCTAGCAAGGGCGTGAGGAGGAGAGTGTGGGGAGGAGTTATGTCTGAGAGATGTGCTATCGGCCGCCAGCAGTAAAGGGGCTGATAACCACCCACATCTGGGTTTCTCAACCTCAGCACTACTCTGAGGAATACCCTGTGCCTTACGGGACATTAGCAGCACTCCTAGCCCTCACGCTGCTAGATGCCAACTGTTGTGACATTGCTATGTGTTCCCTGTAATTAAGAACCACTGTCTACATTTTTTTTAAATTTAGGTTTGGAATGTGGAACTGAATTCTGTCCAATGACCTTTCGGTTGTTTGCCTCCTTAGACAGCTAACTCTCAGGGGATGAACTCATTGGTTAAATGCAGTGACATTGTTAGATTATTTGTTGTGATTTCTCTAATACACCTTAAGTTTTCTGTAAAACAGCCTAACAAGCAGGGTGGGGTGTGCTAGGCCCATGTGATCTTCCTGGCTTACATTTTGCTTCTGTATAACCTTAACCCAAACTGGGTCTTCCTGGCCATGCTTTAGAAGACCAGCTGAGTCTGAAAACAAGAAGGATTTTTCCTAATCTTCATCAGCCATCTCGATGTATTCAAAGGACAGGCCAAGTACTAGAACTGAACCTGTGTAACCTTCTATGAACTTTACCAGAGAGAATCCCTCCCTCTTTATGGTCCAAGGAACCAGAAGCTTTGCCTGCAGTCATGTCTGTGACGTGTCCTTTCCTCTGTGAACATGGGCCTGCAAAGCCACGTTCCCCAAAGGGAGCTGATGGGGCATCAATGTCCCCTCGAAGCCATGAGTCTCTCTCCTATAAACCCCTTAGTATGCCTCAGAACCTGGACTCTCTGGAGTGTATGGGGAAAGAATGGGGGACTCATTACAAGTCCATTCATAAAATGAATCTCCAGGACCAGCTCCTCTGTAACCAGGGATGAATTAGGGGAGGGGAAAGGACATGTGTAGTAGAAAAGTCACTGTAGCCAGGATCTGCTCCCTGGGACCTTCTCATTGACTGGACGTGGCCTCTGTTGGGAGAGTGACAATGATTTGTATGTGGGGACTTGGTGATATGTATTAGGGTGGGAAAATGAAGCCTGAGCCAGAACAGAAAGTGAAGGAGTGGCTTATCAGAGCTCGGTTTCGGGTAGCCACGTTTACATTTATTGCTTAACCAGGATGCCAAGATGACACCACCATGTTCATCATGCAAACAGCACACACCAATGTGAACAGTTTGCCGAGCCTTGGATTTCCATGACTGCAGCTTTTGCACCAAGATAAGGATGACAGGGAGCACAGTGGAATGACAAGGAGGCTTCCCAATGCAATAAGCCCTAGTTCTCCATGGCACACATGCAGATGATGTGACATCTCCTGGTCATCACACCAGCAGGGAAGCACAGAGATGCACTGTGAGAGTTTTGTTCCATTTGGGAATGCATATGAGGGAATTTCTGACAAGACCTCTTCCCCCTAATTCTCTTTAGCAAGAAGATATCATACATGAGAAAGAAAAAATCTGAATTTCAAATGAGAAGACTTTCAGTTATGACACAAACTAGCTGTGTGCCTACACACACATGCTCACACACACACACATAAATGGTCTCAGCAATTTCTTATTAATTGAACACACACACATACACACACTCATAGTTACAGAATGTCTAAGAGGCATACCATGTAGTGAATTGCTGGGGAAAGTAGCCTTAGACTTGCAATGTATTACCACAGTCCATAGGGTGGTCAGAGAGGAACAAAGGAGGATAGTGGGAAAAATACATGGACTAGTCCATCTCAGTCTAAATACATGACCCTGTGCAAGTCACTCCACATTTCTGAGCCTTAAAATAGCAACAGTAATGCCTATGTTGCCTTCATGATTTTACAACCAGATAAATAAGTTAATAAGTTAATGAAGGAATGATTATTAATATCATGACAGATTAGTAGTATCTACCACTTTCTCTTAATGTCCCCAAAAATAATCCAAGATCAAGATTGTGAAGTGGGGGAAATAAAAGAATATCTCATTGCCAAAGCCCATTGATAAGGGGAATAGATTGAGAAAAGTATGTTTGGACCGTGTCTTACAGGTTTCACCCTCTAACTTGGAAAGGATATGCTGCACAGGAGGCTGAGAGTTAGGAATACAACTCACTAAACAGTGGGGTGGCCATAGCTCACTATGCAAAAGCCACCTTCATAGCTGGCCAGAGCAGGTCCTTGCCCCTCACCCTGGACAATCTGCTTCTTGCTTTATCTACACATTCAAAGATGGCAACATTTGCTTTTATTATCCACCATGGTAGGAAGTAGAAGGGATGGGCAGAGCTGTTTGGTGTCTTTGAATGCGTGGTCATCTCTACAAAGGGGACAGAGGTAAGCAGCTCAGAGCTCTGCTGCTTCAGGAGGACCGGGGCAAAGAACACGCTGGCATCTGACTCATCTGCCATCTTCAGAGTCTGAGAAAGGAGGACAGAGCCTTCTGCCCAATTTTATAGAGATTGCATGTGTGCCTCAAACCTCATTCCAAGTCTAAGCTGAGGGAGGCAGTCACCATCAGAGAGGTAGGGTGATGGGCCCCATGGGTCCTATCTTGTGGCAGACATGAGACCAAGGCAGCCTCTGCTAAGGAATGAATAAATAAAATGAGAAGGGGCCTAGGAAGAGACACTACTGCAAGAAGCAAACAGAATCTTGGTCTGACAAAAAGCATGTCTTTTTTTCAGAAAGTATATTTTTTTCCCAGAAAGTATAATTTTCTTTGGAAAATAGAACTATTTAAAAGACATCTATTCATCATCCATGAAATGGTACAGGAGCACATGACTTCTGTTATTAACTAAGAGGAAAAAGCCGCAAACAGAAAACAAGCTGAGAGGAAACAGACATAAGTAGTCTGAAAATAGCTGTTTTAAGATTGCAGGGAAAAGCAAAAGGTAATAATAGCATAGGGATAAAACAGAGCAGCACTGATGCTATGTGAAATCTCATCACTGATATGGCGTATGAACACGGAAACAGCCTCTAAAGCAGAAGGAAGGAACCAGATTTCAATCAGTGGAGGAGACAGTAAAAAAAAAGAAATGCAAAAACTGAAAAAAGAAAAAACTTATCTTCTCTATGCCTGTCCTAACCATCCAAGTTAATACCACGACCTTCCCTGACCCCTAGGCCATGTGCTCCCCCATGTCACTTACACATTTATTAGGTTTATTGCTTATTGTCTGTTTCTTGTGGCAGGATTTTAAGCTTTTTAAGAACAGAAATCTTTGTTTTGCTCATTGATAAAACATCAAGGGCCAAGAATCGTGCCTAGTATATAGTTGGCATTCAATAAATCTCTGTTGCACCAATGACTTATAGAGTTACCTGAGGGAAGAAACCAGAATACTAGGTATAGCAGGAATAATTAAGTATTAATGTTAATTATATTAAATAAATATTAATTAAATATTAAAATTAAAATGTTGCTGATTTAAAACAAATTATTAAGGTGAGCAGATTAATTGGGCTCACTAAATTACAGTAAAGGTAATTAAAATACATTATATATCTACACATGTTCTGGAATGTCTTTAAATAGAAATTCTTTAAAAATCTTATCAATATGCAGCCATGATAATATAAAAGTTACCTACAAAAGATTAAAAATCAGACAAGCTTCAAATTTCCCATCCTAAAAATGAAACTAGAGAAATCCACAGACACAAAAACAACCTCATGCAAAATCAGAGTTTACCCTACTCTTTTACCCATCCTGATTGTTACAGTTTGATAGTTTGGATATGATTTGTTTGACCCCTTCAAATCTCACACTGGAATTTAATCCCCACTGTGGCAGTGTTGGAGGTGGGGCCTAGTGGAAGGTGTTTGGGTCACAGGGACAGATCCCTCAGGAAGAACTGGTGCCATCCTTGCAGCAATGAGTGAGTTCTCACCTTATTAGTTCCCTCTAGAGCTGGTTGTTAAAAACAGCCTGGCACCCACCCTCTACCCCCACTCTGTCTGGCTTCATCTCTTACCATGAAATCTCTGCACATGCTCCCCTTCACCCTCCACCGTGAGTGGAAGGAAGCAGCCTGGGGCTTTCACCAGACACCCAGTCTTCCAATCAGCAGGATCATGAGCCAAATAAACCTTTTTTCTTTAGAAATTTCCTGGTTTCAGGTATTCCTGTGTAGCAACACAAACACACTAAGACACTGATGAAACACCAAAAGCCATTCTCCAGATGGATCACTAATGAATCAAAGCACGACATTAATAGTGAGAAAATGATAGTATAAAAAGGACTAGTGGTGAGTATTTAAATCAATCAAATACCTAAGTATAAATAAAAGTAATTGTTGTTAAAATGCTTTAAAACATATTGGAAAAGTCTAAATAAAATATGGGAAAAGTTGTATAATACAAATGGAATAGTTGTATAATAACAGTCTGGATCAACATCACCAGACTGGAATAAAAAAAAAAAAGTAAGGAAGTGAGAATAGGGAAGATGAGCAGGGGAAGGAAAGTTATGCTAGTTGGGCTCAAGGGGAGTAAAACGGGATCATTTAAAAAACAAAGGTTAAATATGGTAATCTGACAAGCTTAAAAGGCAACTGTTTGTACCATTTAAAATAGAATTTTTCTCTTCCAAAATCCTTCAAAAGATAAAATCAAACAAAATAGAGTTTGTATGACAAAGCACACAAAAAATTGCAAAGAAGATGGAAATAATAAAAGTAAGATAACAAGTAAGTAAGTAAAGTAAAAAAGTAAAGCCAAGCATAACAGTTATGGCAATAGGTGGAAACATGATAAACTTAGATACCAAAAGGAAAACACTCTCAGCTTTGGTAACAAACAGATCCAGTTTACAAAAAGACATACCTAAGAGGTGATTTAGAAAGTTTAGAAATAAAAGAATAAATATTAATATAGTGTGAAGACAATAACAGAAAAACCAGTGGTGATGTATTAATATAATACAAAGGGGAGTTTCAATCATAATCCTTAAATGGGCCAGGCGCGGTGGCTCACGCCTGTAATCCCAGCTCTTTGGGAGGCCAAGGCGGGTGGATCACGAGGTCAGCAGATCGAGACCACCCTAGCTAACATGGTGAAACCCCGTCTCTACTAAAAATACAAAAAATTAGCTGGGCATGGTGGCGGGTGCCTGTAGTCCCAGCTACTCGGGAGGCTGAGGCAGGAGAATGGCGTGAACCTGGGAGGCAGAGCTTGCAGTGAGCCGAGATGGCGCCACTGCACTCCAGCCTGAGCGACAGAGCGAGACTCTGTCTCAAAAAATAAATAAATAAATAAATAAAAATCCTTAAATGGGGATCAAAGAAATATTTTATATTAATCAATGGCAAAATAAAGATATAATAATCATGTACCTTATGAGCCAAATAATAACATTATATTAAATAAAGAAAAATCAAGGAGAAATGAAAGGAGATGAAAGACATACAGTCGTAGTAGGAAAATGTGTTTTATATCCATCAGTTTGACAGATTAAATAGACAAAATAATTTGAGATTTAAATAATATAACTTTATGTGAATGAAACATATTAATTCTTTTATTAGAAATAGAGTTTACATGAATGGATAAACAAAATGTGGTATATACCTGCAATGAAATGTTTGTCCTTACAAAGAAATGAAATTCTGACACATGCTACAACATGAATGAACCTTGAAGACATTGTGCTAAGTGAAATAAGCAAGACACAGAAGGACAAGAATTATGATTCCACTCATATGAGGAACCTAGAATAGATTTATAGAGATAGAAAGTAGATCAGAGGTTCCCAGGGGCTTCAAGGAGTAGAAAATGAGGAGTTATTGTTTTGTGGATACAGTGTTTCAATTTGGGAAGGTGAAAAAGTGCTGGGGAAGGAGAGTGGTGATGGTTGCACAACCGTGAGAATTTATTATACTTAATGCCACTGAACTGTACACTTAAAAATTGTTATTGTTTTACGTATATTTTGCCACAACAACAAAAAAGGAAAAGGGCCCCAAAAATGAAGCTGACAACTTTTCATGATTATTTTTGTAAGTGGTGATAGTCTACAATGCAAAGAAAACAAAAAAGCAGAATATAGCCAGGTCACATCCTGTGGCCATATAGCAATAAAACTGAATTGTAAGTAAATTTAAGCACAATTGTAAGAACAAAATCTTTGCCAGCTGGAAAGTAAAAGCAATGTTCTAGATGACTCTTGGGCTTAAAATAAAATAAAGACTTAGAAACCATTGAGAAATTGTTGAAAATACATGTGAACAATACTTAATAAAATATAGAAAGGATATACTCAAAGACTTAGTAGCATTAGGGAATTTCAGTTGATTAAGAAGTGTTTTTTAAAAATTACTTGATAAAAATTAAATATTTATTTATTTATTTATTTAGTGAGACTGGGTCTCGCTCTGTGTCCTAGGCTGAAATGCAGTGGCATGATCACAGCTCACTGCAGCCTCGACTTCCTGTGCTCCAGCAATCTTCCCACCTCAGTCTCCTGAGTAGCTGGGACCACAGATGCAAAACCACTACGCCTAGCTTTTTTGGTATATTTTTGTATTTTTTTGGTAGAGACAGGTTTTCGCCATGTTGCCCAGGCTAGTCTCAAACTCCCAAGCTCAAGAGATCCACCTACTTTGGCCTCCCAAAGTGCTGGGATTACAGGTGTGATGAATACACATTTATATTTTAAAAACAAATACTCTTGGTAAACTAAGAATGTAAATATGTTTTCGTGACCTAATAAAGCCTCCTTTAAAACAGTGGACATCTTATTGTACAATCGGGTCTAGTAGTTTTCCCTTAAAAATCAAGAATAAGAAAAGATTTCAACCACCACTTCTTATTTAACGTTGTTCTAGAAGTACTCACCAATATTACAAAAAAAGGAGGTAAAAATAGAAGAGCCCTCCTAAAGAAGGAGACAAAATTAACATGATTTGCAATTAAAAATCCAAGAGGATATACTTAAGAGTCATTTATTTGATGGAAGCATTTAATATGATGAGCAGACAAAAAGTAAATACACAAATAATAACTTTCCTGAGTACCAGCAATGAAGGGTTATAAAACATTATAGGAAAAGATACACTCAGAAGAGCAACAGATAATATTAAATACCTATAAATTATCTTAACCAGAAATATGTGTCTTTCAGTAAAACAACTACAAAACTGTACTAAGAAAAAAATTCTTTAATAGACATGTTCAGAAATGGGAAATGGTTACACCAACTATCATGAGGAAAGAATTCTCTCCGAAATCATTTGCAGTCTCAAAGTGATTCTAAACAAAATCCCAATAGAACTATTTTTGGAACTTAATAAAATTAATATTAGTTCCTCTGGAAAAATGAAAACAGACAAGAATATGTAAGAAAATATTGGAAAAGAAAGAGGAAACTTGCCCTACAGATGTTAATAATTGGAATAGTGCGGTACCAGTGAAAAGCCTCAGGCCACTGGAGCAAATAAAATATCCTGAAACACAGTAGTATTTATAAGAAATGTATTTATAATAAAACAATAGGAAATGAATGATTTGGAAAAGTGAGCTCTCTGAGAAAACTGTCAAACTACAACTTAATATTATACCAAAATAAGTTTCAGAAAGGTAAAGATTTAGTGTTAACGATTAACTCACCTAAACTAAAGCTAGAAAAATATAGTTAAACACTTAACTGACCCCTGGAGAGGAATGATTGAGAGATTTGAATACATAGGAATATTAAAAATTCAGTGTATTAGAAAATAAAGCAAACAAATATCAAAAGCAAATTTGAAAGCAGATGTATAACTTAGCACTTGGATAATAAATAAGAAAACTTTAACATCCCGACAACAATAGCAAAAAAGGGAACAGACATCGCAGGCAACACACTAAGGAAGGAATGACTAATTAGCCCATGAGAAAATGTTTTTCTTTTGTAGATTCCCTGGGAAATTGTAATTCATCATTATTTACCATTTAACATTTCTAAGAGTTCTTTCAAAATTAGTATTTGTGAGAGCATTATAAAGAGGAAGATTCATGAACTAATGGTAACATGATAGATCTGGACAACTGTTGTGAAGATAGTTTATTAGTATGGATCAATAATCATAAATATTTTTCTAACTTTAACCAAGTAATTAATTCAACTTTTAGAAATGCATACTAAACAATTGCCACAGATACACAAATATAAGGAACCTATTTAATTTAATTTCTAAACATCTCAGCATGTATTTGAATAATGAAAAGTCTATTTTTAATATTTGTTAGGTTAGCTTACACTTGTGTGTTTAAAAAGCATGTTGATGCATTTTGTTTTTTCCCATTCCCATTTAAGTCTCATTCCATTTCCTTGTATTTTTGACGTCACTAGTGTCATTTTTTGAGTCCTCTACCAATTTTTCAAGGGTATATCATCTTCAGTTCCAATTGAACATACAGCCCTTTTTGAATCTGTGTGGCATGCTATCTTGGGGAATTTTACTGCAAGTCACAAATATTGATTCACATGATATTAGTAGTGTTGTTATTTACCTTTTTCCTGGGGGGTGTATTTTTATCTCAATTATGAAACCACTTCCTGTATGAGTTTTTATAAAGCTCTTTAAACTGCTTGTTTACAGTGACATCAAATACTTGAAATTATAAGCTCATACCTTCCAAGAATAATTTCTAAATCTGTATAAAATTTCTTTTAACTACTTTTGTCAGGTAAACCTAAAAATATCTAAAACTAGCATTGATTGAGGTCATTTAAAGCTGATATGACTTCACCAAATGTTACTGTTGGTTGAAAAGAGAGTAATTAAAAAGTTGTCTTATGGTACAAAGGGTTTTGTTGAAAAAAAAGGTAATAACTTTCTCTTTTATGAGAGATAATTTTAAATTTAAAGAACAATGTTGCCATATATTGGAATATATATGGTACTCAGACATGGCACAAGGATTTATATTCGAGAGTGTTCGGCCAGGCTTGGTGGCTCACGCCTGTAACCCCAGCACTTTGGGAGGGCGAGGTGGGCAGATCACCTGAGGTCAGGAGCTCGAGATCAGCCTGACCAACATGGAGAAACCCCATCTGTACTAAAAATACAAAATTAGCTGGGTGTGGGGGTGTGCACCTGTAATCCCAGCTACTCAGGAGGCTGAGGCAGGAGAATCACTTGAACCCAGGAGGCAGAGGTTGCAGTGAGCTGAGATCGCGCCACTGCACTCCAGCCTGGGTGACAGGCAATGAGAGTGAAACTCCGTCTCAAAAAAAAAGTGTTCATTGAAGCATTATTTTAAAACAGTAAAAAAGTCAAATGTCTAACAATTAAGGGTACTAAAATTAATTGTTATACTTCCATCAAACAATATCATGTAGTCATTAAAATTCTCCATTAAAAGAATATTTAATAATTTAGGGAAATACTTATAAAATAACAAGTGAAAAACCTCATAAAATTATAGATCTTGATGTGAAGAAAATATGTATATATTTGAATGTATAGAAAAGAAAAAACTAAGGAGGAAAAAATCAAAATTTTTTTTGATTTGGGGTGATTTTTATTATCTTCTTTCTACTTTTTTATCTTTTTAAAGTTTTTTCTCAGTGAAAATATACACATTCTATAATAAAAAAGAGCATTTATCTTAAATATAAATAAAATACTCTACAAATTATTAATTACTAGTATTATCTTAACCCAGTAAAGGCTCTATTGCTCTTACTTTCTGTGTTGAATAAAGTATTATAGTCACTACTTAGAAACTCCATGTTTTATCTATGACTGATACTGCTTCATTCAGCTACTGAGCAAACAGGCACAGTGTCCTGTTCCCCATTTAGATCAGTGGTCTCCAACCTTTCTGACACCAGGGACCAGTTTTATGGAAGGCAATTTTTCCACGGATGGGAGGGTAGGGGATAGTTTTAGGAAGACAAGCACATTACATTTATTATGCACTTTATTTGTATTATTATTACATTGTATTATATAATGAAATAATCCTATAGCTCACTGTGATGTATAATCAGTGGGAGCCCTGAGCTGGTTTTCTGTGATTAGATGCTGCCATCTGGGGGTAACGAGAGACGGTGACAGATCATCAGGCATTAGATTCTCATAAGGAGTGTGCAACCCAGATCCCACACATGCACGGTTCACAATGGGGTTTGTGCTCCTATGAGAATCTAATGGCACCACTGATCTGACAGGAGGTGGAGCTCAAGTGGTAATGCTCACTCGCCCGTGGCTCACCTCCTGCTGTGCAGCCAAGTTTTTAACCTGAACTAGATAGATGAGTTTTGAGTAGATTAAAAAAGGAAGTAGGGGTAGGGGAGGCTGGGCAGAAATAAACCTGAGGCCTGGGCCCTGTAGCACTCCTGTATATTACTGACTCCATTTTGGCCTATTCTCACACCACACGGTGCTTTTTTTCACTGGTCTGTTCGCAGTCTTTTTTCGTGGACCACAACAGTCGAGCTACCACTTTCATTGACCCCCGAATCCCTCTTCAGAACGGTCGTCTTCCCAATCATCTAACTCACCGACAGCACCTCCAGAGGCTCCGAAGTTACAGCGCTGGAGAGGTAACCCTCCCTACACCCCGCCCTACTGTTCACCGGTCACAGTCTCTGCCTCTTCCATGGGAGCAGAACAGTTCTTCAGTGGCTAGGATCTAGGGTTGCCTGCGCTGGAAGAGATTAAGCCATATGCACCCTGCTTTGTAGAAGAATGATGACCGGGACACCCACTTAACACCCCAGAGCTGTCTTCAGTTACCTTTTCTGCCTTGCCTTTTGTCCCACACAATCACCACTACTAAAAACCTGTCTAGTTGAAAGGAAACTGAAAATGCACTGTCAGGAGATCCCTACACTTATGGCTGGAGCTGTGCCTCCTGAGGCCTGTCATGTGTGAATACATGGAACTGCCATGGTATGTCTGACTAACTTTAAACTTCTACCTCTCCAAAACATCCTAGAAAATACTTCAATAATGTATCCATGGACTAGAAACTAGGGGGAATTAACCAGGCCACAGGAAGTGGTGCTCTATTCCCACTCTATTCGCGCTCTACAATGTGCTCTTTCCTTGGCAGCACTTTGTGGCTACCATGAAAGGCTAAGGATCACTTCATTGCCTTTCTGAATTAGTATCTATATCCCATACTCTTCCTGCCCTTCTTTCTCGAGCCAAAACTCAAAACATAGCTCTTTTTTTGCTCCTGATCAGTTCCTGACAATATCATGAGCAAATTTCTTTTTATGTCCTAATTGACATTTCCCAAGTATCTGTGCCTTCTTTTTGTGGAAACCACCAGGACCTCAAGAGATGTGGCTTCTGAGAACTACTTCCCATAAAACAGCTTTTAGAATTGGATTATCATAAGGTTAAAAAATCAAAAATATGGAGTAGGAAGGAAAGGAATATATGTGTATGTAGGTGAGTGAGTTTGTGTGTGTGTGCGTGTGTGTGTGTGTACATATGTGTGTGTGTGTGTATATATATACACACACATATATACGCATATATATATATACACACACACACACATATATACGCATATATATATATATATACACACACACACATATGCCACAGTGAGTCATTCCAGGGAGAGCCAGGGAGTTTCTCTCCAGAGAAACTGGGAAGATAACAATTCACCCTGCAGCCACCTCCTCCAGATAGCAAACATAAGTCTCAAGGGAAGAGCCTATTGTTGATGTATCGGCACCAGTTATTTACCACTTTTTCAGAAGGAGTCCTGTGTATACTCTGAGAAACATAACTATTTCCAACCAGTGGCACTCATGGCTTAATGCCAGTGTGATAAAATGAATGTTTTTTCATGGAGTCGTCTTAAGTATCATTGTTTCAGGAGACTGCTGAAAGCATGCTAAATCTTTCTTTCTTCATATATATAAGGTGTATGTGACTAGGCAGAGAGGGAGTACTACACATCCCTGAGCATTACATGGGTGTCAGGATTTGCTAGATGCAGACGTGTTCACAGACTACAGAAAGCAATGCCCCAGCTTCCCAGTTCAACATGCGTAGTCTCCCTCCCTGGTGGCATTCCTGTAACACTTCACAAAGTACAAGGTGGGTTGTCTTGAGATTATAGGGAATAAATTCAAAATTCTTCATGAAGTTGAATATGCCTTTAAAAAGTTCAAGCTCTTTAATCTCATTAAGACAATTTCAGTATCCACATAGGGTAACTACATGTGATAAAGTAGCTGAGTACTGCAGACAGATTCACTGTCAATAAAACAAAAACTTCAGTTGTGCAAGATTAAGTCCCTAAAATACAGATCTCTTACAATTACAAGAAATTAGTCTGAAATGTAAATATTTAAAACCTTTCTAACTGAAAGAACAAGACTGAAACCATGGACACCACTTGCATTACCTGTTTTAAAACATGTGTTTCATGTGATTGAATAGCCCAAATAGAGTTAATTTAATATCATTTAAATCATTAATATCATTTGCCATAACATGTATGGCAAAGTGCCATCTGTATCAGTTAAGAACTAGCTGGGGCCAGGTGTGATGGCTCACACCTGTAATCCCAGCACTTTAGGAGGTCGAGGCAGGCAGATCACGAGGTCAGGAGATCAAGACCATCCTGGCTAACATGGTGAAACCCCATCTCTACTAAAATAATACAAAAAATTAGTCAGGCATGGTGGCGGGTGCCTGTAGTCCCAGCTACTCGGGAGGCTGAGGCGTGAACCCGGGAGGCAGAGCTTGCAGTGAGCCGAGATGGCACCACTGCACTCCAGCCTGAGCGACACAGCGAGACTCCATCTCAAAAAAAAAAAAAAAAAAAGAACTAGCTGGAAGACTCTAACACATATGATGAAAGGGCGTTGCTGTGTACCAGCCATCTGTCTGCTTCCTAATGCATCCACCCTGACTGTTCGTCACATTTCCAAACCTCACCCATCCCTATGCCCATCCTCTCTCTTCTGGTAGCTTTTGGCTGACAGAAGAGGACACCAAGAAAAGCAACGGAGAGAGAAGCCAAGAGGCAGAGAGTATCTGATCCAGAGGCAGTGCACCAGAGAAAACAAAGACTCGGCCTCTAAGAAAATAAATATGTGGTTCCTCCCACTGCAAGAGCCCTCAGCCTAGGGATAAGGAGACAGAGGGACTCTGGTATCAAAATAGAGGGGAGTGGGTGGTAGGAAATGTTGACTGCATTTGCTGTGATGTGATTTTGCTCAGCAAAAATTGATTCCATGCATGGCTTGCTATGAGCACTGTGGAATGCAAAATATGAGACAATCCCTGCCTTAGAGAAGTTTGTATTCCACTTTTGAAGCCAGGCCAAAAATACATACAGAGTTAAGTAACGAGAGAAATCAGAATATGGTTGAGTGGCAAGAGAGATGTTAGGATAAGTGCCACAAAAGTTCAAAAGAAGCCAAGGAAAAGTATCTTTTAAAATAAGGTGCCTGGCCAGGCACAGTGACTCATGCCTGTAATGAAAACACTTTGGGAAGCTGAGATGGGAGCATCACTTGAGCCTAGGAGTTTGCAACCAGTCTGGGCAGCATGGCAGGACCTTTTCTCTACAAAAATTTAAAAATTAGTCAGATGTGGTGGCGTGCACCTGTGCTCCCAGCTTCTCGGGAGGCTGAAGTGGGAGGATGGCTTGAGCCTGGGAGGTAGAGGCTGAAGCTAAATGTGTTCACACCACTGCACTCCAGCCTAGGCAACAGTGCAAGACTCTGTCTCAACAAAACAAAACAAATAATAAAATAAAATAAAGTACCTGACTAGAACTTGAAAACTGGTAGAATAGGTACAAAGGATGGGGAAGGGAAGCCTTACAGAGCACAGCCTAAGCAAAGGTGCAGAGGTCGGATTGAGAAAGGCTCACAGAGAGACAGTGACTAGTTCGGTCTGAGCCAAGCAACAGGTTCCCGCTTGCTGTGCCTTGGTTTTCAGAAAACTTTAGTGCTGCATGGAAGAGTTGGAACTTTTTTAAGGGACCACTGAATGAATTTGAGGAAAGTAATTGATTCATCCATTGTTTCAGGGTGAAGTCATCTCTAAAACACATTTGAGAGATGGGGAAAGACTCTTGGCATTTGGGGCAGGACAATTCTCTGATGTGTGGAATCATCCCATTACCTTGCAGGACTTTTTTTCCTGACCCCATCCATTAAATGTCAGGAGTGCCCCCAGTTCCCCAAGTCATTATGACAAAACAAAACAGAACAGCCCCCCAGCATTTCCACACACCCATAGATGGTAGCATTACCCCAGTGAAGAACCATTATTTTACAGTCCAGTAAACTGAAATACCAAGAGCTCACTTCACATAGGGAGTTCAGGACCACAGCTCAGGTTTCCTAACAGTCATCCATGCAAACTCTTTTTTTTTTTTTTTTTTTGAGCTAGAGTCTCGCTCTGTCACCCAGGCTGGAGTGCAGTGGTGCGATCTCGGCTCACTGCAACCTCTGCCTCCTGGGTTCAAGCGATTCTCCTGCCTCAGCCTCCCAAGTAGTTGGGATTACAGGCGTGCACCACCACACCTGTTTAATTTTTGTATTTTCAGTAGAGACGGGGTTTCACCATGCTGGCCAGACTGGTCTCGAACTCTTGACCTCAAGTGATCTGCCTGCCTCGGCCTCCCAAAGTGCTGGGATTACAGACGTGAGCCACCACGCCCAGCCACAAACTTATATTTTTAAAAGAAGACAATGAAAGCCAAGAAGAGGAAGGGCTGTGGCAAAGAGCTATTCGAGAGAGGCCTGCTAGAGACCACTGCCACAATCAGATGGAAGGGGATGAGGCCGAGTTGAGGTGACAAAGAGAAAACAAAGGGCAGCCCATAGGGAGAAGGCTCAAGGAAGTCAGGGGTTGTGGAGGAAAAAGTCACTGGGACTTCAGTCTGCAGACAGGCGTTCCAGCTCCGGCATGTCCACAGAGGAGCTGAGTATCAATCATTGTTCATTCCTCCCCTGCCAGGGACCCCAGCTTCCTCTGCAAATGGGTGACCACTAACGTGTGTTCCAGCTGTGTGATTCTCAGAGTCTGTGGGGCTTGATTCCACGTCTTCAGGACCGCATAACTAAGAGACCCATTAACTACATAGAGCTAAGAGGAGCAGGAAAGGCAGGACGGAAGGATGGCAGGTTTGTCTTTAGGCAAGTTGATAATGTGTGTGAAAATAGCAGGGTATCTGATTAGATATGACAGTTAAACAGATGGAAATATGAGACTCAGCAATCATCGATGGGTTATTTCCATAATCCATTATTTTTCTGTGTCCCGTATCACAGGCAATAGGGAATTAACTATAGATATTTCTTAGACTACAACTTACAAGTGTGGGTATTTTCTGTTCACCTACATAAGCCATTCTCTTGAGTGTTATTCAGCAGTTGATTTTTTTATAAATTGCATGTAAGGACAGAATTAAAATGGGTTTCTATATTAAGGATCCTAAATGGTAAAATGTTTTTCTTCAAACCCCAATGGCAGATTATTAATAGAAACATTGTTAAAAATATTTTGGATTGTCCTTTACCTCACCTGGAAAATTTTCAGACAGATTCCTGAAAGCAGTTATTACGAATATAGGATTTATACATAAAAAGATCGTTATTTGACACTTTCACTTGCATTTTAAGGCGGAGGCACATCTGTCTGCAATATATTCAAGCACCAGCAAAGCAGGCCTTATCTCTCCTCAGAATGTGTGACCAGAATAGGTCACAGATAAGTGGAGTGCTATGAATACTGGATCCCATCTTAGCAAGGAAATCACGAAAGGGTAACACATTTGCCTTGTTTACACTGCAATTCCTAATATAAGTTGACATCAATAAGGAAGGATAAGCAGAGCACATAATTTTCATTTCTTTTGCCATCTTATCTTGGTCAGGTTAGAAAATCGTTAGTCATAGAAAATTTCTGGAAGGTACACACCGAAAAAAAAGCTTGACAGTGACTGCCTCAGGAAAGGGCAAGAGTCTGACAGGGAAGAGAAGCTTGCTTCTCACTTTAGAAGCAGAAGTCACTCTTAGTCATTCTTTGCAGTGAGCTTCTTTGATGGCAGAAGTCATTTCATGGGCTCTGGTGACATGAAGGAATCTTCATTCAGGAAGCTTGCTTTTGGGGAGAGTAATTGCTGCATTGCTTCTTAAAATTGGTCATTTTCCTCTTGGCTCAATGTAACCTGCACTTGATCACAGGTTTGGCTGGAAGTTTGTAAAATTCAGACACCTTTGAAAATAAACTGTTTAATTACAGTCATACATCACTTAACAGCAGGGATACATTCTGAAAATGTTGTTGTTAGGCAATCTTGTCACTGTGGACATCCTAGAGTGCGCTTACACAAACCTAGATGGTATAGCCTACCACACACCTAGGCTGTACGGTATGGCTATGGCTCCCAGGCTGCAAACCTGTACAGCATATTAACTGTACAGAATCCTGTAGGCAGTTGTAACACAATGGTATTTGTGCCTCTAAACATATCTAAACATAGAAAAGGTAAAGTAAAAATACAATATAAAAGATTTAAAAAATAGTACACCTGTATAGGATACTTACAGTGAATGGAGCTTGAAGGACGGAAGTGGCTCTGGGTGAGTCAGTGAGTGAGTGACTGTGAGGCCTAGGACATTACTGTACACTAATGTAGAATATAAACACTGCACACTTAGGCTACACTAAATTTTTTTTATTATTATACTTTAAGTTCTGGGGTACATGTTTACAATGCGCAGGTTTGTTACATTTGTATACATGTGCCATGTGGGTTTGCTGCACCCATTAACTCATCATTTACATTAGGTATTTCTCCTAATGCTCTTCCTCCCCCAGCCCCCAACCCCACTACAGGCCCCTGTGTGTCATGTTCCCCTCCCTGTGTCCATGTGTTCTCATTGTTCAACTCCCACTTATGAGTGAGAACATGAGGTGTTTGATTTTCTCTTCTTGTGTTACTTTGCTGAGAATGATGGTTTCCAGTTTCATCCATTTCATCCATGTCCCTGCCAAGGACACGAACTCATCCTTTATTATGGCTGCATAGTATTCCATGGTGTATATGTGCCACATTTTCTTTATCCAGTCTATCATTGATGGGCATTTGGGTTGGTTCGATTTTTTTTTTTTTGAGATGGAGTCTCACCCTGTCTCCCAGGCTGGAGTGCAATGGCACGGAGTGCAATGGCACGATCTTGGCTCGCTGCAAACTCCTCCTCCTGGGTTCAAGTGATTCTTCTGCCTCAGCCTCCTGAGTAGCTGAGGCTACAGGCACGCACCCCTACACCCGGCTAATTTTTTGTATCTTTAGTAGAGACGGGGTTTCACCGTGTTGGCCAGGCTGGTCTCAAACTCCTGACCTCATGATCCACCTGCCTCGGCCTCCCAAAGTGCTGGGATTACAGGCGTGAGCCACCGTGCCTGGCCTAATTTTATTTTTTTAAAGCAATTACACCTGACATTGTGACAGCTATGACATGACCAGTGATAGGACTTTTTCAGCTCTATTATAAGCTTATGGGAACACCATTGCCTATGCATCCATTGTTGACTGAAACATCGCTATGTGGCACATCACTGTATGAACAATATGTAATGAATGCAGAATACAGACACAGATGGAAAAGCATAATTCCCCATCTGGAGACACAGGTACACATAAAAATAAAGACATTAGATTGTGTTGTCTATGGTTCTATATCCTAGTGCCTCGTAGACAGTTTCCACACCATTAACATTTTTCTATATTTAATCACATGGATCTACCATCATTTAACACAAGCCTTTCTTGAACATGATGTTTATTGCCCGCTTCTTATTATAAAAATATTGAACAACTCAAATATCTCTCTTTTGTTTCCTTAAGATAATTCTGACAACTTTGTTAATGATCTATTTTCAGAACACAGAAGGAATCTAGAGAGGAATGTAAATTCGTCCTTTGAGCCCTTCCTGTGAACTTGCTACATTTTTTTTTATCAAGTCTCCAGTGTTTGCAGAGAGAGGGTTAGCTGATTATTAACCCAAATTCAGTCTAAAACATGCAATTTTCAATCACAGCTTTAAGGAAACCCACAAGTGTACATTCCCAAATTGCAACATTGAAGAGCAGCTTGTTTACCAGTTGCTGAAAACTATTTTCTGAGGATATCTATTTTGTTTTGTCTGGAGAGCTAAATGTTTGAAGTTTTCACATTTACAATTATGATGAAAGCGATCGATATCAAAAGAAAAAGAAATCCTAAAAGTAGTCCCTACTACAAACTGGGTTTTACCCAATTATGGAAGAGTTGTTGCAGCATGTCTGGGGAAAGGCAGGCCACCAAGGGCTCTCTCTCCCCTCGCTCACCCCTTACCACATGTGCCCACACACGCACGTACACCCCTGAGAAACTTAATAAGACCAAAGGGGTCAAATGCCAGGAAATTAGAGTCATGTCATTTTGGTTTTAAATGGAAAATCAGTCCTGTAGTCATTTTCTGACCTTAGGAAAACAAAGCAGGCCGCGGATGGTGGCTCACACCTGTAATCCCAGCACTTTGGGAGGCAGGGCAGGAGGATCTCTTGAAGCCAGGAGTTCAAGACCAGCCTAGGCAACATAGCAAGAACCCATCTCTACAAAAACATTTTTAAAATTAGCTGGGCACAGTGATGTGTGCCTATAGTCCCTGCTATTCAGGAGGCTGAGGCAGGAAGATTGCTTGGGCCCAGGAGTTTGAGCTTGTAGTGAGCTATAATTGCACCACTACACTCCAGCCTGGATAACAGAGACTGTCTCAAAAAAAAAGGAAGAGAGAGAGAGAGAGAGAAAGAAAAAAGAAAGAAAGAAAGCCAGCCAGCCAGCCAGCCAGGCAGACAGTCACAGTGGCTAAAGCCTGTAATCCCAGCACTTTGGGAGACCGAGGCAGGCAGATCACCTGAAGTCAGGAGTTCAAAACCAGCCTGGCCAACATGGCAAAACCCCATCTCTACTAAAAATAGAAAAATTAACCAGGCATGGTGGTGCATGCCTGTAATCCCAACTACTCGGGAGGCTAAGGCATGAGAATCTCTTGAACCCGGGAGGCAGAGGTTGCAGTGAGCCAAGATCGCGCCACTGCACTCCAGCCTAGGCAACAGGGTGAGACTCCATCTCAAAAAAGAAAGAAAGAGGAAGGAAGGAAGGAAGGAAGGAAGGAAGGAAGGAAGGAAGGAAGGAAGGAAGGAAGGAAGGAAGGAAGGAAGGAAATGAAAGAAAGAGAGAGAGAGAAAGAAAGAAAGAGAAAGAAAGAAAGAAAGAAAGAAAGAAAGAAAGAAAGAAAGAAAGAAAGAAAGAGAAAGAAAGAAAGAAAAGAAAAGAAAGAAAAAGAAAGAAAGCCATGTTGGCATCATGTTTGCAGTGAGATTCAAATCAGTCACTCAGTTGCTGTCAGACGTCCCTCGGGATGGATTGTTTAGTACCAGTACAGGGCTTCAAGGATCCTAGCACATACTAAATCCTAGTTCAAACAGACCCTCGGAATTTCCTCCAGCCCTGCCTGAAACTGTCTTCATCGCTGTCCATTCCTGGGCCCCTTGTTGGAGAAGGGCGTTTCCATCCAATCCTCCTGTTCTCCAGGCTCTGGTCTTTGAGCCATCCAGTACCAACCAACCGTTTGCAGACATTTCTGTGGCTCAGGGACGCAGCAAGCCGTATCTCCCCCTGTGTTATTTCCTCTATCACACTCATATTAGGCATGAAGAATGTTTGTCAGTCAGTCATCTGCCTTTGGGCTAACTGGACTTCAGCTGGTTTCTGAAGTTTTTCAATCTGGCTCAGCTTTACCCGTGAGTGGGTGACCTCAGAAGTAGGCACCATTAATGAATTTCCTGTGAAGGCCAGGAATAGAAGTGAGCCTCTTTCTGTTTCAAAGCCTTATTCATTTCTGGGTGATGCCCTGACAGTTAGACACTTTCACTCAGGGCGAAACAACAAATGTTTCCTGAGTCCAGTGCACAGCCAAGCCTTCCCGAGCTCAGCCAGCAGATCTGGCTGTTTCCCCAGTTTCCCTCTGTAATTTATCACTTAGATAACCTTCAGCTGGTGGGTCTCTGAGAATCCTGTCTTTACAAGATCAATAATATTTTAAATACACGTTAAGGCAAACTGGCATGATTCCCTCCAAGAAAAAGAGACTTATAATTTCAATCCCAGAAAGCCTTTACATATTTATTTATTTATTTATTCATGGAGAAAAAAGAGAAGTATGAGGATTCAATACTGCATAGTTTATTGATCAGCAAACTTTTCTTTCATCTTTTGCTTTGTAAACATTTGAGACTGGAATGTGCTGCTGCAGAAATACCAGCTTCTAAACCCTGGTGTCTGGCTTTGCCAGCTGAGCAGAGCTGAGATCTAATGACATCAAAGTGAGAAGTCCACCAAAGTGGCACAAAATCTACTCCCTTGTCCTTCAAGTAGGCCATGGGCAATAAGAAGGACCAGGAGAGAAAACAGATGCATCTGCATCTCTACCCAACTTCCAGAAAAGCAGCAAAGACTACCACACACAGAGAGTGAACTGGTGGCCCCTGTCTGCATACAAAGGATGTTATCCTTGGGTGTGGAATATGGAAGTGGGAACCAAAGGAAAATCAGCAATGCCTGTGTTTGTCATTAGGGATCGTTAAGTAATTTGCCCTACATTACGATCTGCAATATCACACATGGCCTATTCTTAAGTGGCCGTTTGGAACTGACTTGTCTAGACTTTGTAGCACTGGTCCTCATCACCTTCCTGAATTCTGTGTGAGTGAGTTTTATGCTGGTCTCAGAGGGAGAAATGTCTTTCCTTTTTTTTAAATCTGGATGTTTGAACTCTTTCTAAGTGTCTTACAAAATTATCATCTGTTACATTAAATTAAACTTGGCTTGAGGATGCCTTCATACTTTTGAGTCATTACGTAATGGATTGCCACCTCACTTGGGACATGAATTAACTGAAAGCCTAATTTGGGAGTATACTTTGGCAACAAAGGGTTGAGTCTCAGCCAATCACAACAGCCAAGCTTCAGTCAGTTGCAGGTGGCTAACTGATCAGACCATGTTCAAATAAGGCAAACACTGAGCTGCTTCCGTACCATGCTCCCATTCCCCAACCGTAAATGCTGCCTGCCCATGGTTGCAGAATGGAGCTCTCTCCTCCCTTTCTGGTTCTGGTTCTGAGTGAGGACCACCCCATTCTCACACCATTCTTTGATCAATTAAACTCTGTAAGTTTACTTTGTCTAAAGTCTTTAACACTTCAAAATTCTTAACTATTTTAAAGCCTATTTTAGCATACTTTGACAAATATCATAGGATGAGTTACACTCTACATTAAATCCCATATATCTGGTGAATGTACTGCAATGTGGAAAATCTATAATGCCTCTATAGATTTTAACATCTTACTCTGCAAGGGTCTTAAAAAACAAAATGTATGTAGAATCACAGTGAGAATGTCCATTATCATGCTCTAGAACTGCATAGTTTATTGATCAGCAAAGTTTTCTTTCACCTTTTACAAAGGTGATTTTTTTTAATTTACAAAATTTAAAATTGAGCTAAGTTAGTTTTTTTGTTTTGTTTTGTTTTGTTTTTGAGATAGAGTCTTGCTGTGTCGCCCAGGCTGGAGTGCAATGGTGCAATCTCGGTTCACTGCAACCTATGCCTCCTGGGTTCAAGGGATTCTCGTGCCTCAGCCTTCCGAGTAGCTAGGATTACAGGCATGCGCCACCATGCCTGGCTTATTTTTAGATTTTTAGTGGAAATGGGGTTTCACCCTGGTGGCCAATCTCAAACTCCTATCCTCAAGTGATCCACCTGCCTCAGCCTCCCAAAGTGCTGGGATTACAGGTGTGAGCCACCGCACTGGCAAAATTGAGCTAATTTAGTTTAAAGTTAATCATCACAAGTATCAACTTTAGGCTAAGCAAGTTATTTATCTCTGAAGTTTTGTCAAAATGCCTAAGCTGAACCAAGATATTGGAAGCAGGCAGGCAGTGTGGAAGGAGTAAACAAGTGCTTTGCAGTCAAGTATTAGAATCCTGGTTATCCCCCTGTCTTACGGTTGTAAACCTGGGGAAACTTTACTTTTCCTGGATCCTCAGATTCCCTATTTGTAAATTTTGGTTAATAATGCTTATCTTGCAGAATTTGTTAGGATATATAAGATGCTATGTGAACAGAAGCCAGCACAGTGAATGCAATAACAGGCATTCAAGAAAGAATGAATGTAATCAATACTATTTAAACAAGAAGTCCATTATACATTTGGTACTAAAGTTCAATGCTACCTTGGAAAGTTATAGGCGTACCTTACCAATGATATTTATCTAGGATTTATCTCTCTTTAACAAATTTATGATGAGAAATGTTTCTTGGGCTATTCAGTGTATTAATTTGATTAATATTCATGACTTTGACATGATCACTTCTTTTTTTTTGAAACAGAGCCTTCCTCTGTTGCCCAGGCCAGAGTGATTTCGGCTCACAGCAACCCCTACCTCCCAGGTTCAAGTGATTCTTCTGCCTCAGCTTCCCAAGTAGGTGGGATGACAGGCATCTGCCACCACATCTGGCTAAGTTTTGTATTTTTAGTAGAGATGGGGTTTCACTATGTTGGCCAGGCTGGTCTCAAACTCCTGACCTTGTTATCAAGGTCTCAGCCTCCCCAAGTGCTAGGATTACAGGCGTGAGCCAGATGGCTTTCTTAACCATAGTATAGCACATCATCAACTCTACTTAGACACTTTTGTAAGCTTTCTTTTCCATCACTTTTTTACTTTTTCAACTTAGGTGACTTCAAAATCTTTTACCCCTTAGGTTGAAAAACTGGTATCAAGAGACATCTGAAATTGATACAAATTTCTAATGCTTATGCTTTTATTCTAAAATTAGGCCTCAGAAGTTTCTAGAAACAGAGGAGCCTCTTTACTGGCCAGGCCAGGACACAGCTTAGTAGCTGCTATTCGAAGCCAACATCAACATGAGTCATTGCCACTGGGTATGTATCATGCTTGTTTGAGCCCCTGGCTCAAAGAATAGCAACACCTAGACTTGATTTTTTGTTTGTTTTTCTGGTTTTTGTCATGAACCCTTTACTATTCAACATTCTGTCTTTCCTTTCTCCTCTTTTAGGATATAGTGCACACCCCGACCCCTGCTACCATCCACCCCTCTGTCCTTTTCCCCTCTCCCTTCCTCCTCACCTATCTGTTCCCCTCCCTGTCTTTTCTGTTCTTTCCCAAACTCTCAGGTCCTTTCTTCCTTATTCTATTCAGTGATTTGTTAATCCCGTGCACAAGAGCAAGGTTTAAATGAGGTGAATTTTACTGTTTTTAGACAGTTTTTAATGTATACCTCTCTTTCCATGTATGTATGGCATAAAGTTTGCAGTGTCCATTCCTAACTTCAGCCACCTCTTTCCAAAACATATGCCACTTGTATCGAGGAAAATGAAATGAGAGCATCTAAATGGTATTTCCATTATCACTACTGGGAAATCGACACATGGATTACTTTGCACTCATAAAGAATCTTTTCCATAACTACAGCAAAATGACCAAGAAAAGTTAGAAGGAAGAGAGGAGAACTCCTCTTATGGGAGAGCTATTTTGTTCTCCTTTACCTGTTCATGCAGAGATGCATTAATACCCAGTAAAGATCCTGAAACGTTAAGGACGATTAACAGAGATCTGGTTCACTTTTAGTTTGATCCCTTAAAAAATTATAATGTTATTATGTCATATTTTAAAAACTCTCAAGAGCTTGCATTTTTTTGATGAGTATGCTGCCTGCCCTTCAAACTCCTTCATTAATCCTGGTATCAAGCAGCCATTTTCCAATCATCAGAGTGATTATCTCTGGGCTGCAGACTCAACCACAACTGTGCTTTTGTCTGTTTCAGCATATAATGACAAGATTGTGGCATTTCTTCGCCAGCCAAACATTTTTGAAATGCTGCAAGAGCGTCAGCCAAGCTTAGCAAGAAACCACACACTCAGGTAAGCCTCGCCCCTCACTCCCTGGAACTCTAGGTCTTTCCAGCCATTTTTCCCGGTGGGAAAACACCTCTGTGGAGACAGAGCGGAAGCTTATTATACATTGTATTTGTGCATTTAAATGAGAACTTGAATCCTCAAGATGAAGGGTTCGGGGTTCCTGTATTCTGGGAAATGGCATAATCAGAGATGGTCATATTATCAGATTACATATCATTTATATGGTACTGAAATGATTTCCATTGATGTAGGGGGGGGAAGGACAGAAAGGAAACAAAATAGCTTCCATTAAAAAATTATTTATGTACAGCACTGTATAAATTACTTTTAGTTTTGAAATATAATTGTTGAACGGTAAACCAAATATTGAGCAGCCGTGTTCGAAAATAAAAAAGCAAACAAAAAGTTTCTTGTGTGTTCTAACTACTTACATCTTATGCTTCATTAGGGTCATTTTTGAACAAGTGCCCTGAAACTCTGAATCACATGTGGAAGGGATAGCGATCTGAAATGATAAAAAGAGAAAATATTCCCTGAACTTAAATCCTGCTTTCTCACCAAAATATTCAAACATCTTTTTCCTTCGGTTTACTCTCCAACGTTCCAAAATCTGGAGAGGCATGGGGGTTAAGAGTACATCTCTTTGACGTTTGAATTTTCACTCCAACAGGTAGGGACTATTGATGGAGGCGTGTTATTCAACTCTCTGCCCTTAGTCTCCCAAATGGGGGTCACAAAGTGGGCATGGTTGCAATACTTACTTGAGGATGTGTAAAGGTTAAGGCAGGGCAGGCTAGAATCCCATCAACGGCTGCATTTCATTATTCCCTGCCCATGTGGTGCAGTCTTGTGAATGGGGCTGATACCTGCAATACCATACTCCGACTTCCTCGGGGAATCACTGACAGCTTCAAGTAGTCTCTGCTTTTCAACCCTTGCCACTCCCGCCAGAATGGATCATTCACTATTCTTTCCCCTCCAACACCCCCTCATTGACACCTCTTTTCCCTGTATTTTCACTCTGTAAATTAGAGCCACTACCCTCCCAGCTGTCCCTGATCTCCTCTCCTCCCTCTTCTTCCACCTCCACACCTAAACATTCACCTCCTCATACTCTCTCCTCCATCCTCATTTTCTCTTCTCCCTGCCATGGTTCAAGTTTAGGTGCTCATCATCTCTCTTCTGGACCATACAGGGGTTTCTCCTAAAATATTCCCTATCACCCTATCATAACCAGAGTTACCTACGTAAAGCATAGATTAAATCATGACCTCCCTACCCTTCAAAAAAGCTTTCATGGTTTCCATCACATATGAAATAAAGTCAAGATTTTTTTTTTTTTTTGAGACAGAGTCTTGCTCTGTTGCCTGGGCTGAAGTGAGATGGTACAATCTCAGCTCACTGCAACATCTGCCTCCCAGGTTCAAGCAATTCCTGAGCCTCAACCTGACAAGTAACTGGGACTACAGGCATGTGCCACCACACCCAGCAAAATTTTGCTAATTTTTGTGCATTTATTAGAGGTGGAGTTTCACCATGTTGGTCAGGCTGGTCTCAAACTCCTGACCTCAAGGGATCCACCCATCTCAGCCTCCCAAAGTACTGGGCTTACAGGTGTTAGCCACCTCACCCAGCCTAAAGTCAAGATTTCTAAGCATAATGTCCATGGTCTCAAAGTCTGGCCCTAACCTAACTCTCCATCCTGCACTAAGCTTTTCCTTCCAGGGTATTCCACCTCCACCACACAGGCTGCGTACTCTCCTGCCTTTGTCTTTCCGGGAATGACTTCCCTATTAAGGACATCTCATCCCGTTTTAAAGGCTCAGATCAAAAGCAAAACTTCAGTGATCTAGGCAAGCTTTAGTATTTCTTTTTCTTTGAGGGGGTGGGAACTTCCTGATGTTACCATGGCATTTGTTTTTTTGTTTGTTTGTTTTTAATTTTTTTTATTATACTTCTAAGTTCTGGGATAAATGTGCAGAAAGTGCAGGATTGTTACACAGGTATACATGCACCATGGTGGTTTGCTGCACCCATCAACCCGTCATCTACATTAGGTATTTCTCCTAATGCTATCCCTCCCCTAGCCCCCATTCCCCAACAGGCCCCGGTGTGTGATGTTCCGCTCCCTGTGTCCATGTGTTCTCGTTGTTCAGTTCCCACTTATGAGTGAGAACATGTAGTGTTTGGTTTTCTGTTCTTATGTTAGTTTGCTGAGAATGATGGTTTCCTAGTATTTCTTTTGTCTTGCTTTGATAGTATGCTTTTTGTGCCTCGAAGATATTTTTAGATCTCTTGTATTCTGTCATTTACTTGTGTCTCCCTACAGCACTCTAAGCTCTTTAGAGCAAGGCCTTTCTCTTCCTTGTCTTTGTGCCCACTCTGCCCCTTACAACCTGGTCCTCTACTTTGAAAATAGGAAACACCAATTACTTTTAGAGTGAATGAAAGATCTTTAGCATGAACAAGTGATCTTTAGCGTGATGAATGGCCACTTTCATTTATGTTCAACTCTTAAGAATTCTCTCCCCTGGTTTCATTACTGCACTGCTGCAGAAGGCAGAGTCATATTCAGCCACCTGGGTCATTCATTCATGGGCTGCTCTTTGACTCACCTAACAACCCAAGGGAATTTTCAAGGGATTTCCAGGGATGTTGTATTATCTTAAGGGTTTTTGACGCGTGGTTGTTCTTGAACATTCTTTACGTTACTGATTCTACCATTAAGTAGTGAGTTCACTGCTTGCTTTGTGGAAGAATTTCAACTCACCAAAGACACAAAAGTCTCATTTTAATCATTAGAAAAGGTTTTTTTTTAAGTAATTCCCTACATAAGTGAGTGGAATGTATTTCCAAAAGGCAGTAGACTGTTTTCATCCCTATTATATATCACATTACAACAATCCAAGAAACTTTAAATGTTTTGTTGCAATATGGGATTGTACAATTATGATTTTGCAGAGCTGGGGGAACTTGAAATCAGGCCACGTTGGAATTGGAAAAAAAACTTGGAAATTATCTAGTATGGAAACTAATAACCTATTTTAAGGTTATGGACTCCTTTGAGATGCTGATGGAAGCACTTATGGACTCTCCTCCACATATAAATATAAACCTCTGAATATAATTTCAAATAGTTAATGGACCCTAAGGAAACTGTGGACCCAGGTTGAGAACCCAAATATTTCATCAAAAACAGAAGGCTCACGATGACTATCAGAAACTGGACTATGTGATGATAGAACTAAAACAGCAGAAAGCAAAGAGCAAGAACTTGTTCTTCAGGAGGTCAAGCTTAAGAGATGCAGGAAGCCAGGCCCTGCTTTCCATGAGGAGGCATCCACCTGCCCCTGAGTGCCATGTCAGGGTGAGTCAGATCCACTTTGAAGGTTCAGGAGTTGAAGAGAATACCACTCTCCTCAGGACCCCACCCAGAAGAACTCATGGCTTCCTCTGTGGTCCCCAAGAGCAGATGGTGACCCCTGTTCAGCCATTGCTATTCTCAGGGAGTCATGGAGTCTCTGTCTTGGGTCTGCAAAGCCAGTTGCTGGGTTTGAGTATGTAGAAAACTGTCCAGTTGACAGCAGTGACTTGCGGTGAAAAGCAGGAAGCCACATGTAGAGAAGGGGATGGAGCCAGAAAACCCAGAGGTTAATGGCATCTGTTATCTTCAAGGGGCATGGAGGTGGTCCTTCAACTAGTGCTTTGATTGTGTCACTCATCTGAATCAGGATTGTCCCAGGGCTATGTATGCAGTAGCAAGCGAAACAGACCTGTAAATTCTCAATGAATTTACAATCTACTGAGGGAGACAGATAATAGACAAGCTTGGGGTTTGTTTTTTTAAGCCATATACAGCTGCATAATATGTTAAGTGCCATGAAGAACATGATTAGAATTCAGCAATAGTGGATAATATGCTGGTGCAGAGGAAGAGGACTTACATCCTAAACAGAACACAGGGAAGGCTTTTCCAGGTAGGTGATGCTTAAGCTGAAACCTGAAGGATGAGAAGGCATTGTCCCTTGAGATGCAAAGTGGAGATCAGGGAGAGAGTATGCAATGGCCCTGAGGCAGGAAAAGCTTAGATGTAGGTGAAAAATGAAAGAAAGCTAGTGTGGCCCAGGAGTAGATTGGGAGGGTAGGTGAGACCTACCATGGTGAAGTTGGAGAGGGAGGCCCTATCACCAACCGGAAACATTTTATTTGAATTGCGATTCTATTTGAGAAGTGATTGAGAAGTTTTCAGCTGGAAAGAAATATGATTGCATCTGTGTTTTTAGTGACCACAGATGCAATCATATTTCATCTGTTTTTCATGACCACCAATGAAATATGATTGCAGCTGTGGTCGTTAAAAACACAGATGCAATGTTTAGGCAGCTCTGTGGGGAAAAGATAGGCTGGGGAGGGGCATAAGATGGAACAGGGGCTATGCAGGAGACTATTATATTCATCCATGATGATGGTCGTGTGGATAATGGGAAAATATGGATGAAGAGAAGGGAGCAGTTTGGGGTGATACTGTGGATGCAAAAACAACAGGAGCTGATGACAGCTTGAACATGGTGGGTGAGGAGAAGAGAGTAATTAAGAATGACAGCCAAGTGTGGGGCTTGTGCAGGTGAATGGATAATGGCATCATTTACTGAGATGGGAAAGAGTGGAGGAGGAACTGGCTTGAGGAGAGGAAGAATGTCAAGGATTTTATTTTGGATATTGAGTTTTGAGGTCTTTGAAGCCACAAGCGGCTTCAAATGTCAAGATGTCAAGGAGGCAGTCGCCTGTCCTGTCCTGAACTCTAGGGAAAGTGTGCTCTGGAGTTCTCCCGATGGTCAAGGGATATATGTAGGAGAGACAGCTGGCATTCTTGCCCTTAGATGGCTTCCTCAGTTCTCAGTGCACTTTGGGATGGAGTCCCAGGGGCATCTGGAGGTCCCTTACACCACTGGCTATGCATGACATGTTGCCAGACATGACAGAGGATATAATGTCTGGTGGAGAGCCACCAAAACTCTCAGAAAATCGGGCTTAGCATTCAGACACCTGGATGTGGTCCATATGGTGGTGCCACGATAGAACCACTGTGCTGGGTGGCACTTTCTAAACTGGGGACTGCACTTTGCTGCCCTAGTGGAGATGGCCCTCTCTGGGCTTCTTTTTCCCGCAGGGAGGGAGGCCAGTGGCTTAACCAGATGTTGATCCCTTGGGGCAGGAGGATAACCTGCCCAAGGGTACATTATCATTGGGAGAGCATATAGATTTGAGGTCATTCATAAGGCCAAAATCATTAAATTAGAGAAGATTCAAGAGCATCTTCCAAATAACGGGGCTGTGAGGTGGTGTCAGGATTTGGAGGAGAAAGCCCAGGGCTGGGGTTGAGGACATAGGCAGAGGGAGAAGAAGGTGATGAGAGAGATGGGGATGTTCTGTTCTCTTTGCTGGGCTTTCACATGTTCCCTGCTAAATGACATGTGGACACTGCTGCTCCCTTTTTCAACCCAGTCAAAGAAGCCACTGTGAACACCCCCCAGGTTCTGGTGATGCCATTTCCTGCAACGGTGCTTCACCCGCACTGAAGTTGGATCAGAGTGCATTTCCCTGTTTAATCCCATTCTGTCTATCTTTGTAGAGGCTCAAAATCTTCCCTTGCCTTAAAAAAAAAGATCTCCATACCAAAAGGTCAAATTGACTATATTTTTTGCCTGAAAATCTCTAAGTTATGATGAAGATTTGGATTTATATTAATATAATCAAAGAGAGGAAAAAGTTGTACCTGCAGTATTTTGGAAAATAGATTTTTTTTTTCATTCATCTTTTGGGCCAGGCTCAGTGGCTAAAGCCTGTAATCCCAGCACTTTGGGAGGCTGAGGCAGGCGAATCTCTTGAGCCCAGGAGTTCAAGACCAGCCTGCGCAACATGGTGAAACCCTGTCTCTACTAAAAATACAAAAATTAGCCAAGCCTGGTGGTGTGCGTTTGTAGTCCCAGCTACATGGGGGGACTGAGGCAGGAGGATCACTGGAGCCTTGGGAGGTTGGGGCTTCAGTGAGCTGTGATCAGGTCACTGCACTGCAGAGTGAGCAACAGAGTGAGACCCTGTCTCAAAAAAATAAAAAATTTTTTAAAGAAAATACAAAAACCTAGCTGAGTGTGGCGGTGCATGCCTATAATCCCAGCTACTCAGGAGGCTGAGGCACAAGAATCGTTTGAACGCAGGAGGCAGAGGTTGCAGTGAGCTGAGATTTTACCACTGCCCTCCAGCCTGGGCAACAGAGCAAGACTCTGTCTCAAAAAAAAAAGAAAGAAAGAAAGAAAGAAAACAAAAGAAAAGAAAATCATCCATCTTTTACCACTGGGAGAAACTGAGTGAGGGGTATACAGGATCTGTCTGTTTATTTCTTATAATTACACATGACTCTAAAATTACCTCAAAGTGTAAAAATTAAACAAGAAAAGAAAAAAGTTAAAGATTAAAAAAAAACATCCTTAATTTTCCCTATTTCTGCTGCATCTCTTCAAAAAAGGCAAAAAATATTAACTCCTTTGAAGCATGCATACGATAGAAAGATTCTTGGATATGGTGTTTGTAATATTTGAGTAACATCAGGGAAGCAAATTAAAAAGTTAATTTGATCCAAAAAAATCCTACTTATCCATAGACTTACTTGAAATAATTTGCCGAGTTGGAGTTGGAGGTTGTCTAAAAGGATCAGAATACACGAGTTGTAGCTGACAGAGACAAAATTGATGCCTGTGCCTTGACTGACCTGGGAGACTGTTCTTGGTTCTTGGGGCCGGGCCCCCTCTGTGCCCAATGTGGCATCATAAATTTTCCATCAGGCACAAGATTTCTCAAGAGACACTCACCCCGCAACTCACTCTTTCCTCCCATGGCTTCCAACACGACATGAGCCAAGAACAGTCTTTTTTTTTTTTTTTGAGATGAAGTCTTCCTCTGTCGCCCAGGCTGGAGTGCAGTGGCACGATCTCAGTTCACTGCAACTTCCGCCTCCCGGTTCAAGCGATTCTCCTACCTCAGCATCCTGAATAGCTGGGATTACAGGCAGGCAACACCACACCTGGCTAATTTTTGTATTGTTAGTAGAGACAAGGTTTCACCATATTCCTCAGGCTGGTCTTGAACTCCTGATCTCGTGATCTGCCTGCCTCAGCCTCCCAAAGTGCTGGGATTACAAGTGTGAGCCACTGTGCCCCGCCCCAGAACAGTCTTTCAGGAGCAATCTCTTACCCAGCTCCACTCCTGACTGTCTTAGCTACCTGAGGACCTAACTTTGCTGTGTTCCTCAGCTTCTGTACCTGTGCAAGTCTGTAGAAAAGCCATCCCTCATAGAGCATCCTGAGAGCCTGTGATACAAACTTAGAATTCTGCAAAATACATAGGACGTTAGGACATTGCTATTCAGCAGTATTGGAAGAGGAAATAAGAGATCAGAAGAAAATGTATTTCTGAGTTTATGTGTTGGCATCTAATTTTCCTCTTCTTTCTCACATGATTCAGGGAGAAAATCCATTACATTCGGACTGAGGGTAATCACGGGCTTGAGAAGTTGTCCTGTGATGCGGATCTGGTCATTTTGCTGAGGTAGGGGGCTAGGCCTGAAATCCTTCTGGAAAAGCTTCCCTGGGCAGCTCTCCTCCATCACGGCCACCCTGAAAATGGCCTAGACTGAAAAACTCACCGCTTGTTCTAGAGGATTCTAGTAACTGCAACGCAAGTGGGACCCCACCCTTGTACCTGTGTCCATCACAGTCCTTAGATTTGCAATTGAGCTAGCAAGAGCTGCGTAAAGTACTTGATGGAGACTTTGTTGTAGGATTAATCAAGGTTTAAAACAACACTGAGAATTTGCAAGCAGCATGTACCTATCTTTCTGTACTACATTTAAATCTAATTGCTTTTGTTGCTTTGTGAGAAGTGTAAGTGCTGCTACCCCAATTCGTGAACACTTTCTCAGGGATGTAAAACTGACTTTCTTTTCTTTCTTTTTTTTTTTTTTTTTTTTCATATGCAGTCTCTTTGAAGAAGAGATTATGTCCTACGTCCCCCTGCAGGCTGCCTTCCACCCTGGGTATAGCTTCTCTCCCCGATGTTCACCCTGTTCTTCACCTCAGAACTCCCCAGGTAACAGGAATCTGGCCTAATAGCTCCTGTTAAGTGGCCACGTGTGTTTCCTCCAGTGAAGGTGAATGAAAGGCAACTGTATGTGTGTGTTCTTTCTCTCGGCCTTCCCAATTCCCTAATTGAAAATGCACTCTATCAGGTTTTGACAAATGGCTGCCTGTTTTTTGTAATGCCCCCCAAGCTAGAATGGGGTTTACAGTTTGAAATGGTTGGGAAAAAAATGTTTTGCTGGGCAGGTGGCTCATGCTTATAATCCCAGGGCTTTGGGAGGCCAAGCCAGAAGGATCACTTGAGTCCAGGAGTTCAAGACCAGCCTGGGCAACATAGCGAGCTCCCCTTCTCTACAAAAAAATTAAAACTAAGCCAAGTGAGGTAGCATGTGCCTGTAGTCCCAGCTACTAGGGAGGCTGAAGCAGGAGGGTTCCTTGAGCCCAGCAGGTTGAGGCTGCAGTGAGCTATGATTTCACCACTGCCCTCCTGCCCATACAACAAAGAGAGTCCCTATCTAAAAAAAAATAAAAAAGAAAGAAAGAAAGAAAAGAAAAAAATTAAGACAGTATTTTATGACATGTGAAAACTGTATGAAATTTAAATTGCAGTGTCCATAAATAAAGTGTAATTGGACCTCAGCCATGCCTGTTCTATGCTAGCTTTCACACCAGACTTGAGTAATAGCAACAGAAACCACATGGTCTGCAAAGCCTCAAATATTTACTCTCTGGTCCTTTGCAGAAAAAGGTTACTGTCCCTGCTCTAAATTGTTGCATTCCAAAGTCACTCTCCGAGCATTTCAAACGGAAGAGCCCTTTCTGAAACATTCTGCCTTGTGACTCTGAATCGATTGCACACCACTTTTGGTGATACAGCTACTAGGAACCATTGTTATATCTCCACAAAGATTCCAAAGAATTTCCTTACACATTTCAAAATTATTCCTCCTGTTTTCTTTATGTATGAGAATGAACTTGTGGTACAAAAATTCTTTGCAGGTATTTTCCATTCCAAGTGAGAGAATACATATGTTGAACTGTTTAGTGAATAAAAGATATTTTCGCCAGACACAATGGCTAACCCGCGTAATCCCAGCACTTTGGGAAGCTGAGGTGGGCGGATCACTTGAGCCCAAGAGTTCGAGACCAGCCTGGGCCATATAGTGAGACCTCATCTCTACCAAAAAAAATTTTTTTTAATTAGCCAGGTGTGGTGGTGCACGCCTTTAGTATCAGCTATTCAGGAGGCTAAGGCGGGATCTCTTGAACCCAGGAGACAGAGGTTGCAGTGAACCGAGATTGTGCCACTGCACTCCAAGCACTAGGCAACAGAGCAAGACCCTGTCTCAAAAAACAAACAAACGAAAAAAAAGATATTTTCTGGATTCATCAAGATAAAGAGCTTAGGTCAAATCCATACCTCCAGACTGGATCCAGATATTGGAGAATTTTTCCATTCGTATTTGACTTGCATTATCACATTGTTGTAGGTTTCATTTAAAGTAAAAGAGATCAGTTTGAAACATGTAGGAACATCCTATCTCAGAAGCTCTAGGGCCAGGGTTGGAGCATGGTTTTTGAAGCCAGTGGTAAAATTCCCAAGAGAAACAGAACTTGGTAATAAGCTTTGTCTCTGAGAAGGGATGTCGCACTCAGAGTTAGTATCATTCAGTACTGCCGTAGGTCTCCAGACTAGAGTATCTTTTAGTCTGGTTCCTCCAAGTTGTAGCATTCAGAAGTCCCTCTTAGAGGTAGTTGTGCTCGTCGTTAAAATATGTTTTCAAGATAGTATCTCCCTGTTGTCACTTCCTCCAAACAAGTGTACCAACAGCATTGTTAAGGAAATGTGCAATGCTTGCTACCTCTGACGCACAACATAATTAAATCCCATTGCCTAAAAAGACCAGGAGCTTTGCTGGAGCCGACATCAATACAGTCACACACTTTTAGCACTCATAGGATGACCTACTTTTGGGGAGCGAAGACAAAAGTAAGGGGTTTGGGGGGAAAAGTTTGGAGAAGCTGTAGGACTGCATGATGGTCTGCCATGTTGTAGAGATTGTCCCAGCCTGATAATGTGCCTATGCTTTGGTCTACAGACTTTGATACTAGACTATGATGTTAACATCATTATATGGGAGAGATATCATATTGCAAATAGAAAAATAAGAGTAAATGAAGAGTTATTTCCTATATGAGAATTATTTGGATATTCTAAAAGGAATAAACTTTCCTGATAGAGATATGACTGATGCCGTGAATCTAAGTAATCATCCAATTCATTTTGTCAAAGTACTTCTTTATTCTCTAGCATTGACCACAGGGTCCTAGAATATGTAATCCAAATACGTTGATTTTAAACTTTACAATCCCCATTCTCTTAGACTGGTATGAAATCTACCCAGGTGCTACAGAGATGGTGAATCATGAAGTTTATGCCAAAGTACTCTGTAAAGCAGAAATTATTTGAAAAATGCACAGCAGTCATCATGGGGACAGGTGATAGTACCAGCGGTAGTGAAAATCATAATTAATAAAATATACTGAAATGTGCTGGACAGAAAATTATACTTGCACTTACAGACCTGTATTCTAGTTCTGTGTACATCCCAAAACCTGGTATTCCACCAAGACCACTTCTTTTCAAGTGGTGGCCATTGGTTCCCTCAGGCCCAGGTGTTTGGGGCCCAGGTAGGCGGGGCCCCAACGCTTCCTTGCTTTTATCACTCAGCCATATCCCTCCCCTCCCTTTCTCCCAGTTACTGTCATCTACCAACCTTTTTCTCATTCTCAAGGCCTGTGGCCCCTGCCTTGTAGTCTTCCTCTCCTTCCCAAGCAGGTCCTTCCGTCCTCCTGGATGACTTCAACATCGACAGGGACCCTCATTCCGTTCCCTGGCTTCCCAGTCTCTAGACTTTGTCTGCAATGACTTTCTCCTCCCCTGCCTCAACCACTTACTCCCAAAATCACATTCCTGACCTTGTGATCATCTCCACAATCGCTAATTCAAACCTCCTCTTCTCTTCCAATGTGCTTGATCCACTACCCTTCCTACTACCACCCTTTGGCCTCATCAAGGCCTCTGGTTCACGGACTTTTCTCCTTTCCTTTCTAACGTCTTTCCCTGATGCAGCGTAGATTCTGCGGTTCATCATTTCAATAGCACCCTTGCCAATGCCCTGAACTCCCCTGGCCCTCTCCGTTTTGTTTCTACCCTCTGGCAGAGCTTCACCCCTAGATGAACCTTCCTGTCTGCTTCCCCCACTTCTGCAATCAGGCACTCTTGGGTAAATTCACCTCACAAGGCAGATTATTAATTCTAAATTAGTCATCTCTCATCTCACATGAACCTTGAACACCCAAAGGAAAATTCTAGCACATTTTTTCGATCTCCTCTACTATTATTTCAAACATTTCCCCTAAAGCCTCCAACCCTCAGCACCCTTCCTCTCTCCTAGCAAATGACGTCCTGTTTTACCTCACTGAGAAGTTGAAGCCATCCAGCAGAAACTTCTTCAAAGGCCTGCCCACAAGGCTAGCAAACCTGTACACATCTTCTCTGTCATCTCTGGAGGTCACGAAAGGAGGTGTCCTCACTAAGGTCGCCATGAACTCTGGCCACCCAATCCAGCGGGCAGTTCTCAGCCTTCCTAATCTCCGGCAGCGTGTAACATGACCAACTGCTGTCCCCCAACATCCCCTCTTCAGTTTCCTTCTGGGACACCACTCCAGACATCTCATCTACTTCCCTGGCCATTCCCGCAGCCTCATCCTCCCCTTCTATCATCCTTAAGTCTCAAACCCAGGCTTTTTTCTCCACTCAAACTGTGTATCTCTCCAGACAAAGGGACTATCATCAAAGACCAAGTTCATGCTCTTCCCCCACAAATGTGTTCTTTTTCTACTCCTCCCCGTCTCAGTGAATGTCACCGCAGGGTGTTCAGTTACAAAATCTGAAACCCACCTCTCCTCCACTACCTGTATCCAATTCATTGCCTCTTAAATACATCTCCTCTCTGCCCACTTCACTTCATCTCCACTGACGCCAGCCTAGTCCCATTTGAGCTCTTTGAATCCCCCTTGGTCCTCTGGGGTTTTGTTCTTTTCTGCAGGAAGATGAATGTTTTTATGATTCAAGTGACATCATGCCAGCCACTATGCAAGGGCTTCCTACTACACTTAGCATAAAACAAAATTGCTTAACAATGTACCTTGTCCTGTTTCATGCAGCTCCTGCCCACCTCTCAGGCCTTGTTTTTGTACCACTTTGGTCCTTGGACTCTGTGCTCCAGACAAACTGGAGTACCGCTTTCCATTCCGCCACAGGACCTTTGCACATGCTGATCTTCCACCTGGAATGCTCTTCTTCTCCCAGCTCATCTCCTCTCTTAGTTAAAGCATAGCTTTTCTTGACCCATGCAATCTAATTTGTGCCTATTTATTCTTTAGATTGTCCCCAGAGAAGCCTTCCCAGACTTAGCCAGCAGATTCTGTGATCTCAAAGAACTGGTTTTCTTTCCTTCATGGATAGCAATCATTGTAACTTGTATTATATACTCATTTCTGAGAGTTTACCAGCATCAGTCTTCTCTAAATTGTAAGCTTAGTACCTGGAATATAGTAAGTAACTAATAAATGGTTATTGAATGGGCAAGCCTTGATTCTGACCACCTTTAAAACTTGGGTAAGAATGTTAATTTTCCATCCTTTTTTAAATTAAAAGGTATATATAGTAAAGTATTTACAAAGCACTCTAAATGAGACAAAAGTTCTCCTCTATGTAGAGTTAGTGAATTATTATTATTGTAAACTTTACTCTTATGATGCAAGGTCATCTAATATAAACTCTAATCTAATATAAACTCCTAAATGCTCTGAGCCTTTGTGTACAGGTATGTTTATTTGAGCATCAATATCAATACAGGAACATGATGGACACATGTACTAAAGTCCTACTTACCTCATTATAGTTTCAATCACTTCTTGTAGCAACTTACAAGAAAAGTTTAGTCTAGTTCAGCTTATGTTAATTATTTTAGATTATGCAAGTACAATTAAAGCTGAGAAAAATGCTCATCCATGTCCTTTTAAGAGAAATACAACTTGAAAGAATTAGAGAGGAAGACATAAATATTTATTCTCATTAGAACTCATAAATGAATGTAGTATATTATTTTTATACTTTAGTATATTATTTCTATTTATTATAAAAGTCACTGAGAGAGTGATGGAAATGAAGGGCTTGTGGGAGAAGAAAAATATGGAGATGCCAGAATGTGCCTCTGTTGAGCTCTTGCTCCACTGTCACTTTGTGTATTTGTTCTTCCACAGAAATTGATGACCTCATGCCTGTACTCCCAGCACTTTGGGAGGCCTAGGTGGGCGGATCACTTGAGGTCAGGAGTTCCAGACCAGCCTGGCCAATGTAGTGAAAGCTCATCTCTACTAAAAATACAAAAATTAACAAAAATTATCTGGGTGTGGTAGTGCATGCCTGTAATCCCAGCACTTTGGGAGGCCAAGGCGGGTGAATCACCTGAAGTCAGGAGTTTGAGACCAGCCTGGTCAACATGGTGAAACCCCGTCTGTACTAAAAATACAAAAAAAATCAGCCAGGTATGGTGGCACACACCTATGATCCCAGCTACTCGGGAGGCTGAAGTAGCAGAATCGCTTGAACCCAGGAGGTGGAAGTTGCGGTAAGCCGAGAGCACACCACTGCACTCCAGCCTGGGCAACAGAGCGAGACTCCTTCTCAAAAAAGAAAAAAAGAAGAAGAAGAAGAAGAAAGAAAGTGATGACCTCTGTGTGCTTCTCTCTGCAGGTTTACAGAGAGCCAGTGCAAGAGCCCCTTCCCCCTACCGAAGAGACTTTGAGGCCAAGCTCCGCAATTTCTACAGAAAACTGGAAGCCAAAGGATTTGGTCAGGGTCCGGGGAAAATTAAGTGAGTGCTCCAGTGCTTGGCACTGAATTCAGACAGTAGATTTTTCAATCCCTTTCTCCCCTACACCCTTGTAATATTGTTTTTGAGACTGGCTACTCTGGTGTGGTAGTGGTTATGGTCTGAAGCGGGGGAAGAAGGAAGTTGGGAAGCTGGAAGGAAAGAGGAAAGGACATTAAGAAATTGGAAGGGAAGCAGGAAGAGAAGGTAAGAGAGGGAAAGAGAATGAGAAAGAACAGAAGATTTTAGACAAAGGCATGTCGAAAATCACAGGGTAGACCTTTCCAGAAAACAAGAAATCTTGAACTAAATAAAAAATCTCATATTTCCCTTCACTTATTCTTGGGAAAAAAATTTAACTCATTGGTCAAATTTAAATTCTTGGTAACTTTGTAATTGAAGTCTAAGTAAAATGTTGTTTATATTTTCCCTTCTGGGTTTATTATTTTCATCTCAAAAAGCTGAACCCAAACTCAGGAATCTTAAGCAATATCCTATGAGTTGATCAAAATGAATTATCTTAAAAGTAGTTCCATATGATGGAATGCACGAGAAGTGTACACATTTTCCTTGTGCTCCTGATGTTTTGAAAAGTGTGTTCAGATAATCCCTCGATGAACTGACGGAACCTGGGTCCTGCTCTTTCCTCTCTCTTTGGAGAGGCTGGGGAGTGAGAACCTAAACCTGGACTCACAACTCACTTAGAACCCTGTCCAGCATCCTGACTTCAGGGCCACTGCTCACCACCCCTTCTCCTTCTCAGGCTCATTATTCGCCGGGATCATTTGTTGGAGGGAACCTTCAATCAGGTGATGGCCTATTCGCGGAAAGAGCTCCAGCGAAACAAGCTCTACGTCACCTTTGTTGGAGAGGAGGGGTGAGGCACCAGGAGTTTTATGCAGACACCTAAGCAAGGGTGGGCCAGAGCCTCAGGGTCAGGGGTGATTTTTCTCAAGAAGGAGCACAGTAGCTGTCAGTCTTCACCCCAATGCGATTCTGATCACATTCTCCCAGGAGGTCCTTCTTTTCAGGTATTGCCAAGCTTTAAAAAATGCCATGATCTTCAAAAACCTAAGATTATTGACATGCACAAGAGGATATGCCAACAATACAGTCCCAGGGCACTGAATCTTTCCTTTTTAGGTGGTGTACCCCTCTGAGTATCTAATTTAAAAAACTCTTTCTCTTAAAGTGCATGTATACAACTTCATGCCAAACTTTTCATATCATTTCAGTGATTTCATGGGAAACCACCTCAACCATGAAGGGCAAGCCCATGTAGGAAGGCGTATCAAAATGAACTTGGAAGCCTTTTCAGTCCACCCACATACACATACACACACACACATGCATGCACACATTCACTGTTGCAGGAAATTCTTTTATGTGTCCCACAACAAAGGCCTTGTATTCAATGGGCCAGCTGTGTGTTTTAGCTCAGAGGTGTTAGATGATCAAAAGAAAACACTAAGGAAAGCTGCCATAAGAGTTTATTCATGGACATCTGGTTAAGAAACATCTCCAAACCAATTACTGCATCCTCATTTTCTACAGCAAATTGATGCTGCCATTGGCATTCACTCCAAAGAGCAGAGGCTGCTCTCTGCTTTCCCCAGCACCCAACTCTGAAAGGGCACACTAGAATCTGGGTGCAAACAGGTCCCCCCACCTCCGGGCACAGAATGAGCTTCCTGGACCTCTGCTTTCTTTGCAGCCTGGACTACAGTGGCCCCTCGCGGGAGTTCTTCTTCCTTCTGTCTCAGGAGCTCTTCAACCCTTACTATGGACTCTTTGAGTACTCGGCAAATGATACTTACACGGTGCAGATCAGCCCCATGTCCGCATTTGTAGAAAACCATCTTGAGTGGTAAGCTCTATAATGTTCACTTTCTTGTATTTGAAAGTTCTCCTCTTTCTTAGTCAGAATTCAGCAGCATTTCTCAAAGGCCACTGTGTTTAGAGCAGTGGCCAGATGTTATGAGGGATGAGAGTGAATGACAGAGTCCAAGAAGGAAGAATCTGTTAGTCTTCACCCAGAACACAAGATGGATTTACCAAGGATGCTGATAATATAGCAACTGCAAATTGATGTGAGAAAGAATAATTGCCTACTGAGAAGACGCTAAGATCAGTAGACATAGGTCATGAATGTTGATAATTTTACTAAAATCATAGGGTCCCAGTGGAAGCTTCTTGGAGGTATTTATGGGTTTGAAATTCTTTCACCTTGGACCAGTGGCTTTAGCACTGTGGACACTGGCTTCTGCATCTTACTGTAAAATATGGCTATTGGGTCAGATGATCTCTAAGCATTCTTCTGACTTGAAAATCCAGTATGTCTTTGGTTCCTGGGTGGTCTGCTGTTGAGGCATTCTATTACCACTTACCTATATGTATAAGAAGATTGGTATCACTCAATGCTGTGCAGTTTTGTGGTGCAGATGTGGGTATTAGAGGTCTCCAGAAAGCTGCTGGGACACCTGGGATGCAGGCACTTTCCTGCTGCATCACCACATGCCTGATTTGAAAATTACCGCTGTTCTGACTGCAGGAGCTCCTGCTGTTGAGAGGGAAATGAGTCCTGGAGATGGCTAATGTGAGTTCTTCTGACATGACTTATTTATGCTGCTGTTGAAGGGAGCCATTGGGGTGACACCTGGGCCTGCTGGCCTTAGAACCCAAGTTCCTATAGTTTGGCTATAGAGCATCAGTATAACCCACCTGTGCTAAGGCTTCCAGATATTGCACATGCCTTCTCTCCAAATGCACTCCCAGCCCTGAAGTTCTTGAGATGAGGTAGAGTGAGTGAGTACACATCGAGGGTTTGGCACAAGATGAAACAAAACGTGCCCTTTGTTGCCCCAGAACTTGTGAATAAGTGGATGATGGAGCAGAGCAGACAAGTCACCGTGGACGGGCCCAAGAATGGAATCTGCCTCTCACTGAGCTCACATTCAGGCAGGCTCCATTCTGATGGTAGAGAGTGCTATGACCTGTAACACAGGAATATACACATACACAGATTATACCTAATACAATCCCTCAACTAGCTCTTAGTTTGTGAGCATGAAATTTAAGATGGTGTCTTAGAGATCATGAATTGGAATCAGCAATCAACAGAGAAATATTTTCATCAAATATCTTACCATATAAGACTATGCTGGATAGCATCAGGAATACCTTCGCTAATTTAACAATTATAAATTAAGCACATAGTATGTTCTGGGAGGATACAAACATAAAATGAGCAAGGTCTCATGCCTCAAAGAGACTAGTGTGAGGAACACATGAGCCAACCAACAATTACAATACAATAGCTTAAATGCTCACTTATACGCACATATACATATGTGGGCATATGTTTGCCTGAGATACATAGATAAGCCTGAGAATTGTATTCAATCACAAGGGAAAAATATCGCACTCTGTCCAAGTTAGGGGGTCAGGGAGTGGGGAGTGGAGTCTGTGAATCTTTCAAAAAGAGGAGACGGTGGCATAGGACAACAGGGACAAGTACCACGGTGGGATGAATGGAAGCTGACGTTTGAAGAAAACCTTGGTGTCAAGCATGTTTCAGTGCAGCCACAAAATAAGGCCACAGGTGAAGGCCTGATGGGAAGCACAGAAGATACTGTGGCCCACACTTGGCTGGACTACCTGTTAAAAGTGGCCTCCGTCACTTTCCACAGTGACCATGCCTTGCCTGCTGCCCCGTCCCTGCAACCAACCTGGCTTTGTGGCCTTCTGCTCATCTATGCATTGCAGGACTGAAGAAGCTTTATAGATGTGTCCGTTACACTTCATCACATTAAGGAAGGAAATTGTGTGATACAGGGATTTTGCAAGAATTACCAAAGTTCTCTGGATGGATCCCTGATGAGGGCTTGACAGTGCCTGTCCTCGAAATGCAGGTTAACCGCTGTGTCCTTTGTTAGAGGACTTGGCCCCGCACTAAGCATGCTGAGTTTCATCCACTGATGTTCTCCCTCATGTGGAGAGTATTTGTGGTGCATCCTGGAAACGCAATTGCAGGTAGCTTTCTGAGCCGACTAGCAATCTAAACTGAGCCCACGGTGATGAGATTTTCTTCAACGCCACTCTTTGGATGCTGCTGACTTGTGATGAAATGGGCAGGGAACCCTTATGATTTAAAGCTGCGACTCTGAATGCCTCAGTCCCGAGAGTCCTCAGCCTGGCATGCAGAACAAGCCCCTTCACCTCCACGGGGTCAGAGATCAGATTGTATCATGACCCTCCATGTGGAATCACACTTTTCTTCTCTTATCAGTGGCTCCAAATTTCTGAGCAAGGGAAACTGGTTTTCTTTGCACAGAGCCACAGCTGACTGAATGTAAGCCACCTAGGAAGAGTCTCATTTAGATTTCAACAGGAAGCCCTGATCAGCTTTGGGACATCTTAACAAAACCATGATGCTGCAGTTATTCCTTTTGTTTATTTTTTGTTATTTTCTTGTGCCATGTGGCAAATAGTTTAACAAACAAAACATGCAGGTTTCACCTATCTTGTGCCCCTGAGTGGCTCGTTAAGCTCTTTGGCCAGCATTTTAGCAAAGGGAAGCTAGGAGAGCCCAGATCTGGTGATGTGGCTTTGGGTATTTTGCACAAAATGCTGGCAGTGTGTGGGTGCTGTGGCACCTGCCTGAAGACCTGTCGCTGTCATTTCTGCAGCCCGCAGGTCCATGACACTCAGGAAACCAGAATCCTGAGTCCTCAAATCTGATCGCTCACGACTGGTACCACTGGCTGCCTCTTAACTGCCCACAGCGTGGGCGTAGCTGCTGCTGATCTCGGGTCGGTGTCAGGTGCTCCTTCCACCTTCTGAGGGAGTTCATCAGGAGATTCATGGAGGCTGTGAAGAGGATGACAATCATCAGAGCCTGTGCATCACTCATAAGGAAACGGAGAAACCAAAAGATTACAAGGCTTTCTATGGGCACAGCCTTGACTTTGTAAAGCAGGACATTGTCCCTTGACACAGGACAAGCCAGGGCAGGATTTGGCCTGCAGGAAGGACAGAGGTGCCTTAATGGACACCCACGCCCTGCCCACCTCCCTTCACTCTGGAATCAGAGATAAGCATAACCACAGACCCGAAATAAACATGGCAAACCAGGTCAGCTTCAAAAGTTGTTGTTGGTTTTTTCCAAAAATAGAAATTTTATTCTCTAGTGAGGCATTATCAGAAAATGCTGTGAAATTGGTATTCATATTTTATAAAATTTATAAATGTGTAAAACGCTGATGAGCTAAATGGATCTATTTTGTACTGCTGAGCATAATTTTATATGTTATCATAATCATTAATAAAAATTAGATGAATTTAAAAGTCAGTTGCTTGTAGGCTAGTGAAATAGTGAAAGGACTAGAGTTTTCCTTTAACTGGAAGAATTATTACTGCTTAACATACACACATTTAATACCGATTGGTTTGCTATGGAGGAATAACTGAGAAACCAAATGCACTGAGTAGAGTTTATATGAATGTTTCAACACAGCTGCTCTTACATGATTATATTTTTTTAATGCCTAGCAAAAATCCATTATAAGGCTTCAAAGGATTAAACATCACTCAGGATTGACACGGTACTCAGCTGTGGCTGGAGGCAGCAACTTTGCAGTGGTCAATTTTATCTTTTTTTGTTGTTGTTATTCTGCTTCTTTATCCTTCGCTGACCTTCTTCTGCGTCCCATCCTCTTACACATTTTCTGAGTTCCCTCTAAAAAATAAGCTCTATTGGAGCAGAGACACTTTTGTCTTATTTCACTCTAGCACAACACCTGGCACTTTCAGGTGTTCAGAACATCTCCCCGACCACTGGGTGCATAAATGAGTATTATTCCACAAGTCCTACCAGTCTCTTCCTTCTACCAGGGTTAAGATTAATAAAGTGCTCCCTCCTGCCATGTGCAATTAATTGCTCAAATTTCACACTTTTCTGTATTATCTGTGGTTTTAAAGCCCTTGCAAAGTCAGTGATAAATGCACATGTCCCTTAAGATCTTTACACTCTGGGACTCTGCTCTCCACGACGCGTGAATGCTGCTTGTTACTGAAGGAAGGCCTCCTCCTTCTTCTCACACTGCACGTGGTCCTGCAGCGGCCACTTCCAGGCAAGGCACTGCCCAAAGACATCAATGGAGAAACCCCTGACAGTGTGTCCTTCCTCTGAAAGCTCCCCTTTGAGAGTGGGTACTTGACATTCTGGGCTTCCTGCTCCCTGTGTGTGGGCTTTGTATCCATTGGAATAGAGCCAGCTTAATCAAAAGCCCTAGCAGGGCATCATGATTCCACCCACTTCCTTTCTTTCTCGTGCAGTGTTGAGACATACGAATATGAATAAATATAGTGAAAATTCTGTGTTACACACGTTAAGTAAGCTGGAAAAAAAAACTGTTTGTGGGTTTTGGTTTTTTTTTGTTTTTTGCTTTTGGTCAGGATTTTTGATTTTTGTTTTGTTTTGTTGCCTTTGACCTAAAGAGACTTTCTGCAATTGCTGTTTCATTACTTATTTGTACGACTGACTTCCAAACTGAAAGGACCATGTCAAAGTCAGCAGTGATAATATTCAGGCCAAAGAGAAAGAGGAGTTAGAGTCAGAAGAGCTCTTTCAAAGCTGGAGCCTATAAGGGACCACCCATGGACACTGTGGTCACTCAAGGACACAGCCCCTGCGAGACCTGGCCACAGCAGGGCAAAGCAGGGAAATAACACTCTCAATCAACACTCTTCTTCCACCCTCCAGTCCCAATGGCCAAACCCAACCATGAACCAGAGGACAGAGGCTCTCCAGATACTGCAACCCACAGTGGCCAGTCCCTAAGTCACAGAGCAGGACAGAAAAAGATGGGAAATTAGTGGAGGACAGGAGAGCAGGGAATGGAAAATTACCACAAGAGCCTCTACATTTCAGGACATTCAACCCATCCACCAGAAATCTTATAATTTACAGAACAGTATGTGTCTGTTGTGTCTTTGATGACAGAAGTCTTGGAATACTATTCCAAATTTCTTTTTTCTTTTCTTTTCTTTTTTTTTTTTTTGAGATGGAATTTCGCTCTTGTCCCCCAGGCTGAGTGCAATCTTTGCTCACTGCAACCTCCACCTCCTGGTTCAAGCAAGTCTCCTGCCTCAGCCTCCCAAGTAGCTGGGATTACAGGCACATGCCACCACGCCCAGCTAATTTTTGTATTTTTAGTAGAGACGGGGTTTCACCATGTTGGACAGGCTGGTCTCAAACTCCTGACCTCAGGTGATCCATCCTCCTTGGCCTCCCAAAGTGCTGGGATTACAGGCGTGAGCCAACGTGCCCAGCCTATTCCACATTTCATATCTTCATTCTTTGATTATGATGATGTCATTTGCATATTGATGAGGCACTCATATGCTACTTTTTTATCCTTTTCATATTTATTGTATCCTGATTTTCTATCTTTAGGGATACATAATTTAATAATTAAGCTAAATAATGAAGGATCCATTGAGAACATGCTAAATATACCAGGCACTGTCTAACAACATTATAACCCAGATATAATGTTATTATTACAACATTATAACCCACATACTGAGTTATCCTACTTTTACAGATGAGGAAAATGAGGTGCAGACATAAACAAAGCCACAGAGATAGTCGAGGACCAGGTAGGAATAGGAACCCAGGTATCATGGCTCTATCATCAGGATCTAGCCCCCATTCAAAGGCAAAGTCAGATATATAATTGGTCAAATTAAAATACAATGTGACCAATGCTGTGCATACCTCTATTATAGTGCTTATCACATTGTATTGTAATAATGAGGTACAAGGAACTTTGGAAAAATGAATGAGAATAATTGGCTGGCAGAGAAGAGGAGTGGGGAATTCTAGATGGAGGGCCCAGCATTCACAGCAGATGTCAGTTTGGTGTGGCCTCAGAAGAGAGAAAGAGGCTGGAAAGGCATCCTGGTGTCGGGTAGGGAAAAGCATTTGATGGCATTCCCAGGCGTTTGGGTTTTGTCATGAAGATGACAATGACAGGGAGCCAGGCATTTCATTAGTAAAGGAAGAGCCTGATCAGATCTTTATTAAACTCAGAAAGTCAACTCTGGTTACAAGTGGAAGATGAACTGGAGTGGGCAATAGGGGTGTCATTTAAGAGGCTAGTGAAATAGTTGTAGGAAGAGATATTAAAGAATCAAAATAGGGCAGAAGCAGTAGAAATGGAAAGATTTTTCAGAAGGAGCATGAACAAATGAATGAACAAAACTTGGTGATAGATTATAAATGGTGGGAAGTTAAGTATATGACAGGCTAAATAGCTTGAAATGACACTGGTGAGCACCTAAAATTCTACCAAATACTTATCAGTGCAAAGACACCTTTTTAAAAATCAACCTACCATTCCTTCTTTATGTAGTACCCTCTATTTTAAATGATACTTCTTTATAATCTGAATTAGCCAGATTATAGTAGCACACTCCCAGATGCTGTGAGATATGTTATTTCAACATTTTTAATATTTACCAAAACTTTGTGTCATTGGAAACTCTTCACTTACTTGCTGCAAAATTATATATAAGAAACTACCAAGTTAAAATGCTCGCATATTTTGAATGGAGGCATAAAAAACAAAACTATAAATGAATTGTGAAAGGTCCAAATTTATTTTTATGTCTAATACAATGCATGAATATTGCAAATGCATATAGTTTCAAACTATTATGTTTATATAGGAAAGATTCACATTTAAGTTCAAACATTCCCTTCTCTAAGGGTCTTTCCTGAGCACTCAATTTAAAATAGTGCATCCATTTATAATTTTCCAACTTAACATCTTACTTTAATATATTGACTGAATTTATCACTATAAAAAGTATTAATATGTTTATAATTCGTTGTCGTTTCTTCCCGAAAATGTAAGCCCAGTGAGACCAGAGTCTTGGCTGTAGCTTTCCTAGTCACATACTTGGCGCTCAGTAAATATGTGTGGAAGGAAGGAAGGAAAAAAAGAAAGGAGGGAGGGAAGAAGACAGGCTGGACAGATAGACGGATGGTTGAGTGGAAGGATGGATGGACGGATGGAATACTTCTCAGGTAAAACTTCTTGGTTAATGAGAATTTTTATCTCATTTCAATTTTTAGTTCAGAATATTTAAACTAAAATAAAATAAATAAAAACAGTAAAAATAAATAAGTAAATTTGGAGCCTCTCACTCATTGTTGAGTGTCATTTAAGCTCCTACCAACTATTCTCTCTGAAATCACCACTGGAAATTCTTTTTGTCCCAATCATTCTGAATGTCACTTTTCCTGGAGCAAATCTGAGATGCCCTAAAAGTCTGAACAACTGAAATAGGTGAGTTCCTTCTCTATTCCTAGGAAGAATACCAGCGCCTCAGACACATTTTCTTTGTCTTAAGTACAGTCATGTGTCAGTTAACGACAGGGATACCTCTGAGAAATGCATCACTAAGCAATTTTATCATTGCGTGAACATCATAGAGTGGAATTACACAAACCTAGATGGCAGAGCCTACCTCACACCTATGCTCTATGCTATAGCCTATTGCTCCTGGGCAACAAACCTGCACAACATGTTACTGTACTGAATACCTTAGGCAACTGTAACACAATAGCAAGTATTTGTGTATCTCAACATAGCTAAACATAGAAAAAGTACAGTAAAATTATTGTATAGAAGATAAGAAATGGTACACCTGTATAGGGCAGCTCCGTTATAATCTTTTGAGACCGCCGTTGTATATGTGGTCTGTCATTAACTGAAATGTGGTTATGTGGCCTATGCTTGTGCTAACATGTATCATTTTAAGAAACGACTACGTTATGAGTCACTCTTTACATAATTGTCAGTGTGAGAAGGATTTTCAGGGCCAGATTTCAGATTTGATGCTGTTAATCAGTTTCTCTGCAGCCACCAAAATGTCTGTGAGCTCATTTATGTCTGTGGTGGTGACGAATCTAACCTTACAGTTGTCACAATCAGACATTTTACCACCTCTCAAACCAAAATTTCCAAGAGGATCCCAAGGCCCTTTGCTAACTGCAAAATAAACAGACTCCCCTGCCCCCTTCTGCCCCAGCCCCGACCTCTCTCCCTTCCCAAGCAGATACTACCTGGGTGGTAAAAATCTTCTGTTTTCAGGTCTTTAGCAAGGGGAAGTGGGGGAGGAGGGAAGCTCTTTTGTGCATGTTTAGAGTTTGGCCAAGTGGGTAAGTGGGTATTAAGTGTAATTGTAGAGTTTTATGGAACTTAAGAAGTCCCGGATAACACATTTTAAATATCCCTTGCTACATCTGCAGAGTCTTGAATTAGTAGGTAGAAACCACAACATTATGAGATCCCACTGGGTGTCTCATGGCCCTTCAACCTCCCAGGGCCCTCCTGACAAAAGAGCTCAGTGTGGACTTTTGATCTGAGTTTAAGATCAGGTAAGCCCCAGCCCCAGCCCTACCCCTAACAACAGCCCCTGGGTTCTTTCACGAACACCTACAAGAGCTTTGCTGACCCCATCTCTGGCTGAATCTCAGTAGCCTCCCTATCAATTCTCAAAGAAGATGTGGAGCAAAAGTTAGATGAGAAGTCACCATAGAATGTACGGGATTGGTTGGGATTCTGCCTGTCCTATTTCTGAACCCAGCTTTCTTCAGAATGTGTGAGAAACTTCCAGTAGGAAAAGAATTAACTATTTAGTTAATGATGCCAGTACTGTAACTGGGTATGCAACCAAAAGAAAATTATGTTAGATTCCTCTCTACTTTGAAAATACGTGAAAAAAAGGAATGAAATTTCTTCAGGAAAATCTAGGTGAATTTATGCATATGCTAGAACATAAAAATTATTGAGAACATAAAATGAACTCAAGAAACCTTGAGTGGTAGAGACCTTTTTAGAGACAATCTTTTTAATCAACAACTAGAATCTATAAAAGAAAAGAAAGGCCGGGCACAGTGGCTCACACCTCTAATTCCAACACTTTAGGAGGCCAAGGCGGGTGGATCACTTGAGGTCAGGAGTTTGAGACCATCCTGGCCAACATGGTGAAACCCCATCTCTACTAAAAAATACAAAAATTAACCAGGCCTAGTGGCACATGCCTGTAATCCCAGCTACTCAGGAGGCTGAGGCAGGAGAATTGCTTGAACCCAGGTAGCAAAGGTTGCAGTGGGCCTGGATTGCGCCACTGCACTCCAGCCTGGGCAACAGAGTGAGACACCATCTCAAAAAAAAAAAACGTATTTGAATATATAAAAGTTAAAATACTTTCTGACAAAAATACCATAAACAAGGTCAAAAGACAAGCTTTGATCTTGAAAATTAATCTTTGCAACTCAAGAAAATCAGAGGTTGAAAATCTGTAATACAAATTTCAAAGAGCTCTTGCAACTTGAAAAAAAGAGGAGATACAACCCTGGGAAAACTGGTAAAGAATATGAAAAAGTTGGTCAGAGAAGAACAAATTCAAATGATTGATAAACCCATTAAAAAATGTCAACTTTTCCAGTGGTGAAGGAAATGAAAACTAAGGTAACAATGATATATCACCTTATAACGATCAAATTGCCAAAAATTGAAGAGTTATTTATTTTTGGAGGGGACATAAGTAAAAGGATGCTTTCATGCATTGTTGGTAGAAACATGCATGAAAGCAATTTTATAGCCTTTCAGGGGGGAATGCAATCCACAATATAAACTAAAATTTTTAAAACCCCTATACCCTTTAGCCCATAAAGTTATCTCATAGAAACAAAAGCACTAATATTCAGTACTTTTGTAATAACAGGTAATATTTATTGAGCCCTTATTATGGGCCAGGTATTTTTGCAAAGGCTCAACATGAATTACATAACCTAGTATAATCCTCTATTTTACAAATGAGGAAACTCATACCCATAGAGGTTTAAACTTGCCCAATACAAGAGCTAGTAAGTGACAGAGGTAGGGAGCAATCACATGCAGTCTGACTCTAGAGTGCAGACTTTTTTTTTTTTTAGACAGAGTCTTGCTCTGTCACCAGGCTGGAGTGCAATGGCACGATCTTGGCTCACTGCAACCTCCACCTTCCTGGTTCAAGCGATTCTCCTGCCTCAGCCTCCTGAGTAGCTGGGACTACAGGCGCCCACTATCACACCCGGCTAATTTTTGTATTTTTAGTAGAGACGGGGTTTCACTATTTTGGCCAGGCTGGTCTCAAACTCCTGACTTCATGATTGGCCCGTCTCGGCCTCCCAAAGTGCTGGGATTACAGGCGTGAGCCACCGCGCCTGGCCTAGTGCAGACTTTTAAAAGCTATGCTGGACTGCCGCACAAAACACCCAGGTGTGTTTATTTCAGCATTGTTTGTAAAGACACAAACCTAGAAGCAATGCAAATGTCCATCGGCAGGGGAATGGTTAAATGTATTACAGCAGATCCACACTGCACAGTCATATGAGGCATAAAAAAGACTGAATTAGAACCTTACCAGGTGATAGAGAAAGATTTCCTCAAGATATTGTTGAGAGAAGAAAAGCAGAAAAGCATGAAAAACGCAATTCAAAAACTGAAAAATAGTAACCCCAAGCCTGTGTGTATGTAGCTAGAGATATGTAAATATAAATATATTAGTATGTGATTATATGATTCAGATAAAAAATATGGAAGGGCACATTTTAGATTATCAATATGTGTCACAGGAGATGAGCCGAGGTAACAGGAGCCAGCCATGCCAGGAGAAGCCAAAGTCTATATAAAAATTACATCTGTGGGTAAAAAATAAATAAATCTCTTACAGCCAAGATGCCATTTGGTAAAAATGTCTTAGCTTAATTATTAGTGGTAAACAAATGTCTTAGATATGCATTCATCAATGCACTATTCTTATCACCTAAGGACTTGATGCTGGGTTCTACAAACTGTTCTACACATGAGCTCCTGGCATATTGTGAATGCCTCATGTATATGGTACAACTATGCTCACCCTACCCTGGGTCTCTTCCCTTCTTTATCTCTTTTTCCATTTATCCCCCCTTTACTCAGCACAGACCTCTTTACTAATTCCCTACTGTCTACGAAATGGAGTCTGGACTCCTCGGATTCTCAGGACAGCCAAAGCACGAGGACCACCTGCCTTGAGACACCATCTGCCTCTCCCGGGCAGCTCCTCCTCTGCCCTCCCCACGCTTCCTTAGGCTTTGCTCTGCTGCCCATATGTGCGCGATTGTTTCTTCTGTTCTTCTTCTCTCATTTACATGGGCGCAAATTTCCTACCCTGAAAATCCACTTAAAATACTGTGTAGTTCATTCATGATTTCTTCATGATTTCCTGCACCTTCTCAAGACAAATATGTTCATCTTCTCTTGAATTATTTTTTTATTATTATTATTCTACTTTAAGGTTTTTTTTAAAAAAAACACAAAGGTTTCCAAACCCTTTTAGCTGGAACCTTGTTCTCCAATCTAGAACAGACGAAAGTGAAGCCTTGCCTCTGGCAAGGAGGGGTGCCTGGTTCACTGAGCCCCTCAGGCTCTTCCTCCTCCCCATCTCTATGCTTCTGTGCAAAATAGCTTGAGAAAGCACTGCTCTAATCTACTGTCTGCGTCTCTCCTTCCATCCCTCCCTGGCCACTTTGTGTTAGCTTTTAAACTGGATCAGGGCAACATCTTATTGTTCAGGTTTGCCCTCTGCAGCCAGCGTGGTTTCTGGCATGGAGGCAGCACCCTTCAGGTCCTGAGGCAGGTGCCACACAGCAAAAGGCAAACCCAGGTTTCATGCCTGCTCCAACTCTCAGTAGAACCTGGGCAGCTTTCTTAACCTATCTGAGTCTCAGCCTCCTAGTTCACCAAAAGGACATAAGAGTGCCTGATGTGGTTTGACGGATGCGTCTCTCAGAATTCATATGTTGAAACTTAATCACCAACGTGATGATATTAAGAGGTGGGGCCTTTAAGAAGTGATTAAACGATGAGGGCAGAGTCATGAATGGGAGTAAGGCCCTTATAAAAGGCCTTGAGAGAGTGAGTTTGCCCACTAGGTACAGTAGCACCACCACGATCACCCCCAGCTGTCACAACCAAAAATGTTTCCAGACATTGCCACAATTCTCCTAGGAGGCAAAATCACTCTGTTGAGAATCACTGTTTTCATGATGGAAGACTGGAAAAAGAAAAGGTTAAGCAAAATTTTTGCAGGATTAAAAGTATTTCTGTAGGCCTAGAGTTTTAGGAAAACATTTTCAGCCTTGGAATACGTCATGGCTGCGGGTTGAATATATGTGTTTTTCCAAAATTCATAGGTTGAAACTTAACCCCCAAGGTGATGGTATTAAGAAGTCAGACCTTGGCTGGGCAAGGAAAGTCATGCCTGTAATCCCAGCACTTTGGGAGGCCAAGGCGGGTGGATCACCTGAAGTCAGGAGTTCAAGACCAGTCTGACAACATGGTGAAACCCCATCTCTACTAAAAATACAAAAATTAGCCAGGCGTGGTGGCACATGTCTGTAATCCCAGCTACTCAGGAAGGCTAAGGCAGGAGAATCGCTTGAACCTGGGAGGCAGAGGTTGCAGTGAGCCTAATTGCATTGCACTCCAGCCTGAGCAACAAAAGCAAAACTCCATCTCAAAAATAAACAACAACAGAAAAAGAAGTGAGGCGTTTGGGAAAGTGATTAAGTCATGAGGGCTCCACCTTTGTGAATGGGATCAGTCCCCCTATAAAAGAGGTTGAAGGGAGTGGCCTAGTCCCTTTTGCTCTTCCCATTCTGCCATTTGAGGATACCGCAAGGTGTCCATCTTAGAAGCAGAGAACAAGGCCTTACCAGACCCTGAATCTTTTGGCACCTTGATCTTGGATTTCTCAGCCTTCAGAGCTGTGAGAAATAAATTTCTATTATTTATAAATTACTCAAGCCATGGTATTTTGTTATAGCCACAGGAATGAACTAAGACACTCACATATTAGACTTCTCTGATTATTGGACCAGCATAACTGAACCACACACTTTAGTTTTCAAATGTTGGCAACTGAAGAACTTACTTTAAGTAATGACCTTCAAGTAATGACCAGGTGAGTCTCGGTGCAGTTAGTCCACTGAGTTCATGTCCTGATTCCCTGCTAGTCCATCCAGAAGAGAATCTCCCAGATGCTGTTATCATTTGCTTCCCAAGACAGTTGCCTCCTGGACTGAGTCAGAGGGAAAAGCTTAGATAGAAGCCACACCTCTGTCTCCAGCCATAAGCGGGCTGCTGGAAGGATTCCCACAGAGTTGCCATGGGCTCTTCATGAAGGCTGGAGGTTAGCTATGGCCCTGGCGTGCTCTCACCTGCCCCACAACAGCCACCTCACCCTCCAAGCAGGCCTGCAGCTGCGCAGGAGTTCTAGACACCATGCCTCAGTCCTCCCACAGGCCAAGAGGGAAAAATTACAAAGCAAACCACTGGTGGGGATGCCAGGGCCTACACCAAACCCCCTATTAGCTGTGGAGACAGGAGACTAGCCTGTGGCCAAACCCTGAACTCAGCCCACAAGAATGTGCACGGAGCACAGGGAATGACAGCAATGCTGGCCTTGGTATAAAAGCCAGGAGCAGGGAAATTTGATTGTGCCAGGAGGACAGGGAGCTGCAGAGAATCAAAACTCTGCTTCCCTAATATTTATTCCAAAAACAGCTCCGTGGTGGGGATGTTATTGCTGGCACTTCCGCCTACTCTTTGTACTGTGTGTTCTCTTTCCAAAGGTAGTTCTGCTTGTTTGTTTGTTTGTTTGTTTTGAGATGGAATTTCGCTCTTGTCCCCCAGGCTAGAGTGCAATGGTGCGATCTTGGCTCACTGCAACCTCCTCCTCCCAGGTTCAAGCAATTCTCCTGCCTCAGCCTCTCAAGTAGCTGGGATTACAGGTGTGTGCCACCAGGCCCGGCTAATTTTTGTGTTTTTAGTACATAAGGGGTTTCTCCATGTTGGCCGGGGGGGGTCTCGAACTCCTGACCTCAGTTGATTCACCTGCCTCGGCCTCCCAAAGTGCTGGGATTATAGTCATGAGCCGCCATGCCTGGCCTTGCTCGTATTTTTAAACACCAGCATCAAACAGCCCTGAAAACTGCTCTTTCTAGGAGCTTGGCTTTGTGGGGCCGCTAGAAGGATGCAAGGCCTTTGAGGAGACAATGTCAGAAGAGAGAGAAATCTTGAATTATAAGAGAGAGCAAAAAGTGGATGGAAGAAGAGCCCAGAGGAGGCAGGGAAAGACAATAGATAGCCCAAGTGAAGACATTAGCTTTGAAAGAGAGTCAGCCCCAGCAGGAGAATTGCTTGAACCCGGGAGGTGGAGGTTGCAGTGAGCAGAGATCTCGCCATTGCACTCCAGCCTGAGCAACAAGAGGGAAACGCCATCTCGAAAAAAAGAAAAGAGTCAGCCCCTTTTTCCTTGAGATCGAGGGAAATAAATGGCAAGTGTAGATTGCAGATGTACTTACTAATGAGAGAGGCGCCGAAAGCAAGAACCAGAGGGAGGGAGAGGCTGGTGATATGAGGGGGATTAGATAAAAAGAAGACCCCCCCAATTAGTGGGGTGTAAGGAGGCAAGGATGCATGTGCCTGCAGGCGGTGGTGTGAGAGGAGGCCAAGTGGAGCCATTCATACTCTCAGCTTCTAGAAAAGCCTCTGTCCTCCATCCCTTCTTCCAGTATCCATGAGGAAATGCAATGAGTGATGCCTAAGGCAAAAAACTTCACTTTTGACCTTCAGACTATGTTTTTCATCTTAAAAAAAAAGATGAGGGACTTGGAATGGGTGGTTCTCAAATTTTAGTCGGCAACTGCAGAATTTATTTTAAATGCAGATTTCCATAACCCACCCCATAGAGTCTGATCTCCAGGTACCTAGATCTTAACAAACACCCCAGGGATTCAGATACCAATGGAAGGGTCACCACCACCTTTGAGAAATTTTGCCTTAGATGTTAGCAGCGTCAAGAGTCTTTCAAAGAGTGTGAGAAAAAAAGCTGGCTGTTCATGCAGTTTTCACACTCTGAAATGAAATCTACCCCAGGCAGACACAACAGGTTTTCACTAGATTTTCTAATATATAAGAAGTTAGAAAATATGAGAAGACCAAACCTGAAGGCAGTAACACTGAGTAAAGCATGGAAACATACATTGTGTGGGAACGTCATGAAGTCTTATTACTTAAATAATGAGGTTGAGAAAGGATAATTATTTTTAATTAAACAAAGTTAGAAGGATAAGGAAAGAGGGGTATCTTTGAGATGGGTTTTTAAAAATGTAATAGAACTTAGCAATTATGAAGTACTTTTCATCTTCAAAGAACCTATTAACATTAAATTACTCTTTCTTTTCATTCTCCTGTGAGGTAAGTAAGCAAATACTAACATTATTATCCCTTATTTGTAGATGGGAAGAGAGGAGTGGAGAGGCTTTGACATGCCCATGCAGAGCTAAAATTGAAAGAATTCTTTTTTCACAAGTTCCTACTAGAGACTGTGGAGACCCAGGTTTGGGGCTATTGTTTCACCTCTAGCTCTCCCGTGTGCTTGTAATATTTGGAAAAGAAGTTACTGCAAAATTATGTAAGCAAGCATTAGTGGGAGGTGGAAGGAGCTCCTGTGTCCTGTAGAGGGGCATGAAATGCTATTTACAAGTCTCCAAATTTCCCTGGTATATCAGGATTTAAACTGAGGAGGTTTTCACGAGAATCAGCGTTAATTAACTTGAGCAGACTCTTTACATTATCTTATTTCAGCATCCTAATATAAAATAGGGATTAAAAATTATGCTTTATTTGTTGATTCAAAACTCTTTTTTATGAATGTATTATGGCATGATTACACAAATGAACATCGATGCTGCCTACCTTAGAAATTTGCTTCAAGGACAAAGGAAAGTAAAGCACTCTAGTAACAATATCAAGCCCAATAATCGGTCGGAATATGTGGTCAGCATCATGGCTGAGAAATTTTTAGGCTTGACTCTAAGTATGAAAATTAACAAAATTGGAACTATTATTTAAATTACTGAAAATGTAATTTCCATGAAATCAGTTCATTTCCTGAATATTTAAATGCTAAATAGAATGGACAGAATCAATATATTGCATTCAAAAGTCTTTTTGTCTGTTGGGAGAGGTTTAAAAAGCAAATTATATGAAAGTATAAAGACGTCTTTCTGTTCAGCCCAGTTTCATGAGAGGAGGGATACATTCAGCGGGGTGGAGGGTAAAGAGTTTGACAACAACAGAAACTGGAATGACAGGAGGGGTGGGCCCATTGTAAACCACCTAGCATCAGTTATTCTCAATTAAAAATAGCGCAGCTGAAAAAAGTACTGCAAATGGCATTAGCAGAGGTGGACCAGGGACAGAGGTACAATCCTAATCAAATTGAGAACAGAACCAAGGTAGCTCAGTGATCTCAGGATCGGAGAAGGGGGATGTTGGTGGAGATGTATAAAACTAATGATCAGGAATATCATTGTGAACGATAAATGGGAATCACTATAGACCTCTAGGGAAGTGTGTGATGTAATCCAGGAAATGGATCCTCCAGCCTAGGCTGAGAGCAGATCAGCCTTGGGACCTTTAGGGGTACAGAGGAGAGGGGAGGCTTCCTACTTTCAGATGATGAATAGAAAACAAAGGCTACACTGGCTGTCCCTACTATCCAGACTTCTAGGGACTTTCTCTTTATAGTCTAATTTTAAAGAGTATCAATAAATTCTATTATCTAAAGAAAAATATCATCAGTAGGTAAATCTTCAAAACAATAAAGCATCATAGAACATAGTCACAAGCCTCAATATTATACTGATTTAGTATTTTATTTGGCTTATGCATTCCATATTTTCCCTCTATCTATGCAATTAATTCAGAACCAATTACTTAAATAGCTTCAGGTATTTCTGGTATCCTGATTGTATCAGTACATAGATCTTGTGTGGCATGGCAACTTGATGTTGTCAGAGCCATTATTATTTTGCCATTCATGTGAAAATTACAGAATGCTACATCAGTTTAGACTTAGGTCATATTTAAATAATTCTAACATCTTCCTGAAGCATAATGTCCCTAGATTGTACACTCCATGGGAGCATGAGGGCCTTGTCTATTATGTTCACTAAGTATTCCAGCAGTTAGCACAGTGCCTTGCAGATGATAGATAACTTATGATTCATAGAAAGATTGAATGAATGAATGGAGTGGAAATTCTAAACATTGTTTGGTTTAGCCCAAGTTGATTTTTTTTAACCTGACTCAGATTTATGGAAATATTGTGCATTGGTTAATGCATCACAGGTAAGAAAGAGATAATAACATTTAAAGGGTCAATAAGGCACTCTGGGTTCTGCCCGGAACACAATGGCATTGCCATTCCTGTATTCTCTGGTCTGTGCAGCTCAAATAATTAAGGCTTCTAAACCTTCACCTTCCTGTATTATCCAGTTAGATGAAGATATAGCAGGGCCAGGTGCAGTGGCTCACGCCTGTAATCCCAACACTTTGGGAGGCCAAGGCAGGAAGATTGCTTGAGTCCAGGAGTTTGAGACTACCCTGGGCAACATAGCAAGACCTGTCTCTACAAAAAATAAATTAGCCAGGCATGGTGGTGTGCAACTGTGGTCCCTGCTACTCGGGAGACTAAGGCGAGAGGATCACTTAACCCAGGAGGTCAAAGCTGCAGTGAGCCGAGATCGCATCACTGCATTCAGCCTGGGCAACAGAGTGAGACTCTGTCTCAAAAAAAGAAAAAATTTTTGAGGCTATAGCAGGTTTCAGAGCACTTTAGTTATCCAGGCAAGCAGCCTTTTATGGTCAAATTTTCTATATAATTCTGGGCTTGGAACTAGACACTGTATCTCATTCTAAAACTAGATAAATTCCCTTCTTGCGTGAAATTAAATATATTACTTTAGTGGAACACTTACAAATTCCAAGATCCTATGCTGAGTGAAAGGTGTTCTGGACAAGCAAGGAGGAGGGCTATGCTGCGGGTGGGCACTCCCTCACTTTCCTAAGGCTGCCATAGCAAATTACCACAAACTGGCCATTCTCAGTTCTGGAAGCCAGAAGGCCAAAATCAAGGTGTCAGCAAGGCCACACTCCCTCTGAAGGCTCCAGGGGAGACCCTTTTTTTACCTCTTTCAGCTTCTGGGATTTCAACGGCTCCTTGGCTTGTGGCTGCATCACTCCAGTCTCTGCCTCTGTCTCACATGGCCTTCTCATCGGTTCCTGTGTCCTCTCCTCTCTATCTCTTATAAGAACGCTTGTCGATGGATTAGGGCCCACCTGGATAATCCAAGATCATCTTATCTTGAGGTCCTTTACTTAATTATATCTTCAAAGACTCCTTCTCCAAATAACATCACGTTCACAGGTTCCAGGGTTTAGGATATGGGCATATCTTGTGGGAGCCAATATTCAACCCATTCAGATACCTCCCATCATGGAAACCACCAAGTTTAATAATGCAGTATTATGTTTCACTCTGAACCTTTGGAGTGTCTGTTTCTAAAGAATACACCAGATTTTGATAGAAAATTCACCAATCTTTCCAAAAGCCCCCAAAGGCCTCTGAGAAGAAATTGGTAGTATTCTCCCAAGGTAAACAGAGAAACCAGTGAAAAAAATTTCAACTGTTTGCCTGAGCTCATAAAGCAAATTCACAAAAAAGTCAACCTGGAGAACTAATGACTGAGGCTCAGACAACGGTAAAATAGCTAGAAAGTTAAATAACTAAAAACTGAGCTATTAGCTAACGTTAATAGCTAAACTGAGAGCTAAGCTATTTTGGTCCATTAATTAACTACTTTGATTAATTTTGTAGAGTGAATTGTTCAGTCGTTTGACCATGAAAGGCTGCTTGCCTGGATAACTAAATGCACATCGTTTTTGCGACTTGTAGACATAATCTCAGTCATGAGCATCCATGATATCGCAAAACAAAATATTTCAACTCTCCCAGTAAAGAATATTTGGAAGCTAAGGAGAAATCATGCTTTAGAGGTCAATGAAAGCATCTTTGAGGGCCAGAGTGGTAACATACCTGGACACATCTAGATACGGGAGGAAATCAAAGGTGGGGTAATGTTCTCTATATTTATGGGAAGGTTTATTTTCCTGGATCTTTGTTCCTTAACTCCTTTCCACATTAACCTAATTTAATCCTTATAATCTGGGAAAATGTGATTGATACATTCAGTATTAACACAAGCTAACCAGAATGATGGGTCAAAAAATATCACACTTTCGAATGATCAGTTTTACCACAACTGGTTTTTCATTGAATTGAAGAGCAATACTAAGTATGTTATTTGCCATCTCTATATGGTCAGAGGGTTTGTTAAGAGTCTGCATAAGGTACTTTTAGAAGTGCTTTCTCTAAAAGAGAGGCACACCGCACACTTGGCCCACCACGTTGAGGGGAAGCAGCTCTGGTCTCACTCCTCTGCCCCCCTGCAGGGCAGATATTAATGGAGGGGACTTGGCGGCACCAGGGCTAGACATTCATTTCAGTTGCTAATTAGCAATCCGAAGATAATATCCTGTCATTATCCTGTGTTGGCAGAGTCTCTTTCATGGCAGATGAAGAAAACTTCAAGTTTTCTCAGCTAATTTGTAAAATCATTTCCACATAAAGGGAAGCTATGAAAACCAAATATAAATCATGACTTGCATCTGCAATATTTAAACAATTTTTATGGGGCATTGGGGAGGAGATTCTTTACACATTCCCCAAAACAGTATCTGAATAAAGGTGGGTGTAGAGAATAGACCAAACCTACCTAACCCCCGTGGCAGTGACCTACATTCCACTCCAGCCACCTGCTCCCACAGTGGCCCTCTCAACCTCATTATCACCCAGAACTGTGCCATGTCAGAAACTGAAAACTCTAAAATCCTACTGTCAATCATTCTACAGCCGGCGTTCCCACCTCCTCCCCCTACCATCGCTCCTTGCCAAGCTCGTTCTCACCTTGGATTCTCTGTCTCCTCATAGTCTGGCATGGCCTCCTTCATCCCAGGCCTCCTGAGCGCCTTCATTCCCTGCACACCCAATTCCCTCCCTGCTCCATGCTTGCACCCCATCTGAAGGACAAAACGCCACTGTGGATTAGTATTGTAACTCACTCTTCCCCATTCCATGCCAGGGTAGTTTTCTATAGCTCTAGCCCTGGAGAAAATGAAATAATTCCAAGAAAGGGTACAATTCTAAATCACACTCCCTGACCTCAGAAAGTGCCACAGCAAAGCTCACCAGTCCTGTTACAGGGGCATCTTCCATTTGACTGTCCCAAAAGCCTCCATCAACCAAAATCACGTCCACTGTGAGATGACTTCAGACCCTACTGAAATGGAAACACTGAGGTGACCACTTCAATTTCTCACCCCAAATAAAAATGCTACCCAACCTTAACACCCTCGCTGGAGTCCATTCCTCCACTCAAGTTGGACCTGCCCACTCAGGCTCTAGGCCCACCAGTCCCCATCTCCATGCCTCTCCAGCAGTCATCCCTTTCTCATGGATCTTTACACTTCATGCTCTCCCCCTGCTCTGCTCCTCTCCCTCACTCACTTCCTCACCTACTGAAGTCTGATTTCAGTAATCGTCACCAGCACTGCCCTTTCCATGAGCAGCAGAGACCATCTAATCAACAGAGCCAGTGAACTCTTACCACTTTTTACTTTTTTTATTTTTATTTATTTTTTTTTTGAGACAGAGTTTCGCTCTGTCACCCATGCTGGAGTGCAGTGGTGCAATCTCGGCTCACTGCAACCTCCGCCTCCCAGGTTCAAGCGATTCTCCCACCTCAGCCTCTCAAGTAGCTGGGATTACAGGCCTGTGCCACCATGCTTGGCTAATTTTTTTTTTTTTTTTTTTTTAGTAGAGATGGGGTTTCACCACATTGGCCAGGCTGGTTTCAAACTCCTGACCTCAGGTGATCCACCCACCTCAGCCTTCCAAAGCGCTGGGATTACAGGCATGAGCCACCATGCCTGGCTCATGCTTTACTGTAATCGACACTTTACTGCAGTAGATACAAACTCCTATTTGAAACTCTACCATCTTAGATTCTGACATGCCATTGTCACCTAGTTTTTATTATATCTTTATTATAAGTAAATAAACATAGTTTTATCACATCAGTAAGGTATACTCATTATGAAAAAATTTAATATACATAAGAAAATATCTCCATACAGAAATAAATGCCATTATTCTTCTGACCTAAGTTTTTCCATATCTTTTATGGATGGATGGATGGATGGATGGATGGATGGAAAGACAGATATAATTTTATATAAAATATAGCAATGTAATCAAAGTTTACTGCTTTATAAACTTCTCTCCATACTAACATATGAATTCTAAATTTATATTTTCAGCTCTGACCTCTCTATTGAGCTTCAAACTTTATTATCAAAATACCTACTAGACATCTCCACTTTGATCCTCCTCCAAGTTAATAATTAATCTCTCCCACCAAGCCACTTCTTCCTGTCATCCTTCTCTTCTGCTGCTGCTCACTGTCCTGCTGATTTACCTCCAAATTGTTCGGCATGATGCCCTTGACATATTGTAATAACCTCCAAATCTGCCCCCTCCTAAAATCTATATCCTTCATATGGGTGCAAAGTGATTTCTCTAAAAATGCCAAAACAAGCATGTCACTCCCCTGTTTAAACCTGTCAATGGGTTCTCATCGTCTACAGTTTAAAGGGTGAACTTGTTGGCATGGAAAATAAGACCTTCCAGGACCTCCTGCTATCTCTCTCCACAACCTTATCTCACATCTTGTCCTTCCTCATTCTGTATGCTCTAGTAATCATGAATTGCACGCTGTTCTAAACACATACCATTATCTTTCCTGACTCTTTTCCGATGTGATTTTATTTTCTTGGAAAGCCTTTCCCTGTCCTCTTAAGCAAACTAATTTCTATTCATTCTTCCAGGCTAATTCTTAGGCTTACCTCACTTGTCACCTCCTTCAGGAGGCCTGCCTGGATTTAACCCCGCCAGAGCCAAGCTATGCTTCCTCCCCGGAGTTTTCACAGCACCCTGTGCACTTCTCTTCACCACTTGCTCTGTGGTGATGAGATACTGCATTGCTGTGTCTATCTCCCTTCCTAGCTTGTAAACTCAAAATGAATGAGTACCTTAGGATCTTCCTATGCACCTGGCACATAGTAGGCACTTGATAAGTTTGTTGAAATTGGAAACGTATGAACACACTGCAATTTCCCTCACATTGAAAAAACAACAACCCAAACCTCCATGTCATGCCCTCCTCCACTGACCACTCCACTGCTCCCCTTTAGAGGTGCATTCCTAGAAAGAGTTATCTGTGCTGGCTTTCTCCACTGCCTCTCCTCCCATTCTCTCCAGCCAGCTTCCTCCCCTGCACCCCTAATGAAGATTGCCAAAACCATCTGGTGACCTCTCAGACTGCTTACTACCTGATCTCAGAGGCATTTGACACAGTCGGCCTCTGCCTCCTTCCTGCACCATGCGCTCCACATCCCTGTTCCTCCAGCCTCGCCACCTGTTCTTTCTCATGTACTTTATTGTTGCCTCTCATCTTCCAGATCCCCGAATGCTGCATCAATTAACATTCAGCCCTGGGTCCGCCTCTCCATCTGCACAAACTTCCTCCATGATCTTGTCCAGATGCCTGGCTTCAAATGCCATCTGCATCCTGACGGCCCCACAGTGACATCTGTAGTGCGGCCCTGTGCCCGGAGGTACTGACTCCTAAGTACAACTGCCTGCTCCACAGCTCCACTCAGATATAAATAGGCAGCACAAACGTAATATGTCTGAAAGAGAACTCTCCATTTCCTCCTCCAAGCCCTGTTCTGGTGTTTCCCATCTCAGTAAATGGCACCCGGTTGCTCTGGCCCAAGGCCGTGGACTGTTCCTGGTGCCTCTCTTTTTCTCATCTCTCCCCTTAAATGCATCAGTAAATTCCCTTGGCTGTATCTTGAGAATACATCCAGACTCTGACCTCCTCACCTCCACTACCACCCCCAGTATAAGCCACCATCACCTCCCATCTGGATGCAGAAGCCTCCAGACAGGCCTCTGCCTTCACTCTTGCCAGACTCACCTCTCTCCATGCATCATCCAGAGTGATCATTTTAACACATCGGTTCATTCCAAAGACCCTACACGAAACTTCCAATGGATTCCCATCATACTTAGAATGAAATCTAAAGTCCTTCCCATGGCCTGCCAAGTCCGGCATGATCTATCCCCTGGGTGCCTCTCCAAACTCATGTTCTGCCATTTCCCCCTTCTCTCTCTGGAGTCCACCCCCACTGGCCTCTTTGCATTGCTCAAGCAAACCACACACCTTCCCACCTTAGATCCCCTAAGCTGTCCCCCAGCTTGTGATGCTCATTCTCCAGGAGCTCACTCTTTTTCTTTACTCAGGTCCTGCATCATCCCCTCAGCAATGTTGACACTCCCTGGCACATTCAGAAGGAATTATTCTCCCCCATCATCACTTCCCCAAAAGAAACCTGGAGCCCAAATTATTGGTGGGAGTTTAAGATGATATTTGGTGGGGTAGGAAGTACACTTACAGATTCAGAGAATGATGAAAAGCTGCTCAAATGTGCAGAGTGGAGCACAAAGCCTTAGGGGTAAGACCTGCATTGCCTCAGAGGGCCCAGTCAGCCTTCTTCAAGTTTTCAAGAAAGGCAAGTTAGAAAGGAGTATATCATCACCTGTTTAGATATATTTTCCCACACCCTGTGCTCTATTCCAGTGGTTCTCAAGAGAGGTTGATTTTGCACCATCACTCTCCACCGCCAGTGGACACTGGCAATGTCAGGAGGTAGTTTGGGTTGTCCCAGCTTGGGAGGCTGGTACTACTGGGCATCTAGTAGGTAGGAGTCAGAGATGCTGTTAAACATCCTATAATACACCAGAAAGCAAACATCAACAGTGCTGAGGCTGAGGAACCAACTCTATTCTTTTGAGAACTGCAAAAGACTCCTTAAAGGAACTTAACCCATGCAAGTCCTGGTCCATTACCAGGGAAGCAGTGTCTGGGAAAGATCCAGGAAGTATCAGAGATAGAAAACATGACTGCTACAGAAAGAATCTTCTAGAACTCAGCTGACACAAACCACCTGGCTGTCAACCTACAGGTGGTAGGCAATGCATAGGTGAATGCAGTCCCCAGAGTCATGGCTTGGGAAACAGGACATTACAATGGTGTCCTGGAGGCATCCAGGCATGGATGCAGTTATAGCAACCCTCTGGCCTCATTCACTGACCCAACAAAATGTGTGAACCCCCAAAATTTGCCAGTACAGTGCTTGTTTCGACAGACGTTTGTGCTCCAGAAGATGCCATAGTGGTTAGAAGAGGCCTTTATAGACTAACGACTGCGTGCAGGGTTTTTAACAGACCTCAGTGTCCTGCCACATGTTCCTGCATCTGCCTCAGCCCCCACCTCCTCACCAAAGGCACAAGAGCCAAGCACATTATCACCAAATGCCCAGCCTCTTTACAGTGCCCAGTACACCATGTGATCAGCTCTCCAGGCAGGAAGACCCAGCTTTGGGTCTCCCAAGTCTGAAGCTTATCAGGGAGTATTTTTCATGCTGAGCTGTGATGCATCAAAAGATGCAGAAGCCAAGAATTAAGCAGAAGGAGATGAGTAGCCTGATCTGTTGGGGCAACAGATCAAGAAGAAGAGACTAAGAAGGTCACCCAAAGCAGGAGACCCCTTGAATCAATCCTTAGCAGCCCAAGTTTAATGCCGGGAAATCAAACTGCCAGAAATGCCCTACAGAGCCTTTTCAGACTTGGCATATTGCCTGGGTGCTGCACTGAGGGTTTCGCTCAATTTTTATATCACTTTCGTATAAAAGGATTAACTAGAAGGCTTTTAAAGTCTTTTCTTTCACTATCCAAAATGTCCTTCCAGAGTATCATTAGGTCTTTTATTTTCTTGGCTTGGCAAACTATCCCGCTTCCCCTTCCATAAATCGTGGCCTGTAAATAAGAGATTCCTCTTGCAGACTTCCCAACTGCATTTTTTTGTCATTACAAAAACTGCTTTCGTTTAAATAATCTGTTGAAAAATACACTGAAATCATTACATACTAATTCCTGCTAAAACATGTTCCCCAACAGTAGTTCACTAGAGAAACTGAAGAGGGAGAGAAGGAAGGGAGAGGGAGACCTGCTATTTCAGCCCCTTGATGTAAAACATTTGCCACATCTTTCCATACATTGACTCAGCCCCTAAATTCTCCTCTGCAGTTTGTGCTTTCTGTCCATCTTCCTGGGTAGAGACCTACTGCAGCTATTGGAAATTTGAGCAATTAACCTAGTCAAACAGGGTTCAAATGGTATAAGACATTTCAGACATTTTCTGTGGGTTTGTATAGTTGCGCTCCACTGGGATAAAACCAGATGATAATTTTCAGTTTAATTCCATTCAACAAATCTTAATTGAGACCTTAACTGTGCCAGGTACCATGATACATAAATGCTGTTTGTAAGCAGAGCAGAAGTTTGCAGCAGGAAATTTCAGGCTAGCCACTGTCAGCCCAATCCACGTTTTCACTCTTCAATTCAGAATGGGTTTTTAGGCCTAGGGTTCTGAGTGTGATGTAAGAAACTAGACATGCCAGTCTATGGATAGGAATTCATTAGACTCTCAGGTGGACTGACCTCCACTAGTCCTTGTACAAAGGACTTTTAGCATCTTAGCAGCTGTCCTATACAGTAGGTGCCAATATGATTCCCATTTTGCAGGCAAGTTAACTGATATTAAACAGGTGTCCCAAAGTCACACAGGTCACAAGATCCAAACCAAGGCAGCCTAACATCAGACCTTGTGATATCATCCTCCACAGCACATTGCCTTCCTTGAATTGTTGGCAAATGGCCCGAAGAAGAGTCAAGTCAACAAACAGCAATGCGCTGAAGGGGAGGGTTGAGTCTTTTTGGGGCCTTTAAGCCACTTGGGAAGATGGGCTGGAAATGTGTGAAACTCAATTACCTTTTGAACTCTCACTAAAATGTGCAAAACCCAGATGGAACTATGAGAAATCCTTGCCAATAACATTAGCTCCCTTCAGATCTCCTGCCGTAAGAGCCCTCCATGTGTTTTTGAAAGGTCAGAGTGGCTGTAGTTTTCTTCAGCGTAGGTCAAGTTCATCTCCCAGACATCTGGGGAGGTGCTGATGTGCGCGCACCAAGAGTGACATTTGCTCATTCCCAGTTCACAGTCCCAGTGCACACTGGGTCCAGGCTTCCCCTCAGGATCTATGAGCAGAAGGATAAGGATGAAAAACATATATGTTTCCATCAGAGGGGAAACGGCTGAACCAAGCATAGAGCATTCCTAAAAAGAAATATTTTGCAGTGTATTAAAGGATAATGAAAACCACTATTTGCATGTATCGAGGGTGTCCGTACTGTACCGTGGTGGGAACATGATGGCACAGAGGTCCCATCTACGTATGTATGCCCCTGCTCTCACCAACTGGTAATCAGGGGAAGAGTCATCTCAGGGCCATAAATGTCACCTTGGGTGACAGAGTTGACTCACTTTTTTAAAAATATTTTATATATCACTTGTATTTTACTTTACACTAAAAAATACCAATTCTGTTATTTTTCTTTGGCAGGAGGGAAGGGGTTGATGATACCAAAAACAAAAACTTGCAACATACTAAAACCAAGGATATGAAAATAACTTATATCAGAGTCCAGGAATGTTCCCACAAACCACAGAGTTGTGGTTTGGATTGAGGAATCTAACCATGAACTGTCTGTGCTCTTCATCTGAAGGAAAACAGAGCATGCTTTCCACACCAAGGAGACTTGGACTTCATTGATCCTCAATAGAAAGGATTTGGTTGTTGTTGTTAAATGTGGGTTCTTGGTATTTTGCTATATTGCTAATCTTTCTGTGGTCTCAGGTCTAAATGGGTGGAAACACATCTCTAATTGATAAATAAATAGAAAAATATGCTTTATGTGTTTCTTAAAAGTCAGGAATATGTCTTACGGTGATGGCATGTCAGAATCTCCTGGGAGGTTTCAAATTACACCGAAAACATTGCCAGAGAGAGAGACTCTTCCCCCTCCACTGCCCAGGGGAGGCTCCATTCCTGACCCATCTGGGTGTGGCTAGAATGGGGAAAAGGCTGGGACCCACCACCCGCTGCTGGGAGGTTACATGGGCTGACCCGCCTTGCCTCCTCTCCTCAGCCACGTGTGCATGTGCACCTGCTGGGTACCTGGGAGCTGAGGTCTCTCTTGTGAAGAGGAGTTGAAGGGCACCCATCGTTGGAACTTAGACACACATGGGAAACAGCAGAAAGCAGATTCTGAGCAGGGACCTGGGGGCCCTTCAGATACAATGGCCCCCATGAGAAGCAGAAGAATGGCCTAGGGAGCCAGGGTGCCCAACACAGCCTGAGGGGTAGAGGTGAACATGGTAGCTGTTCCCTCCACCCACCAGGCCCTGGCTGCCCTAGGGATTAAAGGACGGTGAGCAAACTTCAAAAGAGTCCCTGTAAACTCTTAGGGCCCAGGCAACTCCTCCGCGAGGCCCCTCTAAGACAGCAGGACAACACGGAGGAGCCACTCCCTCCTGGCAAAGTAAAACTGAGCACAGGCCAGGAAAAAGCACAGATGCGGGGCTGCAGCCTGGGCAGGCAGCGGCGGCACCAGCACAGGCAGCGCATGAACCACACGTCTGTGATGTGCTGAGTTGCAGAGGCTGAGACGGTAGAAGCTGCGTTCAAGCATGGCCGCCAGAATGTCAGCGCAGAAAAAGAGGGGAGCAGTGCTACACCCCAGGAGCAGGGGTGGCCTGCAACATCGGTCGAGACTCCTGAGATCCATGGAGAGAAAGAAGTGAGCAAAGCCCTGCAAGCTCACACACACAGGCTCTCGAACGGGGCCCTGGGGCCCGGTATTTAAGTAACAGATTCACACCCACAGGCAGAGGGAGCGGCTCCGCTACTCCTGTAGGGTCTTATTTTACTTTATCCTCTGAACTCTATTTATGCCAAGTAACTTAGCTCGAAACCTCAGCATTTAATTTTGCTTAAATTATTGGGATAGTTTCTTCATACCTAGACACACTATCTTAGATCCAGAGACTAAGGAAAAGTATTTTCTTTCTGTCTCATACTTCCTCCTCGTTTGTGACCTGTGTTAACAGCTAATGTAATCAACTTCCCCACAGGCAATTGTTTAGTTTAGGGGAGATAAATATACAAGATAAATAAAGGAGGTGCACCATTACTAGAAGGTGTTTTCTCATTCATGGAATTGCACACACAGCAATTCATCAGCTATTGTTTTATTTTCCTTCAGCTATTGTTTTAGATTTGAATTGTACAGTTGCTGTATTTTGCTTTATACAAATATGCCCCAGATCATAGTTCATGGCTCTGGAATATATTTTATGGTATATATGGGACTGGCTTAGAGTCATCCCGTCTGTGGTTATGTAAAGCCAAACCACGTTATCATAGCTTTGTTGCACAGTTATTTTTTTTAAAAAAGCTATGGCTTGTTTGTTGCCCATGTCAGTCCGAGAAACCAGTGTAATTCTGACTTTGGAAATTCCACCTTATGGTCTTCCCAATTCAAAGCAAATATACAATTCTCTGTTGGCAGTCTGCGCTGCAGTCCCCTGGGCTAGGAAACCCCGTCGCCACACCCCCTGGTTGAGAGGCATGCAACAGTGATCCCACCCGCTGGTTGAGAGTGGTCCTTGCTGCAAAGTGGTCCTTGCTGCAAAGTACTCGAGACTCAGATTTCTTCCCTGGTTGCTCATGATTGATCCGGTGGGCATCCAACCTGAGTTAGAACAGTCAGAGAATCATGCTGAAAATTTAGACCTAGGTCAGAGGGAGTCAAGTTGGTCTCTCTTGCGCTTGAACTCTGGTATGTAAACCACAGGAGGTGTTGGCAGTGAGAGAGGAGAAATGAGCTTAGAGGAGCCAAAGGGAGAAACTGGATGAGGGAGGGCGATATCACTCATGTCCCTGGAGTTCCTGAGGCCCAACTGCATTCCTGACCCTGGATTCCTTGAGATACCACTGTGGCCTTAGAGGGCTTAAGCTGGTTGAAGATTACCTGAACCAAAATATATCTAATTAGCACAAGAGATGTTGGTAGCTAACATAAAAAACTAATAGCAAAAATAGGTAACAATTAAATAGTGAAGTTTTCCAGAAGAAGAAACTGAGAAGAGGGAGGTTAAATGCTTGCACAAGATCACACACCAGGCAGCCTGGCCCCAGAACCCAGAGTAGCAACCTCTCCATCGCTCACATCTCAAAATAGACACAGAGGAAAAGGCCTGGTCTGGTGTCAGGCAGATGTGGGTCAGTTTCCTCGCTGAACCACTTGCCTGGGGCTAATTATTGACCCTCGGTTTCTTAATCTGCAAAATGGAGATGACCAAAACCATAAAATAGAATTGTTGCAAGGGTCAATGAGATATTGTAAATAACGTGCCCTTTACCCAGTAGGCATTTGATAAAAGTTACTTCTAATCTGTTTCCAATTTTTCATTTATAATTAACCGCGGTGACTAGAACTGACAGAATATTGTGAAGAGTGGTAGTAACAAGCATCAGTATTTTTACTGTTAAATATATTGCTGAGATAGATGTGCTTTATTTTGTTAAGGAAGCATTGTTCTATTGCTGGTTTACTACAAAGATTTTTTTTTCTCCAGAAATTGGTGATGGATATTTTCAAGTAACTTTCCAGTTTGTAACCAAAAAAAAGTGGTATGATTTTTGTCTTTTGACCTTATACTTGATTTTAGTAATAGAATTTTTAATACTGAACTATCCTTATCTAATTGAACATCCTTAATCATTTTGCATTATTCTGGGAATGAACTAGTAGGTTCAATTCTCTTGTGTTAATTTAGGATTTATGTACAAGTGCAATTTCTCTAGTTTTCTTTCTTGTTGTATCTTTTCCAGGTTCCACTTTGTGTTTATGGTAGCTCACAATGATGAATTAAGAAGTTTTCCACCCTTTTCTGATTTCTGGAACTGTTGAAATAGCAGAAAGGTTTACTGTCCTTGAGTTTTTGAAAGAACATGTCTTTAAAAATATGTATATCCAGTCCCAGTATCAATTTTGGAGATAGTCCTTTCTCCTCAAAGTTTCCTACTTGGCACTGTGGTTATCGGTCTATTTAAGTTTTCTACATCTTCCTGAATAAATTTGAATAATTTTTATTTTGCTAGAAAATTTGTAATTCATTGAGATATTTAATTTTTTAGCACTAAGCTGAAAATAGTAATCTCATTTAATGTTATCATTTATTTCATATCTGCATATATTTACTACCTGCTTTGATTCCCAGCTCTCTTTACTGGACCCTCAGGGGCCACCTCTAAGTGCGGAACCACGGGCCCATCACCTCTGTGCTGACCTTTAGTCTTTTCCTGGTTTGGATCATCTCGGTCATCTCGACCTAGATGGCCACAACCCTACTATCATGTTAGAAGCATTGGTTACAATGCCCTAGAGTCTATTTAGAGTAGGTGAGCCAATCTTCTATTGGAGTAGAAGATAACTGTTTTTATACACAGGTTGTGGTTACTGTCTTGGAGACTGGTCAGTTATGGGGTGGTCGGGAAAGGGCACCCAGGAATGAAGCACTGGTGGGGTACCCAGGCCCAAGGACCCATTGTCCCAGAAGCCCCCTATCCACAGTGCCCCATAGCACTTTCACTGAGGTTTTGTTTGACTCTAGTCTCTTCAGAGTCAATAACACTAGCATGTTATTTCATGGAAAAAGAATCAACTACTTCAAACATACCAATTTGAAGTGTTTTTATAAATATATTTATTCTGTGGAATCAGATAATCTATTCATTTTAACATCTTTATAGCAGCTATAGAGTAGGAAACCCTCTGAGTCTAAAAAGAGCCACATAAAAGGCATTGGAGATAGATTAGTTGGAAATTCCACCAGGGAGGATCTGAGAAAATTCACCACTAAATCCCCGATAAGGTGAAAACCTACTTAGAGTGGACACCAGGAAGACTCCAGTTATGAAAGTAGGTGCCAGAGATAGGCAAGGCCCACATGGTGGGGAAAGCATAGGATGCTAGACCAGGCAGGCAAGAAGCTGGTTTAGGAGCAGGCAACAATGGAACCAAGCCCAGGTAGCCTCAGCATTTTGCTAAGCAGGTTACTTGCAAAATGCTCAGGAAGTCAATGCTCCGACAAGCATTTAAATCAGTAAAGGCACTTACATCTGGAGGTGGCCAGATCTGTATGGCCAGTTCTTCTTAGCAGTGACCTCGTTCTGTCTTTTATGTGGCTGGCAATTTTAAAGAGTGATGTTCATTCAGCTTATCTCTTACCATATTGTGATTCTATGTAACTCTTCCCCACTATCTGCAAGCACAACTGCCATATGGGCTCCATACTCAAACCCTCCACCTGCCAGCATGGACCTTAGGTAATGTAGATAAAATGCTTGAATGGGTAAGGACGCACATCCAGAAAGCCCTCTGTGTCACTGGATCTGGGTCCTCTTCCAGTTCAGTGTGGGCTTTTTATCTAAGATTTCTGAATTCCCCTTCCCAGTGCTTTTCTCTTCTTGGGTCCTCATTCTCCACGGTCTGAAAAAGGTTCTGGAAAAATGACTCGAGTCTGCTACATGGCTGGAAGAGGAGGCTTCCTTTAGTCCCTAACAAGCACACAGGGATTGTTCATGGTAAAGCAAAAGGACAAGAACAGGTGCCTCCCTTGTGTCATCAATGAGAAGATTCCTTAAGCAGCTTAAGATGAATGCTCAAACACATCAAATAAAAGTGCAAACTAAAATATTTAACAATGTAAATTTCCACTTACCGATTTCTCTGCCTTGTCTGTGTTCCAGGTTCAGGTTTAGCGGTCGCATCCTGGGTCTGGCTCTGATCCATCAGTACCTTCTTGACGCTTTCTTCACGAGGCCCTTCTACAAGGCACTCCTGAGACTGTAAGTGCTTTGCAGACCATGCTTCCAACCCAGCCCTGTCTGCAGGGCAAGGACACCGACCTCTCTGGTGCCACTGACCCTTTTGTCACTATTTTGCCCTAACCATTCCTGTTAGGGTTATGGTGGCTTCCTGTTCTGAGTGCTTAGATATCACTTACATTTTTTAGCACAATAAAAAGGTATTTGGGGATTTTGTTGTTGTTGTAAGGGAAGATTCTATTATCAAAATCTCATATCATGGAGATGAATCATTTTATATAAAATTATAATAATATTACAAACATTGCATTAAACTGTTAAGTAGAACTGATCTGTTTATAGCATAACTGTTTTAAAATGATAGTTTTCTCCAATTTTCATGCAGAGTCCCTGAGTCAATAGTTATTTCATGTTTGTTATTGTAAACAATTTCACATTTCCTTTTCAAAGGAAAATCATTGAATGAACTAAAATGACTGAATAATCTGATTCATCAGTGGATTCAAAAGTATCCAATTGTTAGGATAAGTCTGTGATGTTTTAGCCAGGAATGATATAACCACATTTTGAAGTGAGGTCTGGGCAGCCATTTGTTTGGTAATTTGCCTTTCTCACTGAATTCACCCAGGCCCTGTGATTTGAGTGACCTGGAATATTTGGATGAGGAATTCCACCAGAGTTTGCAGTGGATGAAGGACAACAACATCACAGACATCTTAGACCTCACTTTCACTGTTAATGAAGAGGTTTTTGGACAGGTTTGTGTGACATGGGGTTTGGAAAAGGGATTTTGTTTTTTACTATGGAAAATGCACATAACATAAAGTTATCATCTTAATCATTTTTAAGTGTAGACTTCAGTGCTTCAGTATATCCACATTGTTGGCCATCCAATCTCCAGAACTTTTTCATCTTGCAAAACAGAAACTGTACCCATTAAACAATAACTTTCCATTTCTCCCACCCACAACTCCTGGCAACTACCATTCTATTTTCTGTTTCTATGAATTTGACTACTCTAGATACTTCATATAAGTGGAATTATACAATATTTGTTTTTTTGTGGCTGACTTATTTCACTTAGCATAATGTCCTCAAGGCTCATCCATGTTGTAGCATGTGTCTGAATTTACTTCCCTTTTAAGACTAAATAATATTTCATTATGTAGATATATATGTATATGCACATATATATACAAATATATATAGTATTCTTCCTTTATATGTATATAAAATATTCCTTCCTTTTTAAAGCTGAAAAATATTTCATTATGTGTATATTATATATATATAAACAAATATATATACATATATGCCATATTTTCTTTATCCATTCACCCATTTGTCTGTTGATGAACACCTGGGTTTTTCCACCTTTTGGCTATTGTGAATCATGCTGCTATGAACATGAGTGTACACATATCTGTTCAAGTCCCTGCTGTATAGATCAATTCTTTTGGATATATACACAGAAGTGAGATTGCTAGATCATGTGGTAATGGGATTTTGTTTTTAAATTAGCGAATAAGGGATCTCATTCATTCAAACCAATTCCTTGGGAACTACTTCCTTTAATAAATCTGCCCGTGTCCTCTTTCTTCTTTTTCTTGTTATGACCTGGATCTACTTTATGGAGTTTTTTGAAAATCAGATATGATAATGGATCAGAAAGCATTTTTGTGAAGTACGTCATACATACGTCAGGGATTTCTGCTATCTGTGCCATTACAGAAATGATTCTTTTTATCACATCCAGATAGCTACTCCTCCAAAATACATATATCTCAACACTAAATAATAAGATAAAGTTTCCCATTTGTTTTCTACTAGCATTTATATAACATCAAATCTTCGGATCAAATGGGTTACAATTTTAACAGAAAATAACCATAGCCTGAGTAGATTTAACAAACAAGGTTTGGGGAACCTCATTTTCTAGACCTAAAGTCTGTGACATAAGGTAATTCGTAACAGCGGTTGTTGTGATAGTTAAATCAGAATGCTTTAGAGGTGCCTCACATCAATGTGGACAGTGCACTGGGTCGCTGCATGAGAATGAATGAATGCTGCAGGCCACCAAGCACCGCATCCCAGTCAAGAATCTTGGTTAGGTCCTGGAAAATGTCAACATTCTGTTGTATTTCTTCTGTAAAAACATGCCTCTGAAGAATGCTGTCTTACGTATTTGAGAAAAAAATATTTCTTCCTACAACTCTGGAGAGCACATTTAAATATGTTCAAGAATATGCTACTCATGGCTGGGCACGGTGGCTCACGCCTGTAATCCCAGCACTTTGGAAGGCTGAGGTGGGCAGATCACCTGAGGTCAGGAGTTCGAGACCAGCCTGACCAACATGGTGAAACCCCGTCTCTACTAAAAATACAAAAATTAGCTGGGGATGATGGCAGACACCTGTAATCCCAGCTACTCAGGAGGCTGAGACAGGAGAATTGCTTGAACCTAGGAGGCAGCAGTTACAGTGAGCCGAGATCACGTCATTGCACTCCAGCCTGGGCAACAAGAGCAAAACTCCATCTCACAAAAAAAAAAAAAAAAAGAAAAAAAAAGAAAACTACTCATTTAACTTCCCTGCCATGTACTCACTGAACAGGCAAAATACACTGTTCTCTGTGCATGACTACTTTTAGCCCATCTTTCACATATGCCCTATTGTAGAGGGTAAGTTTGTAAAATATACACAATTACTTAACAAACTGTATTAAGACAACTGGGTAGCCATCTGTAAAAGTTTTAAGTTAGATCCCTAACCTAACTCATGACACTAAATAAATTCCAGCTGGATCAGAAACCTGAATGTAAAAATTTTTAAAAAAGGAAAAAAGAGATAATTTTTATTTTTAATCTTGCACTAAAGAATGCTGATACAGATATCGCACAAATTCTCAAAGTCATAGAAGTCATCTGACATAGTCAAATATTATTTTTAAATTTCTGCATGACAAACTATACTATAAACAAATTGAAAGCAACATAATGTTTAATACATAACATAAAGACTATTTCTTTCAATATCAGAAGAGATCCCACAGATCAATAAGAAATTATCAGTCAACAACCTAATAGAAAAGTCACAAAGAATATAGATAGTTCCCAGAAAAGGAAAGACAAGGAGATAATCTCATTTACAATTTTTTAAAATAAATTAACGCTATAGTGAGATACCATTTTCCCTCATTAGAATGTCAAGAATCAGAAAATTTACCAGTATTTTGGGATGGTGTAGAGAAACAGACCTTCTTGTCCATTGTAGGTGGAAGTGTGATTCACTCTCTATGAAAGGCACTTTGGTGATATCGGTTCATATTTTAAATCACATGCCTTTGACTCAGCACACGTCTAGAAATTTGTCCTACCGATACATTAACACCTAATTAAAATTACTAATATATTAGGATCTTCATCACAGCCTTGTTGATAGTTGAAAAATATCTGTAACAGTCTAAATGTCCAGCAGTAGAGCACTGGTTAAATAAATGATACATTTACTAAATGAAGTAGTGAAATCATGTGGGGTTATTAAAAAGCATGAGGACACCCCAACCCCTCAATTCACATATAATCATGAGCAATAAACAGGGTACACTAACAACAATAAAGAAAGAAAAACACAGGTCTAAATTGGCATGAAAAATGTCTAAGATATAGTTTTAAGAGAAAAAGGATAGTGAAGAACAGTGTGTAAAACACACTACTGTTTACAGGGAAAAAGAGTTTATGTTGATCAGGCACAGTGGCTCATGCCTGTAATCCCAGCACTGTGGGAGGCAGAGGTGGAAGGATCTCTTGAAGCCAGGAGTTCAAGACCAGCCTGGGCAACATAGCAAGACCCCATCTCTAAAAATTTTTAAAGGTGATATATATACATTCCCCAGCATATGCATAGAATCTCCCTGGAAGGGAAGTAGAGATGACTGTCTCCAGAAAGGGAGATTGCATGGCTGGGAGGTTAGGTGGGAGAAAAACTGACTTTTCATTTTATGGCCTTCTACACCACTTGAATTTTATTCCATGGCCATATACTGTCTATTCAAGAAAACGAAGTCAACTACAAATAACTGAATGCATAAAATTAGAGGAAAAAATAAAGTTGAAGATACAGAAGAACAATCCTCTAGTGTAAAGTGTAGGAATTCGACAACTTAGAAAAAAAGCTTAAATGTTCCCAGTGCTAAAAATAAGAATGTGTTGTAGATCTATAATAATGTACAGTTGACCCTTCAAAATGCAAAGGTTAGGGCGCTGAGTCCTGTACAGTTGAAAATTCATGCATAACTTTTGATTTTCCAAAAACTTAACTACTGGTAGCCTGCTGTTGACTAGAAGTCTTATTAATAACAAAAATGGTCAATTAACAAATATTTTGTAGGTTATAGGTATTATAAACTGCATGCTTACAATAAGGAAAGCTAGAGTAAAGAGAACCTTATTAAGAACATCATAAGGAAGAGAAAATATATTTTCTATTCATTGAGTGGAAGTGGATCATCATAAAGTTTGTCTTCACTTTGAATAGGCTGAAGAGGAGCAGGAAAGGAAGGTTTGGTCTTGTTGTCTCGGGGTGGAGGAGGTGGAAGGGGGGCAGGAGAGGCAGGCACACTTGGTGTAACTTTATGGAAATACATCATAATTTCTGTCGTTTTTGCTTTTTCCTTTCTCTAAAAATGTGTCTATATAGTACCAATCCTTTGCTTTAGTTTCAGTGCCCATATCTAGAAAGGTTCATTATCATAAAAGAAGTCAAAAGCAGTCAAACAATCAGAACCGTTCTGCCAGATTGTCTAACATCGATTTGTTTTCTGGCACTGCTTCTTCTAGATCTTCTTCCCCTTCTGAACCTGGCACTGGTTCAGAAGCATTCATCTCCATCAAGTCATCTTCTGTTAGTTCCTCTGGCGTGGTGTCTGTCAGCTCTTGAATTTCTCCAAGATCTATATCTTGAAACCCTTTACCCCCAACCTTTTTTTTTTTTTTTTTTTTTTTGCCATATCCACAGTCTCTTTCATGATTTCCTTGATTGGCTCTGTCATAAATCCTGGGAGGTTATGCATAACATTTGGACACAGTTCTCTCCAGCAGAAATTTATTGTTTGGGGCTTGATGACTTTCATGGCTTATTCTATAACATCTTCAGTGGCATAACTTTTCCAGAATTTCACAATGTTCTCTCTATTGAAGTCATCCATAGTGTTGACATCCTTTCCATAGAGTGTCATGTGTAATGAGACATAAAGTTCCTATGACTCCTGATCTAAAGGCTGAATTAGAGATGTTGTTTTGGGGGGCAGGTAGACCACTTTGATGCCTTGGTGTTGAACTCAAGGGGTTCTGGGTGGCCAAGGGCATTGTCCAATATCAAAAAAAAAAAAACAAACAAACTTTAAAAGGTAGTCCCTTTCTGGCAAGGTACTTCCTAACTTCGGGAACAAAGCACTGACAGAACCAATCCAGAAAAGAGGTTCTCATTATCCAGGCTTTCTTGTTGGCAGCTGGTGTTATCTTTTCTCTTCAAGGCTCGGGGGTTAAAGCTTTAATGGATAAGGGCAATCCTGATCATAAATCCAAATGTGTTTGCACAAAACAGCAGAGTTAGCCTATCACTTCCTGCCCTAAATCCTGGTGCTCACTTATCTTCCTTACTAATAAGGGACCTTTGTGGTGCTTTTTTTCCAGAACGGGGCACTTTCGCCTGCATTAAAAACCTGTACAGGCCGATATCCTTTCTCCTCAGTGATTTTCTTAATGGTGTCTGGGAATTCGTCTGCTGCCTCTTGGTCAGCACGAGCTGCTTCTCTTCTTATCTTGACATTTTTTTCAGCCAAACCTGTTTCTAAAATTATCAAACCGTCCTTTGCTGGCATTAAATTTTCCAACTTTAGATCCTTCACCTTCCTTTTGCTTTGAGTTATCATATAATGACTTTGCTTTATCTAGAATCATATTAGAGTCTACAGGTATGTATGCCATTGTTCTAGCAATACTGCACTCACATAAAAGCTGTGTTTTCAGCCAGGCATGGTGGCTCATGCCTGTAATCCCAGCACTTTGGGAGGCCAAGGTGGGCAGATCGCAAAGTCAAGAGATCGAGACCATCCTGGCCAACATAGTGAAACCCCATCTCTACTAAAAATACAAAAATTAACCAGGTGTGGTGGCACGTGCCTGTAATCTCAGCTACTCGGGAGGCTGAGGCAGGAGAGTCGCTTGAACCCAGGAGGCAGAGATTGCAGCAAGCCAGGATTGCGCCACTGCACTCCAGCCTGGCGACAGAGTGAGACTCTGGCTCAAAGAAAAAAAAAAAAGCTGTGTTTTCAATATGAGATAAAAAGATATTCCACAAAAAGTGCCAGGTTTTCACACCTGCTGGCATAGCTGCAGTGATGGCTTCATGAATTTCGTTTTCCTTTTTTACAATGGTCCCTATGCTGGATTCATTTATTTTGAAAAGATGGGCAACCACATCTGCAGACCTCAATCTATGGTGCCTATCAAGTAATTCAATTTTCCCTTGTAATATCATGATTTTTCTCTGCTTCTTGGGAGTATTTCCAGCATCATTAGTGGCCCTTCGTGTGGGTCCCACAATGTTATTCAAAGTTTACAATATTGCACTTAAACACAGTGGAAAATATTCAGTAAACAAGAAAGATCACTTTTTACTGTGATACACAGTTTACTGGAGAGAGGCTATTCATCAGCAACACTTGCGTTCATCGCAAAAAACAGCAGGAGGTGACTACAAAATTATTACAATAGTACAGTATGTACTACAGTTAATTTTATGCAGTTATGATTTAATACCGCATTTTGATGTTTGTATTTGTCTCAACTGCCAGTGGCACCATGTACAGGCTCTAAGTGTTTGTGTGTGTACATTTTCATAAATTTTAACTTTTTAATAATAGATTTGTGTACATTTTATGTTAGTAAATGATAAAATAGACTAGTATCTACATATATTTTATGGACTCATTACATTTCTAACTTTTTTTTTCATTTTAAAAAAGCTTCTATTAATTTTCTAGGTATGCAGGTCATCTGCGAGTTTTTTCAAATTGTTGTAAGTCTCCAAAAAAATTCCCAATATATTTATTGAAAAAAATCCATGTACGAGTGGACCCATGCAGTCCAAACCCACGCTGCTCAAGGGTCAGCCTGTATACCTGTTTAAAGTTTATCTCATTTCTCTTCAAAAGGGGGTCACCAAGAACAATGAGTGGTTTTAGAAGATTGAATTGCAGCCCTTCTTTTGTCAAGTTGTTAGACAGTGGAGAGCAGAGGGATGCAGGTGAAAGACACCGTAGGCTTTAGGATTAGATTCAGCTACTAGTGAAGAAGCCAAAAATGACCCTGTTGAAATTAATAGAAGCTTTTTTTTTCTCATATAAAAGCCCTGTTGAGGCTGAGTGTGGTGGTCCACGCCTATAATCCTAGCACTTCAGGAGGCCAAGGCGGGTGGATCGCTTGAGGCCAGGAGCTCAAGACCAGCCTGGCCAACATGGCGAAACCCTGTCTGTACTAAAAATAAAAAAAAATTAGTCAGGTGTGGTGGCATGCACCTATAGTCCCAGTTACTTGGGAGGCTGAGGTGGGAGAATCGCTTGAGCTTGGGAGAGAGAGGTTGCAGAGAGCTGAGATTGTACCACTGCACTCCAGCCTGGGTGACAGAGTGAGACCCTGTCTCAAAACAAAAACAAAAAAAGCTCTGTTTGATAAAATCCTCAGGGATCAAGCTCCTTCCAGGTCTCCCCACTGCTATCGCTAGGGTAGGCCCCCTGCACTCTTAGCCCAGATGCGTACAGCATCCCAACCATCACAACTGTGTTCAGTGCAGCCGGACAAAGGAACACACAGCCCATCCCTTCAAGGAGGCCTCCTGACAGTGCCATACACTTCTGCTTACATCCCATTGGACAGAATTTACTTACATGCCACACCTAGCTGTGAGAGAGGTTGGAAAATAAAGTCTTTAACTGGGCCGCTAAAAATCAGACATTCCAAAGAATATGGATGCTGGGTGGTAACAAGTATTTTATCATTAGCCAATATTTTATAATTGGCACTAATCACCTAAGTGATAAAAGAAAAAGTCACCATCAGACTACTTATGGACTGCTTTGTTTAGGTACCTGTGTCCACAAGTGCCAAACATATATGTATTTTTTTCTTTAAACCAGTAACTAAGTCCAGTGATGCCTCATTTGTCTTGCAGCATTGAGCATTGCAGTGAGCCCTTAAGTGAATTTAAGATGACTGAAGATTACCCCCTTCATACATGAACATATTTTGATTTTTTAAAAAATGTCTAGCATGTTATCTACCTCCTTGCCTGTGAAAAGATGATACACAGATAATAGCCTTCCCTGATGACTCAAGCATGTCCTAACAAACAGGCATCATCACACAAGTGGCAGCGCCATTTGCTGTGTGTGCCTACATGCTTCTGGTTCCCTTCCCAGGGTCAGGCTGCCCTGGCTGTGTAATATTATACCCCACCCTCTGCCAGAAGACCACTGTCTTCTGGCCAGCTGTGGGAGTGGAAGCTGATGGCTGTTAAGAATTTGCTGTCATTGAGATTTGGGGGCATCAAGTATGTGATTGTAGTGTTGAGACATTCAGCTTCACCATTAGGGACAACCTAGGACATTTTCCTTTTATTTCCATTATGCCTCTTGAGTATAGGAAACTTGTTTCCTCTGTATAAAACAAAAACTGTAGCCTTTCCAAGGTGCTTAGCAATCTGCTTAGAGGTCGGGTGCAGTGGCTCCCAATACTTTGGAGTTGGGAGGATCAGTTAAGGCCAGGAGTTCAAGACTAGCCTGGGCAACATAGACCACATTCTACCAAAAAAAAAGAAGAAGAAGAAGAAAGAAAAAAAATTAACCAGGCGGAGTGGGGCTTGTCTGTGGTCCCAGCTACTCAGGAGGCTGAGGCAGGAGGGTCATTTGCCCCCAGGAATGCAGGGCTGCAATAAGCTATGATTGCACCACTGTGCTCCAATCTGCTTAGAACAGCCAGAGCTCTTTTAGTGACCTTTAGCAAGGAAAAAAGACTCCAGGGATAATAATGCTGAATAATGCCCTGTAGAGGATTTTTGGCATACGGTCATCCCCCTAAAATCAGTGTGCCTCCCTGAGAGATAAGCAGAACTGACAAGCATCGCAATATTTCTGTTTTCCTACAAGGTCACGGAAAGGGAGTTGAAGTCTGGAGGAGCCAACACACAGGTGACGGAGAAAAACAAGAAGGAGTACATCGAGCGCATGGTGAAGTGGCGGGTGGAGCGCGGCGTGGTACAGCAGACCGAGGCGCTGGTGCGCGGCTTCTACGAGGTGAGGCCCGGTGGCCTGGGGAAGGCAAGCTGTGGCCAGGGTGCTGCTTCACGGGGCCTCATCCTCCAGGCTCCCTGAGGGAGCAGCAGCTCAGGTGGTGAAAACAGAGAGGGAGAGCCAAGGTGGGCAGTGGGCTCAGCGAGTGCTCCTCACCAGGGAGTACTGAGGATCTTCTTGTGGTGGAGGGCTGAGGGGTCAGAGTTCTCTGGGAAACTCAACTCTTATGGGTGAAAAATGCTTTCAAGCAACTGGCATGTGACCCTGGCGTGCCAGACGTGAAAACATCTAGCATCTCTTGTCACAATATATGCAGCTGGTGTTTCCTTTCAGTCAATGAAACAAAAATAAGTGAAGTGAAGACATTGGGGGGTATTGTCCACTGTCACTAGAATTTTATTTTGTTATAGCATCATGTTGTGCCACGTAATCTATGCTGAGTGGTAAATGAGGAAGACAGGGAGGGCCGCTAGACATCCTATGATGTCCTTGAACTCCAGTTTAAAAACCAGAGGCTATAAACGTTTTCTCAGGTCTTGGGTCGTGGAAGGCTCTCCTTCCCTGCCAGAATGGAGAAGTGCACTGGCCATGGTCTTGTCCACCACTGGTTTGATTAAAGGAGGTACCACCACAGGACCTCAGTTGTGCCTGGGTACACTTGGCACAAGATGCAAAGTCAGAATGCAGAACCCTAACAAAACAAGTCTTCCCAGATCTCTAAGGAGGGAGGAAGGAAGTGAGAGAAGAAGAGAAGGAAAAGACAAATTTCCACCCAGCTAGCTCAGTCCAGTGAGCATGAGGCTTTTAATCTTAGGGTCATGGTTTGAGAAGGGATGGAAAATACAGTCGTTTTAATACAAATGCTCAATTTTAGGAAATAAGTCATAATTGCATGTGAAAGGTTACATTTTAAGTGAAATAGTAATACTAATAGCTATTAAATAAGTCCTTCAAAGTGATGTGGACTCTTGGCCTTTAAAATCCAATATTATTTGAAAACTTCAATGTGACTTAAGAAAGTCGAGTCAGATTTGTTTACAGAATCATTCTGAGAGGGAGCATTAGGAGTGGAGCATGCGATTCTTTTTTCTGTTCCCCGCTCATGAAGGCTTGTGTTCTAAAATATTTAAGTCAATGATCATCGTTCAAGCTGCTATAACAAAATACTGTGAGGTGGGTGGCTTGCAGCAACAGACATTTTTTTCTCACAGTTTTGGAGGCTAGGAAGTCCAAGATCAAGGTACTAGCAGATTTGGTGTCTGGTAAGGGGCCACCTTCTGGTTCATAGATGGTACCTTCTCCCTGTGTCTTCATGTGGAGGAAGGGACACGGGGTCTGTCTTGGGCGTGTTTAATAAAAGCATGAAGCTCTCATATCTAAGCACCCCCCCAAAGGCCCCACCTCCTAATACGATCCCCTCAGGGGTGAAGATTTCAACATATGAATTTGGGGAAGGAAAAGGATATAAACATTCAGATCATAGCAATAATTTTCAAGTTAAAAATGATTACAGACTCAAAAAAAGTATTGCCAGTGATGGTCAATTTCCCAGTTTAACCCACATAAATATAATAATGAACATAGCCTTTCCATGTGTTTGGACCTGGATGCTGAAGCCTAACCTGCATTTCAGGTTGTAGACTCGAGGCTGGTGTCCGTGTTTGATGCCAGGGAGCTGGAGCTGGTGATAGCTGGCACCGCGGAAATCGACCTAAATGACTGGCGGAATAACACTGAGTACCGGGGAGGTGAGTGGGCAGGAGCTGTAATGATGCAATGATCACAAATAGAACTCAGCACTTTCCAAAAGATTGTTTTGTTGAGGTGAAATTGATGTAAAATAAAATTGACTAAAGCGAACAAGTCAGTGGCATTTAGTACATTCACAGTTTTGTGCAACCATTGCCTCTAGCTACTTCCAGAATATTTTCATCACCCCAAAAGGAAACCCTGTACCCATGAAGCAGTTGCTCTCACTCTCACGCCCCTTTCCCCCAACCCCTGGCAACCATCAATCTGCCTTCTGTCTCAATGGATTTGCCTATTCTGGATATGCCATATAAATAGAATCATACAAAATGTAGTCTTTCGTGTCTGGCTTCTTTGACTTAGCCTACTGTTTTGAGGTTCATCCATGTTGTATGTAGCATGTTTCAGTATTTTATTCCTTTTTATAGCCAAATAACATTCCATTGCATGTATATATAACTCATCACTTTTTGAAGACTACAAAAAGCTTGGCCTTACTTCAGTACAAAGCAGGAGCTTGTACATGCCTTTCTCCAACTCCCAACCTGAACTTTCCTTCAGGTGACATCGTCCTCATATTGGTCGAGTCTCTGGCTTAACTCGATGTAGAGGCTTGCAGAGAACATTCCATCCAGGACCCAGCTCCTGAGCAGTGTGCATGGCTCCAGGGAAGGGTGTCTCATTTCCTACAGAATTGGAGCCCTCTCTGCCTCAATCCTGGTTTGCCACAACACGGTTCTAACCGTGGCCTTCACCAAAGCTAATGTCTAACCCTTCCTAAATACTCACCTTGCACACTGCCAGACCTGTCTTCCTGAAACATTGTTTTCATCAGGCCACTTCCCTACCCACAAAACAAGTTCCTTATTACTTATAGATTTGAAGGGTTTTGTTAGCCTCACAACTCTTCATTTACAATATCACAGAGAAATCCCATCAATACAGTAGAGAGTGAGCTGGGGGCATCGCCTCAGCCTCCCTCATGTCCCCAGTACACTCAGCCCCGCAATGCCTCTTATAGTATAAAATCGGTATAGAATGAAAACCGCTGTCTGCCTAGCTGGGCATGGTGACTCATGCCTGTAATCCCAGCACTTTGGAAGACCAAGGCAGACAGATTGCTTGAACTCATAAGTTCGAGACCAGCCTGGTGAAACCCTGCCTCTAAAAAAAATACAAAAATTAGCCAGGTGTGGTGGCACATGCCTGTAGTCCCAGCTACTCAAAAGGCTGAGATAGAAGGATCCCTTGAACCCGGGAGGCAGAGGTTGCAGTGAGCCAAGATCATGCCACTGCACTCCAGCCTGGGCAACAGAGCGAGATTCTGTCTCAAAAAAAAAAAAAAAAAAAAGTCTCTGCCTGGCTGTTAAGGCCCCATAACACCCCCCGGAAATATTCCTTCCTGCCTTCACCAGACACACCTCTACTCTAGTGGCTTACTGTTGCCTGCATATTTCCTCCTCTTTCTTGTTATTCTTTATTTTTCCTGCCAGGAATGTCCTCCTTCTTCCCTCCACTTGCACAAGCCCTTTGCACGCTGCTCGTAGCTTCACTTCCTTTCTGAAGTTTTCCTTGCTTCTACCTTGGCACACATAGATTTCTCCTCTCTCTGAATGCCTCTTGCATTTGCAGTCAATGGCAAATCGTTTAATTGATATATCCAAGCATGGTCTCCCCAGCTTACTGTGAGAGGGACCCAGTACTTAATCCATGGGCCCAGCATGTATCCATCCAGGGCTGGCCTGAGAGCAGCTGCTCAAGGGGAGAGCCTGGGATCTCCTGTTCACGAAACTGGCTGTTCGCCTCCAGCCTAGACTGGTAAGTCCTAGACTCTCCCGTGGTATGTGGTTGCCAAGAGCTAAGACAGCAAAACAAAGGAAATATGATGCAATATTATATTCATAGGCCCTTTGGTCTCTACCAGGCCCTTCTACTCCTTATCTACACCTATATGAGGCAGGAACATTTTAAGTGGAGTCTCAGTTGTTTAAATAGAAAGCAGACATCTCTGAGAACATCACAGAACATAAAGTCCTTTTATAAAATGACTATTTTCTAAATCTGCTCTTGTTCTAAAACTTGACCTGGTTGCACAAATTGTTTTAGACCTCTCTAAAGGCCATCACAAGAGAAATCAGATCAAAAGCAGCGGTTCCGTTCCTATCATACCTGATGTGTTTGATCTCTCTCTCCCTCCTCACCCCTTCCTCTTTTCTCCACATCCTGTCTTCCTCCCTCCCTTTGCCTCGTGCAGGTTACCACGATGGGCATCTTGTGATCCGCTGGTTCTGGGCTGCGGTGGAGCGCTTCAATAATGAGCAGAGGCTGAGATTACTGCAGTTTGTCACGGGAACATCCAGCGTGCCCTACGAAGGCTTCGCAGCCCTCCGTGGGAGCAATGGGCTTCGGCGCTTCTGCATAGAGAAATGGGGGAAAATTACTTCTCTCCCCAGGTACAGAGCTCCTGCCAGCCTTCGGGGAAACCTGCTGAAGAGGGCAAAGTATACTTTGCTATTTGATTTTGAGTGACCATCCTTTGGGATGGAATTCTTTCCTGTCACCCAAAGTATTGTCATTGGAGTTATTAGGGAAAGGTGAAGGTGAGGTGGCTGTGAGACTTGCACTGAAACTATATTATTCTTAGGGAGGTTTTGATGACTGATGGTATTTGAGCTGTAATATCTTGGTCCATGTGTCAGTTGTGGGATGCTGTCATAGCCCAACTTAATTTAAAGATGAATGTCTGACACAGGAGAGGGCAGAGGCAAGGACATTAATATAAAAATGCTGGAACCTGGAAGTAACCTCTCGAGCATCGTTATCTGTACTTCTGCAGCGTATCACTTGATACTTCATAGGATCATTATATATTTGTGGTGTGTCGGATTTTTCCTATCAAGTTTTAGAACATGTGGGGATACATGTATCTCTGGGTCTCTATGGTGACTTCTATTTAGAAAGCACATCTATTGTGGGATAAATGTGGAAAAGGAGACGCTGGGGCTCCAGGCAGTTTTACAGAAGAAATTCCCTGCACTGTGAGTTTTAATCCCAGCACTTCCTGAATCCTTTCTATGCCACTCTGGGTAGTGCATTCCTGATCAGGAAGCACTGAAGAGACAGTTGTGCATAGGCGCTATAGTGAGAAACGCTGCTGCAACAGACAGAAGAAAAGATTGACCCCTATTATCTTTTGCTAATAGGATACGTTCGAATTATAAAGAAGCTTTGCATTTAACTCAGCTCTATTTCTACATGGCCACCCAAATACCTTTGCTAAATCCTTATTGCAGAAGGATTTACTGGACTATAGCTTTCACCTAGGTTTCCCAGATTTTCCCCGAGGACAATTCACCTGGTGTCGGTCAGCATTCATGGGCATGCCCAGCTGGTTAACCACAGCTGAACACCCTGGTGCAGGCTTCAGCCCTGGCTTCACCCACTCAGTTCAGCAGACCCTCAGTTCCAAGGGTCTTTGTTGTTTGCATGGCTCTACCAATAGCTAAACCTAGTGAATGTAAGTCTGGCAAGAAAAGAAGACTAAAAAGGCAGAATTTGCATTTGTTAAGTTGAATGATGATTTCAAGAATATAGTTATTTGGAAACATCTTGCTTTTATTTTAGAGAAATGCAGCTTGAGTCATCACTGATGATAGCATGCAGCTTGAGGAGGGGCTGAGCTACAACCACACACCTGCCCGTGGGAACCTGCAATCTAGGGAGAACACGGCCTGATAGTAACTAATCACAGCACAAGGTAGAATCAGAGGAGCACAGGGGGTAAGAGCAGCGTGCTGCGAGAGTGTGAAACAGAGCCTCCTAATCAAGTTGCCTAGAGAACATGCCACTAAAAAACTGGCATTTAGGGGAGGATTGGGAGGCAAGGAATAGGGAGAAGGGGGCTTCCAGGCTGAAGCAATAACACAAGCAAGGGCTGAGAGCGGGGAATGGCAGCACGTGTTCAGGAAGGTGCAGCTGGCCAGTGCAGAGGGTAAGATGCCCGGAGCAACATCACAGGGGATGCAGTTGAGAAAGAGTTTGGTGAGCCACAAACAAAAGACCCTGCTGTCTGGGCGCAGTGGCTCACGCCTGTAATCCTAGCACTGTGGGAGGCTAAGGCAGGCGGATAGCTTGCGCCCAAGAGTTCAAGACCAACCTGGGCAACAGGACAAGACCTCGTCTCTACAAAAAATTTAAAAAATTAGCTGGGCATGGTGGCATGCACCGGTAGTCCCAGCTATTTGGGAAGCTGAGGCAGGAGGATGACTTGAGCCCAGGAGGCTGAGGCTGCAGTGAACTGTGATTGCACCACCACACTCCAGGCTGGGCAACAGAGTGAGACCTTGTCTCAAATTAAATTAAAAAAAAAAAAGAAAGAAAAAAGAAAAGACCGTGCTGAGGAGTCTCTATTCTTTAGGAAATGAGAGTCATTGCTTCTGTTATCTGGGGTCACAGATTGAATGTAATTTCCATATTTGCTTTGGAAGCTTTGAAATACACATTAATATTATTAACCCACACAGAGAGCTTCTAAGGCAGACATTGGGCTTATGAACACGTTCTTCATATCTGAACCAAGGCACCCCTAAGAGGGCTGCTGCACCACAAGCCCCCGAGATGGTTTCTTGGGGAAGTAGGGACCTCTTCTTGGGACAAGAAGCAAATGCCTCTAAGAGGACACTGAAAATAACTCCCTGAATAGTGACCCCTGTCCAATCTCCTTTGGACAATGTCTGAAGATCAAAGAACCTAAAAAAATGTCATCTATGTGTGGATAGAAAGAAAGAACCTCTGACTTCCAGAAACTGTCGTTCGGGAAGACCTGACCTGACTATGGCAGGTGACAGGAAGCCCTGAGCAGGCAGGAAGCAAAGCAGACCCAGGGTGGCATGGGCTTCCCAGGTACTGTGAGCCACAGTGCATGTGGCCTGCACTCTGGGAGAGGCAGCCTTCAGCTCTTTCCTCAAGTCCTTCCTCTGCAGAAAGGAAAGGCAACTGGCTTCCCAGATGAGAGCGCCAGACACCGCCACAGCAAAACCCGGTCATAGCCCAGGCTACATAAAACCTTTGTGTCAGTCCAAGCCCCTGCCTGCTAAAAGATGTGTGAGGGCCAGGAGAAAGGACTTTGAGGGTAGAGGCTTCTGGGATATAATTTCATAGTTGAAGTAGATGAGAGGCAGGACTGTCACTGGAGTTGAGGTCAAGGAACTGGGGGCTTGGGTGTTCACCCTGTCAGCCATGTGGACTTAGTTGCCACACAGTCTGGTAGGAGGACTTGAAGTGGAAAAGAAGACTTCAGCAAAGTGCCAGATAATAGTCATAATAAGTTAGAAGTTCAGAGGGTCAGAAGGAACCAAAGATCTATCTGGATCACTGATTTTCAAGCTTCTTAAACCATAGTCCACAGAAAGAAATGCCTTTTATATCACAACTCAGGACATGCACATGTACTCATTTGCACATATGTGTGTGTATATCTGAAACTCAAGTTCCTCAAAACAGCACTTTACCCTTATTATCTGCAATAAAATCTATTTTCTGCTCTATCCTATTTCATTAAAATGAAATGCCAGCCAAAACCTATGGTTTTAAAAATAAATTATCTAAATGACATGAGATTCAAAGGAATGGAAACTGATCAAGGATTGCAAAAGTCATGACGTGGAATTGACAGCAGGGAGTGTGAAGAATGTCCATCCACGTCACAGCGTGTGGGGCAGTGAGCAATTTCCACCCATGAGAACTGGAGATGGGACACTAGGACCCGGAGGCAGCATCTGGAAAGAGCTTAAGGAGGTGGCAAAGTTTCTTTACTTTGAACAAGAGCTCAAAGGAGGACAGAGGAAAGGCTCAGAAGGAAAGAGAAGGGCAGAAGCTAGGTCAGAGTCGAAGTAGCACTGGGCAGTGTGGAGATAGAATAAAGGAGAGGGGAGAATCTTTGGGTTTACCTTTGGGGCAGGGACCAGGGATATCAAAGCTATGAGTCATGAGCAATTAACTGGCCTAAAAGTTGCAAACGAAATTCTAATATGAACATGTTTCACTGCAGATGTAAACTAAGCCCAGACCCAGGGTGGAGTTGGAGGCCTGGTTAAGTTAGTAGTTGGTTTACTCTGTAGCAGTGATTCTCAAAGTGGGGCTGGGGAAGGCGACTTTGCCCCTCTTCCCCCGCAAGAGGCAGTTGACAATGTCTGGAGACATTTTTGGTTGAGGGGAAGGGGTGCTACTGGTGTCCATTGAGTAGAAGCCAAGGATGCTGCTAAACATCTCACAATGCACAAAACAGCTCCCACAACAAAGAGTTATCAAGTTTGAAAAGTGAATCGTGTCAAGCTGAGAAATGCTGCTCTCTAGTACCTAAGGCCAGAAGAGGACCTACAAAGGAGGCCTGAGGGTGCCATCAGGGAGCTCAGCAGAGAAAATGGCAGCCATTGAGAAACCAAGGAGAAGCCAAGGAGGGAGATGTTCCAGAGGAAGAGCTGTCAAATGCTTTTAAAGAGCTGGAGCAGGTGGAGCGGTATGGGCTTCTGGATTTAGGGATCAAGAGGTTATTGGCAAACTTGAAAAAGAGTAAATTTAGAAGGAAAGAGAGCAAGGCCTATCTGAAGAGAACAAGGCTGTAGTTAGGCAGTGGAAGAAGATTGGCATGAAGGGAAGACACAACTTACATAACCGGCTGAACAATTGGCAGCAAAGAGGAGTGACTGCTGCCACTTTTGTGTGTTTCTAGACAACCTTAAAGTGGTCTCTAGTAGAGAGGAGCAAGACTTTCTTTGGCCCTGTGTTGGTTAACATTTCAATCTATAACTTGGAAAAATAGAGGAGACGGGGAGATCAACTGTGTAGATGACACAGTTAGAAGGATAAACAATACAGGGATTGGCACAACCCAATCCAAAATTATCTCAAAATGCTGGAACCCTAGCTTGACACCAATGGCATGGAATTCGACACAACTTAAAGACCCGTGCAGATCTCCAAAACATCCATCGCACCAAGTGTGAGAAGAGAGTGAGTCACCTGCCAGTAGGTCACGTGCAAAACTCCAGAGGCTTCAGTTGCCACAAGTATGACACGGTTCCCCAAATCATTATCACAATCATGGTTGCATTATTAAGAGAATCTTATGTTTAAATGATGATTCACAGGTTACAAAACGCATTTATGTGTGTTCTGGCGTTGATCCTCCCCATAACCCTTTGAGGTGCACGCAGCATATATTATTATCCCCACTTTACAAGTGAGAAAACTGAGGCTCAGGAAGATTAATTGACTTTTCCAGTGTCATAAAGCTGGTAAGTGACTAGACCGGGGTCAGCATAGAAGTCTTCCAAGCCCTGGTTTCTTGCTGTCCACTGCCCCACACCACCGGGCAATGCTTGGTTTGGTGCACGGGAATGAGGTAAGCAGGCACTCGGTGCTGTCAGAACCACACCTGGAGGGTGGTGAGCTCTTAGGAATGCTGAATTGGATCATGATTTGATTGTGTTCGTTCATTCTAGATGACAAACTAAGGGAGTTCACCAAGGCTCTAAATAAATGCAATAAAAGCAACTAGTAAGTAAACCATGAGTGTTCAGACTAGGTGCTATTCGTCAATGCTTTCTGTTTACTCCCAGAAATGATCTTTTACAGAATTAATTTGGTTCCAACTAATTTGTAAAGGTGATTTTTTTTCTGTAATATTTCCACTCATGAGTGCCAGTTAAAATGACCAGAGGAAGAAAACTATGAAGATGATGCCTGCTCCTATCTCGCCCCTGGCTAATTCAGCTAGTTCCAAAAGCATGCTTGGGATTTTTCACCCCACTTCGCCTGTTTAGCCATAGCCCAATGTATGTTCTAGTTTCATTGCAATCTTTTTAACATAGAGAGAAATCACTGTAACCATCCTACTCAATTTACTGAGTTCCCTTTCACTCAAATATTTACATCTAGGTAAAGTATTTCAATTATTTTCTTTTAAAGTAAAGGAAGGCCTGTTTGAATCTTAGATAATAATTTAAGAATTCTGCCAATCTGTATTCGTATGTTTCTTCCCAGTTATGTCTTTAAGGCCTAAGACCAGACACTCTACTGCCCTGTGCCTGCCTTTGGAGCTTGAGCGGGGAAAGGGACAGGGAGGAGGGAGGTAGGGGTTAGGGATAGTTCCCCAAGGACTGCCAGGAGGAGGAATGGGTGCTGGGCAGATGAAAACACCAGCATCCTCCCTAGATTCTCGATGGGCAGGAAACCCCACCTTCCCTCTTTCCTCTTCCCATCTTCCTTATTCCCAAAATAATCTCCCCCCGTAACCTGAGTGCTGCATCAGCCTGGGCAGTGATCTGATACTCTGATTTATATACTTTAAAACAAAGGTGTAAATAATACACAAGTCCCCTAGGGATCTTGTAATGAAAAGAAGAGTTTAATATCCCAAATAAAACTCTAATGAAGAGTTTAGTTTTGTTTGTTTCTTTGTATGTTTGTTTTGTGATTTGATTTTATTTGATTTGGTTTGATTTTAGAGTGCCCTTTTCTGTGCTGGTTGGTGTCTGAAAACACCATTTCAACACACCACCCTTAGGGAGGAAAAGGCAGGAAATGAACTTTCACCTGCACCCATCCACCTTTCTCTCTACTACGGTACAGGACTCGGCATCAGCCAAAGTTTCTGTAAAAACAAAGAACTTCTGGCAGGGAGCAGCTAGTCAGGTGATTCAAGGCTCCACAGCAGGGAATCTATGTGTGCTGGGCTTCTTGTACCCACTGCTGGAGAGCCACATGAGTCTTCCAGGTCCAGGTGTTAGCCTCTGGCGAGGAAGACATTCCTTGTCTAAGGCAGACACTGGCCATGCAGGAGGAAGCACATGAAGCAAGCTAGAACCCCGGGCGCCAGGACACTCCAGGCATCCAGAGAGGACTGGCTCACACGGGCAGCTTTTCTTGGAAATGCAGCACTTCGACTTTAGGTTCTGTGGGTTCTACTGGGGTAGAGGAGTCAGACTTGTCTCCAGAGCACACTTGACTTGAATGGAGAACTGGATCTCAGAATTCCAGGCCATCTCAGGTTCCTCTAAATAGATGCATGTGGTTCACAGAGGCTCAGAAATCAGAGCTGGGCAAGAAGACTTAGGAATATAATCCTTCAATACTAATTATATTTCTGCCTCCTTCATTGACCACATCAAAATTTGTAACTCATTTGCAAATCAGGCTGATACCATAGAGTTTATAATCAGTTTGCTAGTGTCATTCTAGTGTAGTTGGTTTGCTTGCAAATGCAAACAACCCATTTTTAGTTATTCCATTCCTTCCACCAGTCTATTCATTCTAGAGGAATGTGGCTCTTTAGTGTGCAATGTTTTATGGTGGTCCTAAATCATGGTCCTGCTCACTTTTGATTCCTTTTTGAATCACAACTTCAGACAGTCACAGATCCAGAACCAGTTGTATCATTGAAACAAACACTCTCACCAATCTCTTCTCCCCATTCAGGGCACACACATGCTTCAACCGACTGGATCTTCCACCGTATCCCTCGTACTCCATGTTGTATGAAAAGCTGTTAACAGCAGTAGAGGAAACCAGCACCTTTGGACTTGAGTGAGGACATGGAACCTCGCCTGACATTTTCCTGGCCAGTGACATCACCCTTCCTGGGATGATCCCCTTTTCCCTTTCCCTTAATCAACTCTCCTTTGATTTTGGTATTCCATGATTTTTATTTTCAAACCAAATCAGGATTGACAAAAGCTGTGCATGAAGAACTGCCTTCTTCTAAGATCTAACCTTCAGGCTTCTCTCCTCTGTTTTCAATGAACTGCTAGCCTGTATGCAATATTAAAAAACAGCTGTCTCAAGGTCTGTGTATATCTCCACATACCTCCATTACTAACAATGAAATATGAATGCAAGTTAAGCTACACTTGACCAAATGGTAATAAATGTTTACTTCCATTTCTATCATTGAAGGGAAAATGTGAGCATTAAGCACTCCAGGCTTTCATATGCCCATGTCTTCTGAGCAGAGCCACCATTTTTTATAATTTCTAATAACCAACTCCAGAACTAGGAGCTGATCAACTCTTTGTTTTCCTCTCCATCTACTTTTCCCTGTGCATAATATCCATCCAAAGGACAACAGTGGCAAAGCTGAAATTTTTATACATTCAACTCATGATTCACATGTGGCATCAGTCCCATCAGCCGGAACTAGCCTAGACATACGGTGCAAATATGACACTTCTAACGATTAACAACAGCAAGAAAACACCTGCTGCTGATGCAATGCAATGCATCCCAATGGTTGTGGGGATTGTGGGCTCAACTCAAGAGAAGTTTAGGAGGGGGAGCATCCCTAGTGAATACTCACACCACAAGAAGGACAAACTTGTGCACATGTCCAAGAAAGAAAGCTTCTTGATTGAGGTAGCATGAAGGATGAGGCTTCAGCCCCCATTGTCTTATGTAGAATGTGGCAATGCCAACTGGAGAAAGGGAAGAAGGACATATTACCTTGGTTTGAATCCCTGAGTTCTGTACTGTTCTGTTTTGTTTAGTCTAGCCACAGTTCTTCACAAAGGAAAAAAAAATGTGTAGATGATACCATGACTTTTGTTAAAGCCATGACTTTTGTTTGCTTGGCAGACAAACCCTTTTTTTAAAACTTTGATATTTTTTTTTCACATTTTTTTTTCCTTTTCCTTTCTTAATCATGGAGTTCAAGTTCCTTTGCATTCGATTGTCCATCGGGACCACACTAGGAAGCTGCAGAGAGTGATGGTGCTTGTTAGGGATCAAGGGCAACATAGTACTTCTCCTTCACCCATAGTAATCCTCCTGGGGCAGAAACATAACACCCCAAAGGCACGTTGATTTGTATCAAAATAAATATCCAGTTTCTTTTAGCATTCAGTGAAAACATATCTCAGAAAACTTCATGTTGTCAGAAAAACAGCTGCAGGCTCCAAAGACAGCCTAACCTCTCAACTACATTTGAAATAAACCCAACCATAATGGTCATTTGCTATTTTTCTAACGTTGTTATCCATGTTGCCTGAAATAGGTCATAAATGAAAGTGTTTTTCTTCACTGGGAAAAAGAAGAGCTCAAGAGACCCCACTATTTAAATGTCATTTAATTGTTTTCCATATTAAAACAAGGGAGAAATGTAAGACGAAGTGAATTTCATATGAAGCCAATGGCTCATTATACCAGTTTGTGTCTGGACAGTGTGTTATTTGTGTTCCTACACTCTAAAGCATTCCGGCCAGGAGCGGTGGCTCATGCCTGTAATCCCAGCACTTTGGGAGGCCGAGGTGGGGAGATCGCTTGAGGTCAGGAGTTCAAGACAAGCCTGGCCAACATGGTGAAACCCCATCTCTACTAAAAATACAAAAATTAGCCGGGCGTGATGGCACATGCCGGTAGTCCCAGCTACTTGGGAGGCTGAGGAAGGAGAATCGCTCAAACCTGAGAAGCAGAGGTTGCAGTGAGCCAAGACTGTGCCACTGCACTCCAGCCTGGATGATCAAGGGAGACACCATCTAAAAAAAAAATAAATAAAAATAAAAGCATTTTTTTAGTAGGAATTATCTACAATGCCCAGCACCCCTTGCAGCGATGTGTCCGTTGTCAATCAAGGAGTATACATTATAGAAATTTAGACTTTTATTGTCTAAAAAGAATATTTACTGAGACAGGATGGAATCTGTAAGTTATATGATATAGAATTTGAGGGATATGTAAAATTCAGTACACGTTCAGCATCTGAAAAATAATGGATTCCAATGGAGCTATTGTTTTATTTATGAAATCAGAGCATAAGGACTATGCAAATCATTGAACCATAACCTTATTCTAACTCTTGCAACAACATCTCTAATATAGGGGCATCTTTTATCTTTAGAACTTGGTGTTATATATATGTAAATACTCATTAATTCAAGCACTCTCTTTCTAGTACTCACATTATTTGTCAGGCATTGGAAAAGGAGAAAGCTGTTTACAAGATGGACCAGCTCCTGGAGAGCTTTGCAATTTATATAAATTACTAATTAATCTATTAATTAGATTAATTAATATCTAATCTACCCATATACAAAAGGAATGCAGTATCTCAGAAATTATATATAGATAGGTAACTTTGGCATACATGATTTTTCAACTACCGTTTCCTTATCCACCAGTACTACTGATGTCACAGCTATAGATCTATCCCACAAAGCATAACAGGAACATTCTTTCACAAAAGTGCAAAATTTCATGAAGAAATGCTGATGTCACGGTCACCTGAAAGAAGATGAAGCTTGTAATATTTTATTGCAACCTTGCATAGAATCCTTAAGGAAGAAAAACAAAGAGAAGAGGAACACAGAAACAAGTTATGGAAATTCATGTTTACCTTATTTATAAGGCTGATTTTTAAATTATATATAATTTTTCATTCAATATGTATATGAAATGAAATAGCTATAGAACTAAATTTCACTTAGGTGGAGGTATAAACCACCTTAAATTATATAGTTCGGCAGAAAGACAGATCTATTTGTTACCACCTGTAATTTTTTTTTAAGCATGAGTTTTCTCCATGGAGGCAAATTGCAAAATTAATCACTTATAAATTTATAAGCCACAATCTCCCTAAAACAATTGATTTTAGTAAGAGTGTAACGCCTTTAATCAGGGGACAAACAAGAACAATAAATAAGAGAAGATTTATGTTACAACTTTGAAAAATGCTTTTAAAATTCTATAAAGTGTTATAATAATTTCATGGATATCACAAATGTTTTATTCTACAGTGTGAAGATGATAATCCTAAAAATGGAAATTGATTCTGTGAGGTCAGGAGAAGTATTCTAAATCTACTGAACTCTTTGTAATTTCCTATGTATATAAATGAGTGGAGGTTGTGAAGATGCCGAGAGAGTGGTGAAAAAATTAAGAAAAAGAGACATATGATTTGGGGGAGCAGGCGTTAAACATGCAAGATCTAAATTTTCTTTTAATACATGACCATATGTCCTTGAACAGTAAGTATATTTGTGTGGCAAGCCAATGGCTGAGTTTTCCAGGGTAGTTTTAATATTACATCCATCATATTTTCAGTCCATGTGTCAAACCATGTGTCCAAAATTTGGGTTCGGAAATTTCTCAGTTGCCACAAATATTTTCCCAGTCAAGATGAAACACTTTCAAATGAAAGTAGTTAGAACTTTACATAACAAATGTGGTGCTTTATTATTATTATTATTATTATTTTTATTATTATTATTATTACGTACTTCAGTGTTCATTATTAAAACTACCGCAATACTATATCATAAAAATCTGGGATGGATGTTCCAGCCATCATAAGGTCCAAAAGAAAAGAGAAAGTGTTATTTTCCTGTTAGTGACATGTAGTCCCTTTGTTCTAGTAGGAAAAAAGGTGCCTAGAGGTAGTATATAGAGTAAATATTGTTCCTTTAGCCTACTTCCTGCAGCTTCCAATTTATCCAAGGAAATGTCTACAACAATTTTGTTCAAAAGTCTGTTCTAGTCAATAGCAGGAGAAGTCCACGTTATTGGGCTGATTTTGCTTACATCAGCAAGAGAAATGTCACGTGATACTCAGGCCGCGCTTTCTCTTCCATCACACCATCTTCAAGGAATGTCAATAAACTCACTTTGGTATGGCATTGTGTATGCTCCTTATTGCAAACGGAAGTCTAGGACAACACATAACAATCTGTATCCTGCCTTACTCTCTCGCTGGATGTAAGCAATAAAACAACACAGAAGGTTACCAGCTGCTCTGATTTTTTTAAAGTCCCAAAAAAGCATAATATGTGCTCACATATCCATGAATAGAGAGGAGAGCTTTTGTAACAAGTTCCTTGTGTATGGCTGTAAGAACCCTACACAAACCACACGGGCAGCATTTTTTTTAGTGCCCTTTATGTAAACCAGTTGTGCACTGGTTTATATAAATTCCTAGCTATGGAGATGCTTCTATGAAAGCTTCAGGCTACTGCCTAACACCCAGTGTCATCCCAGGACAACGGTCACCACTAGGCAAACATATTGTGTCCTATGGCTCGTATCACAAACTCCCAAGATGGAAACAGCATGATCTCCTTCCAAGCCTCTAAAAGACAAACCATGTGGCTCTTACTGGGTGGTTGGAAGCTGATTTATTCTTTAAAGAGAAAATATTCTATTATTAGAAAAAAGTGTGGGGAGGACTGGGAGAAGGAAAAACCTGACGGACTGATTTGGAGACAGAGAGTCATCTTGATATGGCATTTTTCTTTTATTATTATTATTATTATTATTATTATTATTATTATTATTATTATTATTTTGAGACAGAGCTTTGCTCTTGTTGGCCAGGCTGGAGTGCAATGGTGCAATCTTGGCTCACTGCAACCTCTGCCTCCCGGGTTCAAGCAATTCTCCTGCCTCAGCCTCCTGAGTAGCTGGGATTACAGGCATGCGCCACCACGCTCGGCTAATTTTGTATTTTTAGTAGAGACAGGTTTTCTCTATGTTGGTCAGGCTAGTCTCGAACTCCCGACCTTAGGTGATCCACCCACCTTGGCCTCCCAAAGTACTGGAATTACAGACATGAGCCACCATGCCCGGCCAATATTGCATTTTTCCACACGTGCTGGGCTGACTTCAGATTTATTCTAACTGAAAATCACTTTTCTTCTAAGTCATAAAGAGAAAATCTGGACTAGATCATCATTTATAGTGAGGCATAGATTATAGTATTCTGCTTTAATCTTACTCTGAAATCAAGATTGGACTTCAGGTCTCCTGATTTCTTTTTTATTTTTATTTATTTATTTATTTTGAGACTGAGTTTCACTGTTGTTGCCCAGGCCAGAGTGCAATGGCGTGATCTCGGCTCACTGCAGCCTCCACCTCCCGGTTTCAAGCAATTCTCCTGTCTCAGCCTCCCAAGTATCTGGAATTACAGGTGTGCACCACCATGCCCAGCTAATTTTTGTATTTTTAGTAGAAATGGGGTTTCACCATGTTGGTCAGGCTGGTCTCAAACTCCTGGCCTCGAGTGATCCACCTGCCTTGGCTTCCCAAAGTGCTGGGATTACAGGTTGAGACACCGCACTCGGCCAGGTCTCCTGATTTCTATGGCCATACTTTTCCAATTAATGTGCTGACAGCTCACTAATTATATACTGTAAAGGGAAAAGTGACACACATAGCTTGTACTCCAGACATGGTTTAGATGTGTTTATAGAGGATGGCTCTCTAACAGAATAAGTGAAGGGAGTTATGGAGGATCAGGCCAACCTTTATCAGTGCTGCAGGAATTACATATCACATTTATGGCTGGGAATAGGCTTAGACACTTTTGTCCAACAGGTTTACCTTGGAGATCTGAGAACAGAATAGTTGATGTCAAGGCCACTGAGTTTTACCTTGAAGGCTACCGCCTTATCACAAAATATCCTGTGGGGTCCTGGGCTCTGGACCTGGCATAACCATTCAAAAATGTGCCAGGAGCATGAGGTATGCAGAAGAGATGGAACCTGAAAGAGTACAACTGGATGCCAGGAATCCAAGGTCAGTGTGCAGTCACCAAAGAAGGATGTGGGCTGCTGGTTCCCACGGCCCCTCTGTGCAAGTTTGCTAGGGCTGCCAGAACAAAGAACCCCAAGTTGGGTGGCTTAAAGAAGGCTAGCAGTTTGCTATGAAGGTGTCGGGGGCTGGTTCCTTCTCAGGGTTGTGGGAAAGCATCTATTCCACCCCGCTCTCCTAGTTTCCAGTGGTTTTCTTGCAGTATTTGGCATTCCTTGGCTTGTAGATCTCTGCCTTCATCTTTGTATGACTGTGTGTGTGTGTGTGTGTGTGTGTGTGTGTGTGTGTGTGTCTACACTTTTCCTTTTTATGAGGACAACATCATATTGGATTAGGGCTAACGCTAATGACCTCACTTTAACTTGATTAGTTCTGTAAAGACCTTACCTCCAAATAAGGAAATAGAATCATATTTGAGGTACTGGGTGGAGTTAGAGCTCCAGTATATCTTCTTTGGAGGACATGATTCAATCTGTAACATCCTCCTTCCTGCCACCTTAAGAGCCTCCAGCAGTAATAGTAACAATCATAAATTCTGACATGCCTTTTATGTATCATCTTATGAAATAGCTACCTTTATATCCCTCTTTTAAGCTGAAAAAGAAAAAAAGTACAAAGAAGTGAACTAACTTGCCCAAAGACACACAGTTAGTAAACGACATAGCCAAGATTTGAGAACAAGGAGCCAGCTCCAGGGCCCAAGCACTCAACCACACACCACCTCATTCAAGTAACCACTTATTGAATACTTGTTACGTGTTGGGTCTTGTGCCAGACACAGGGGCCAGTGGCAGTCTTTGCCCTCAGGGAGCTCATGATCTAACAATATAATAATGCATTATTCTCCTCCAGTTGAGATTTGGCCCGATTCCAGTGTGAGTAGTCTCCCCAACCCAGCTCGCCAAACCTGGCTCCTGAGTACAATATGACGCCATTAAAAAATAATAAGCAACGTGCTACAGGAAAAGGCAACAGGAGCAATTGTCTCTGCTGGTGAGGAAGCATGGGCAGGAATGAACTCGGAGACAGAATTTGAGCATGTATAAAAATGGGAAAAATAATTTAAATGTATTATACCAGAAAGAGGGAAATATTTTTTTCTGAAACAGTAAACAAAGAAATGAGCAGAGGTGATTCAATCAGCCTAAGAACCTTCATATCTTTAAAAGCTGGGAGAATACAGCTACAAAGAGATTTCTTTTTAATGTCTGGAACTTCTGATTGAATTAGCATTAAAACTTATTCAGATTAGAATTAATTTGTTCAAATAATTGGGCAAGTTATATATGCCCAAGAACTTGTATTTCTTTCCATTTTATTCCAAAGAGTACATCCTATAGAGTTTTCTGTTTTTCTTACACAGTTGTTACATAATCCCTATTACTTTTTAAATGTAATAAAAATGGGGTCCTGGCTTTTATCCTGTCCAGAATTTTATATTCACTCATAAAAAGAGCTTCTTCCCTTTTTCCAACCTTATTCTTTCAGTAGGAAAAATTAAACGACAACGGGAAATAACTCTCTTCTAAGATTGTGGTGGATCACATAAAAGGGCCTCAATTCTTCAGCCCCCCTGAAGTCACATCCTTTACCCTGTAACTTTGCAGTCACCTCCATCTGTGGTTGGTCATTCTGAGTCATTCCCTGAACCACCCACCCAGCATAACACAAGCAGAGGCATGTAAAGTACTTGCACGGCTGAGCTTGACCTCTCTCTCTTGTTGCTGTGCTATCACCATGAGAGCAGGCCTGGAATAAGAGGAGAATGAGAGATGTCAGGGGCCAAACCGAGCCAGGCTAGATCAACCAACAGCCAGCTGACCACCAGGTACTTGAGCAAACCCAGCCAGGATCATTAGAGCCACCCGGCCAACCTCCAGCTGACCCCGGAGACATCAACACTAAAAGTGCATGGTTAAACACCAGTGATATTTTGTGATCACTGTACTTTTTTGTGGCAATAGATAATTGATTCAAAGACCATTCAGCATTCTTTCCTTTTTAGGATAACTTTTGAGAAGAAACACTGACCGTTTACCCTTAGGAGAGCATTCACTATGCATGGTAGCTACTCTTTAGTTTCAATTGACAATGGCCAAGTCTGGTGGCTCACAAATCCCAACTACTCAGGAGGCTAAGGCAGGAGGACTGCTTGAGGCTCGGAGCTTGAGACCAGCCTAGTCAACATAGTGAGACCTTGTCTCAAAAAAATAATAATTAATTAATTAATTAATAATGAGACTGCAGAGAAAAGAGAAATTGGCATGTTGGCATAACTTTTCTGAATATAATTTGATGATATGTATCAAGAGTTTTAAAATATCAAAGGCCAAGTTATGGTTCAAAATTGCATCTTACTGGTGGATCTGGAGGTGACTTCGTTCATTCAGGTCAGACACTAAACTGTTCTTAGATACTCTTTCCACCCCATCATCAGTAACACTCTATGTTTATCCTGGATTAGAACTCCTATGTAGACAGCAGGAACTAAAGGAAAATTATCCTGTATCGCATATTCCAAAAGATGAAGCCCCCATACACAAATTCTGTAGGGGAGGGTAGGAGAAAGAAGAACCCTAGTGGCAAAGCACTTATTTATTCAATTTATCAATAAATGTTTATTGAACATCAGCACTGTGCTGGGCATTGTTTTAGGCACTGGTGTTGCATCAGTAAACAAAACAAAGAATAAGTAAGTACATAATAGAGTATGTTGAGAGGTGGTAAGTGTGACGGGGAAAAAGGAGAGGAAAGGAAGAGAAAGGAAATGAAGAGGGTTGAAATAGAAGGGATTAGAAATATAAAAAGAATTTTTAGGGAAGGTGCTGACAAAAGATGATGTTTGGGCAAAATCTTAAGAGATGAGAGAATGAGCGTTGACACTCTCTGGAGGAAGAGTGGCTTGGTCAAAGGCGACAGCAAATGCAAATGCCTTTGAAACTGAAGCATTTCTGGTCAAGCCTGCGGTGGCTTGTAGTTTTCATAGTTTTTCAGAAGAGCAAGCAGTAAAGGTAGAAGGCAATACTTCCTCAGTTCCACTGAGCTTCACTTAGATGAATACTTACCAGATTCTCCAGTTGGTCTGTGCTCACCTACCTGCTGTCCAGATGTAGGAGTCCAGGTGTCCAAATGAACAGAGGGTTGAACCAAAACACACACACACACACACACACACACACACAGACACACAGTTCCTTAGCAAAAGCTAGGTCTAATTTACTCACTGAAGGACAAATAATTCTGGAAACTATGACAAACATCACAGAACAAGAAAAAGAAACAGCACCCTGAAGACTCAAAGGAAGAGTTCATCCCTGAAGATGACTCACTACTGGCAACAATTGAAATTATTAAAAAATTTCTAATTGGGCCAGGTGCAGCGGCTCATGCCTGTGGTCCTAGCACTTTGGGAGGCCAAGGCAAGAGGACTGCTTGAGGCCAGGAGTTCAAGACCAGCCTGGGCAACATAGCAAGACCATATCTCTCCTAAAAAAAAAAAATAATAATTAATTAGCCAGATGCAGTGGTACACATCTATAGTCCCAGCTACTCAGGAGACTGAGGTGGGAGGATCCCTTGAGCCTGGGAGTTCAAAGCTGCAGTGAGCTATGATCATGCCACTGCACTCCAGCCTGGGCAACAGAGCAAGACTCTGGCTCAAAAAAAATATGTATTTTCTAATTGGCATTCTGAATAGCTAGCCAGAAGACATGACCCCTGAGAAATAGAAGCAAAATACATAAAAAGACAGCTGAATTGACTGAAAAATAAACCAAAACAAAAAAACAAGCAAACAATAGCAGACTTCCAATTAAGATGGAGCACTAAGCTGACTTGAAAACAACCACCACCCTCATGCTCGAAATGTAAAAAGATGGTGGCCCACGCCTGTAATCCCTGCACTTTGGGATCCTGAGGCGGGCTGATCATGAGGTCAGGAGTTCCAGATCAGTCTGGCCAGCATAGTGAAACCCCGACTCTACTAAAAATACAAAAAATTAGCCAGGTGTGGTGGTATGTGCCTGTAATCCAAGCTACTTAATTACTGAAGCAGGAGAATCACATGAACCCAGTAGGTGGAGGTTGCAGTGAGCCAAGATTGCGCCATTGCACTCCAGCCTGGGCGACAGTGCGAGACTCTGTCTCAAAAAAAGAAAAAAAAAAAAAAAAGCCGGGCGTGGTGGCTCACGCCTGTAATCCCAGCACTTTGGGAGGCCAAGGCGGGCGGATTGCCTGAGGTCAGGAGTTCGAGACCAGCCTGGCCAACATGGCGAAACCCCGTCTCTACTAAAAATGCAAAAATTAGCCAGGCATGGTGGTGTGTGCCTGTAATCCCAGCTACCCAGGAGACTGAGGCAGGAGAATCACTGGAACCCAGGAGGCAGAGGCTGCAGCGAGCTGAGATTGTGCCACTGCACTGCAGCCTGGGTGACAGCAAGACTCCATCTCAAAAAAAAAAAAAAAATATATATATATATTGTTTTTAATGTAATATACAGTGAAGCTAAGAAGCTAGCAATAAAAAGAAACCTACAGCTACAGTGGTTAGTAAGAATTGGTTAAACACTTTAAGGACATGGGTTTTCTTCTGGGTCAGGACTTGAGCCCTCAGTCTTCTTATAGAGCAAGGAACTGAAAATGAACTCTTGGCATTGAACCTGAAATTGGGAAAGTGCTGACTTCTTCATGACTGGGTTGTAAAAACCTCCTCTGCTGGCACAGAGCAGGCAATAAGTTGTTTGATGGAGGAAGTGGTGTGAACCACAGATCCTGAATCCTGACTCATGGCTCATGACAGTGCAGAACACAAATTCACGTCATCCAAATGCTTCAGAACCCCCAAGCTCCATTGAGAAATTAAGCCAGAAATTTGTCTCCCAATCAACAAGCTCTGTAGTCAGGGCAGAGGCCATTTAGAAACCACATCATAGAGATTCTTTCCCAACTCAGACCCTATTTGAAACATTTAAAAATACAAAGTTACAGTTAAAATAGGAGCTCATCATCAAAAAAGTATAAAATATATAAGGAACTCCATTACTAGGAAAGAAAATCCACAGATGGAATGAGCCAATGGAACTTGAAATAGTACTGCATTCTAAAAAAGCCACAACATAACTACTTTTAAATGTCCAAGTCGATGAAGAAAGATTCAAATATATGAATCAGGGATGAAAGATTATAAACCATGAAAAGGCAGGTTTGAGAAGAACAGTTTCTTTTTACTTTTTTTTTTTTTTTGAGACAGAGTCTTACTCTGTCGCCCAAGCTGGAGTGCAGTGGTGTGATCTCCACTCACTGCAACCTCCGCCTCCTGGGTTAGAGCAATTCTCCTGCCTCAGCCTCCCGAGTAGCTGGGATTACAGACGCCCACCACCACGCCCAGCTAATTATTTTGTAGTTGTAGTAGAGACAGGATTTCACCATGTTGACCAGGCCGGTCTCGAACTCCTGAGCTCAAGCCATCTGCCCACCTCAGCCTCCCAAAGTGTTGGGATTACAAGCATGAGCTACCATGCTCGGCCTACTTTTTTGTTTGTTTGTTTGCTAAAACAAGTCCCTTGAAGCCTGTAAGTATTTAACACGAATGAGAATGTTGGCAGCTTACAGCACTTGAAAGACCTAGCTTCTAAAAATAAGTGAATCTATCTTTTTCATATATATA